>NC_000003.12:57282727-57585757 GCF_000001405.40 Homo sapiens | reverse complement strand
CTGGGAGATGGAGGTTGCAGTGAGCTGATATTGCACCATTGCACTTCAGCCTGGGTGACAGAGTGATACTCTGTCTCAAAAAAAAAAAAAAAGAATTTAGATATTACTTATATTGTAGATGAATGTGATAGGGTCTTTTATTATTATACTTTAAGTTCTAGGGTACATGTGCACAATGTGCAGGTTTGTTACATATGTATACATGTGCCATGTTGGTGTGCTGCACCCATTAACTCGTTGTTTACATTAGGTAATGTGATAGGGCCATTTTTATAACAGGTTAATCAGACTTTGGTTTTCATTTTGGCACATTTAATGTTGAAATGGATTTAAGCAGGGGTAAAATTGGCTTCATCTTCCTTTATTATCATTATAAGGTCACTAGGACATAGTTACATTAAGTTCATTAGAACATAGTTATACCACTAGGACATACTTATACCAGTGTATTTTTTACCCCTTAGCATCAAAATCTGTTACCCAAATTTTACTCTGTAAATAAGAGAAAATATTTTTACAAATCTTAAGAATTCTTTATTCACTTACATGTTGTCTGAATCAACTTCTAATTTGTGTTTTTAAAAATGGTAGTATGGCTGGGCACGGTGGCTCACGCTTGTAATCCCAGCACATTGGCAGGCCCAGGCTGGCAGATCACTTGAGGCCAGGAGTTTGAGACCAGCCTGGCCAACATGGTGAAACCCCGTCTCTACTAAAAATACAAAAATTAGCCGGGCGTGGTGGTGGGCGCCTGTAGTCCCAGCTACTTGGGAGGCTGAGGCAGGAGAATTGCTCGAACCCGGGAGGTGGAGGTTACAGTGAGCTGAGATCATGCCACTTCACTCCCGCCTGGACAACAGAGCGAGAATACGTCCCCCCGCTCCCCTGCCCCTCCACCCCCCAAAAAATGCTGGTAGTTCATAGAATTTAATTGGAAGAGATCTTAGATGATCTGATCCAGTCCCTTTATTTATGGCTAATTTCTCTGGTCTCAGTGTCCTAAAGTCACTCAACTAGTTTGTCGCAAAGCTAGAGATTAGAGCCTAAGTCAGCTACATACTTGTTACCTTTTACTAGTACATGCTGTCTCTCTTGGTCTAGAAAGCAGAATGGAAAGGCTTTCTGTAGGAAGTGTTGCCTTTGGGAATCAGAAATAAGGTCATTTCATTTCTAACTCATTTAGAAGTTGTCTTGAACAGTCAACTTCTAGTTTTGAACTATAAATTTATTGTAAAATTATTTCTTGGAGTGTGCTTTTGGTCTGGATTTTAAATCTATAATGTCTTCTTCTAGTTGGATTGGATGCTGCTGGCAAGACAACCATTCTGTATAAACTGAAGTTAGGGGAGATAGTCACCACCATTCCTACCATTGGTAAGAAAGTTTACAGATGACTTTATATCATGATATGTTGTAAAGTGAAATATATACAGTCTAGTTTTGAGATTGTCTTTTTGTTAAGCATGTTGATTATCTTAGAAGTACTTTTAAAACAGGCCGGGTGTGGTGGCTCATGCCTGTAATCCCAGCACTTTGGGAGGCCGAGGCGGGTGGATTGCTTGAGCCCAGGAGTTCAAGACCAGCCTGCATAACATAATGAGGCCTTGTCTCTGTTGATGTTTAGGCTTAAATATATTTTTTAAAAATAAAAAGAAGTACTTTAAAAACACTATTCTAAGAAAATTCCACAATAAAAGGTTTTATTTTCTTAATGACGCTGCACAGCGGTCATTTTTGTTTTTCTTTGTAGGTTTTAATGTGGAAACAGTAGAATATAAGAACATTTGTTTCACAGTATGGGATGTTGGTGGTCAAGATAGAATTAGGCCTCTCTGGAAGCATTACTTCCAGAATACCCAGGTAAGGGATACTGTATGTTTTTATAACTTTTCTTTGTGGGTTTCATGCTCTAAAGTTTTTATTAGTATCTAGTATTTACTTGGATATTGGTGTTTACTATGAGTTGGCATTTGTCTTATCACCACTTCCACATTCTTCAGTGGACTCTCACTTAGGCCTTGAAGGCTAACTTATATAGGGTGGAAGAGTTGTAAAGCAATTGCGGTAAGTGTTTGGAAGATGGGGTGGGTGCTGGTGTAGTTCACAAGAATGAATTAGGTCTCTTATCCGTAGTTCTTTGCTTTCCATCTTAGTTTAGAAAGTAAGGTCTGTATAAACTGTCATTGTAGTTTCTGATGAATGTAAGACAATTGATAGTCCTTTGTTTAGCCCAGTTACTTGTTTACTTTATTAAATACAGTAAAGTCAGTTCGCTGCATTGATTTGTAAGATATTTTTATATTGCCACATAGTATGTATATATAATACTGGCATGGAAGAGACTTTAGTGATCCTGTAGAACAGGAGTTCTCAAATTTGGGGGTGGCACGTAAGAATCACATGGGGACCTTTGAAAATCCCAAGACCTGGATCATCCCCTAGATGACTTGAATCAGAATATCAGGGGATATAATCCAGGTACAGTAGTGTTTCTTAAACTTTAATATGCATATCAATCACCTGGGTATTTGTTAAAAATACACATTGAGTCCATAGGTCCTAGCTAAGGCCTGAGATTCTGTATTTCTAGCAAGTTCTCGGGTTGTGCTGATACTACTGGTCTGGTATCTTACAGCACAGCACTATTGACATTTTGGGCTGGGTTATTCTTTGTTGTTGGGTATGGGGAGGGCTCTCTATGCATTGTAGGTTGTTTAGTGGCATCCTTGTCCTCTACCCACTAGATGGCAATAGCAGCTGCCCTCAAGTAGCAGCCAAAAATCTCTCCACACCTGCAAAATATCCCCTGGGGGCAAAATTGCTCCCTGCTGAGAACCACTGTTCTAATCTAACTCTCTTACATATGAGGAAACTGAAACTTGGAATGACTTACCCAAGATGGGAGAGTTTGTTCTCACTCTACCTTTGTTTAACCTGGTCCCACCTCGATTGTGTTTTCTACCACCCAAGGAATTTCTTGTCAGTTTTTTTTTATTACTTAATAATTTTTTTTAAGTGTGATATCACTGCCACTTTATATTTTTAAGACTTGCAATGTCATCTTGTTATCAGCCTCTTAAAACATTGCATACAAGTGGGGTTTATTGCCATCAGGTGGCAGTGAATACCCTAGGTGAGTGGCTGGGACAACCAGGTTTACATAGTATGTCATATTAAATAAGTGGTATACTTTTTTATTTAAAAACGAGAATGTTTAGGCCAGGCACGGTGGCTCATGCCTGTGATCCCAGCACTTTGGGAGGCTGAGGCGGGCGGATCACGAGGTCAGGAGTTCAAGACCAGCCTGACCAACACAGTGAAACCCCGTCTTTACTAAAAATACAAAAATTAGCCGGGCGTGGTGGCGCGCACCTGTGATCCCAGCTACTCAGGAGGCTGAGGCAGGAGAATCACTTGAACCCGGGAGGTGGAGGTTGTGATGAGCCGAGATCACACCATTGCACTCCAGCATGGGTGACAAAGCGAGACTCTGTCTCAAAAAAAAAAAAATAGTAGAATGTTTATGGTCATCAATATAGCTGTGACTAGAAAAGATACTTGATACAGAGGCACATGCTTTAAAAAGCTTCCTTATGGAAAATGTTAAATACAAGGTGAACATTCCTTATCCGAAATTCTTGGGACCAGAAACCACTGTTTCTGATCTCAGAATTTTGGGGGTTTTGGAATATTTGCATTGTACCCAGTTGAGCATTCTAAATCCAGAAATCCAAAATCCGATATACTCCAGGGAGTTTTTTCTTTGTTATGTTGGTGCTCGGGAAGTTTTGGATTTGGATTTTTGGATTAAGGAAACTCAATCTGTACACCTACAAATAGAATAGCATAATAAACTCACATGTATGTATTATGCAGCTTCAGTTACTAGGATATAAGCAGTGCTGTGTTGTTTCATACTCATCTCTAATGTGCTCTACCCTCTAGACAGTTTGTTTATTTTTTTTGAGATGGAGTTCTCGTCCTGTCACCCAGGCTATGGCGCAATCTTGGCTCACTGCAACCTCTGCCTCCTGGGTTCAAGCGATTCTCCTGCCTCAGCCTCCCAAGTAGCTGGGACTTCAGGCATGCGCCACCACACCTGGCTAATTTTGTATTTTTAGTAGAGACGGGGTTTCACCATGTTAGCCAGGCTGGTCTCGATCTCCTGACCTCATGTGATCCACCTGCCTGGGCTTCCCAAAGTGCTGGGATTACAGGCATGAGCTACTGCGCTTGGCCAATATATTTTGAAAGAGTTAGATATGAAGTAAAACCTTGCTAATCCTTAAGCCTAATAATTCTTGACCAAGGGTAACCCTGGGTTTATCCCTAGATTTGTTTAGAATGCTTTGTAATTTACTTTGCATTCTTAATTTGAAATTAGACCCAATTCTGGCCTCTTTGGACCATCTGAGAATTAAAAGTCTAAGTACTGCTTCCTAGGGAGTTCATGCTAGCTGGGGAAAGCTTTATGTGTTACCTGATAGAATCAAAGCTAAGCTCTTAGCTTGCATTCCCAGCATTACTGATCAGTTCTCCTAGCTATAAAATTTAAAAGAAACTATAGCTTTAACCATGTTTCTAACTTATACTAACAAACCATGGCACAGTGTGTAGTAAATTCCTCTTATAATTCCAACTAATTTGCCATTGTAAATAAGTAAATATTTGGCTTTTCAAATAATTTCATAGCAGCTGGGCTTATCTGTAGAATCCTAGCTTTTCTTCACTCTTGATTCTAGGCTGTTCCAGGAAGAAAATAATTAGGGATTAATACCTAAAATAATTCTCCTTCTCAATAATGTCACTTTGGGACTGATAGCATTATTTGCATTTTAAAACAAAGGCTGGGTGCAGTGGCTTATGCCTGTACTCTCAGCACTTTGGGAGGCTGAGGTGGGAGGATCGCTTGAGCTCAGGAGTTTGAGGCCAGCCTGGGGAACATAGTGAGACCCTGTCTTTACATTTAAAAAAAAAAAAAAAGAATAAAAATGGGAAGTTAGCAGTCAAAATAAAATTAGGTCCCTTTTAGGGGCATTACCTCTTGTAAAGGGTAGGTTTCAGGACCGGGTGCTATGGCTTATGCCTGAAACACCAACACTTTGGGAGGCCATGATACGAGGATCACTTGAGGCCAGTCCAGGCAACAGAGTGAAACCCTGTCTCTACAAAAAAAAATTAAAAAAAAATTACCTGGGCATGGTGGCATACTCCTGTAGTCCCAGCTACTTGAGAGGCTGAGGTGGGAGGATCACCTGAGCACAGGAGTTGGAGGCTGAAGTGAGCTACAGTTGCGCCTCTGTACTCCAGCCTGGGGGACAAAAGGAGACCTTGCCTCTTTTTTGAAAAAAAGAAGAAACAAAAAAATGGAAGGTTTGGTTCTAAAAAGGAGTAGCTTTTGAAATATGGAAAGGAGGAGACATATTTGCTAAATAAATGCCCATGATAAGCCAAGAACAATGATCTTTTATATCTCTGTGATTGCATTTAATCTTTAACAAGCTTATGAAGTTAGTATTTTTATTTTATTTAGACGAGGCATAGTCAAGGATTAGATAATATATATAACAAGTAGTATAAGATTTGAATTTGAGTCTGTCTTCCCACCACACTATATTGGCTCCCAAAGCATCAAACATTATTTTTTGTTTTTGAGATGGGGTCTCACTCTGTTACCCAGGCTAGAGTGCAGTGGCATGATCATGGCTCACTGTAGCTTCAGTCAACCTCCTGGGCTCATGTGATCCTCCCTTCTCAGCTTCCTAAGTAGCTAGGACTATAGACATGTGCCACCATGCCCTACTAAAATTTTAATTTTTTTCGTAGAGACAGGGTCTTACTCTGCCCAGGGTGATCTTGAACTCCTGACTTCATGTGATCCTCCCACCCCAGCCTCCCAAAGTGGTGGGATTAGAGGTGCCATGCCAGCCAAAAGTTTTCTCAAAGGATAGGATATTTAAAGTGATGGTTTTCCAGGTGGTATAGATGCAGTGTAAAATAAAATTTAAAAATTAAGTTATGGTTTCCAACAGAGATAAAGGAAATGGACTTACAATTTGCTAAAACAAAGGAAATTGTCATTTAATGGATGTAAAATAAGTGTTAGATGCTCCTGGAGAGCCCAGTACTGTGGTAATCCTGAGAGGTAAACAGAAAATGATGTAGGATGGGGCTGGGCGCGGTGGCTCACACCTGTAATCCCAGCACTTTGGGAGGCCAAAGCAGGCAGATCACCTGAGGTCAGGAGTTCAAGACTAACCTGGCCAACATAGTAAAATCTCATCTCTACTAAAAATACAAAAATTAGCCAGGTGTAATGGTGGGCGCCTGTAATCTCAGCTACTCAGGAGGCTGAGGCAGGAGAATTATTTGAAACTGGGAGGAGGGGTTTGCAGTGAGCTGAGATGGCACCACTGCACTCCAGCCTGGGTGAAAAAAAAGATATAGTATAGTCCTTTGCCCTTAGTGGATGTAATCTAGTTCCTTTTTTTTTTTTTTTTTTTTGAGATGTAGTTTGCTCTTGTCGCCCAGGCTGGAGTGCAATGGCGCCATCTCGGCTCACTGCAGCCTCCGCCTGCCAAGTAGCTGGGATTACAGGTGTGCCACCATGCCCGGCTAATTTTTGTATTTTTAGTAGAGATGGGGTTTCACCAGGCTGATCTCGAACTCCTGATCTCAGGTGATCCACCTGCCTCGGCCTCCCAGAATGCTGGGATTACAGGCGAAAGCCACCTCAACCAGCCTCGTTACTTACATAAATCAGTAGTGCAAGACAATCTGTTATAAGTGACATGATCAAAATTGATACTTTAGGAGTCAAGGTTTATCTTTTTTTCTTTTTTATTATTTTTATTTTTGCCCCCCCCCTTTTCTAGCTGAAAATTCTATACTTTCCCATTTGAAAGTTCTTAGAAAAACAGTTCAACTAGTTGCTTCCTAATTCCTTCCATTTATTTTGTAGTATAGAATTCTAATAATGGGCCAGGTGCCATGGCTCATGCCTGTAATCCCAACACTTTGGGAGGCCAAGATGGGTGGATCACTTGAGTCCAGGAGTTCGAGACCACATGGGCAACGTGGTGAAACCCCATCTCTACAAAAAATAGAAAAATTAGCTAGGTGTGGTGGCACGCACCTGTAGTCCCAGCTACTTGGGAGGCTGAGGCGGGAGGATCATTTGAGCCCAGGGGGTCAAGGCTGCAGTGAGCCAAGATTGTGCTACTGTGCTCCTAGGCAACAGAGTTGAGACCCTGTCTGAGAAAAGAAGCTAATATTTGTATCTCTAAGAATTGATAACTACCTTCCTTTTTTTAAAGAATGTCTTACTCGATCAGGTAAATCTTGAATTTTTCTTTCTTTTTTTTTTTAAGAGATAGGGTTTTGACATATTGTCCTGGCTGGTCTCAAACTGCTGGGCTCCAGTGATCCTCCTGCCTTGGCTTCCCATAGTGCTGGGATTACAGGAGTGAGCCACTGCGCCCAGTCTTGGATTTTTCTTGCTATCATTTTCTTAAGATGTCTTCCTGATCTAGAGTTGGCAGGCAGCATTCTGAAGCAAGTTAATTTTTTCCTTCCATGATGAAGCAGATAAAAACTGTAGTGTACACACTCGCGCTATCCCACCCCCCTTTTATTACTCTGTACATGCCTTTGAGTCAGTAAGCTAATTCAGTTAGTAAATTCATGGGGTTTTTTTGTTTGTTTTTTGAGATAGGGTCTCGCTCTGCCACCCAGGCTGCAGTGCAGTGGTGCGATTTCAGCTCCCTGCAACCTCCGTCTCGGGCTCGTGATTCCTCCCACCTCATCTCCCAAGTAGCTGGGACTAAAGGCATGCACCACCACACCTGGCTAATTTTTGTATTTTTTTGTAGAGATGACCTTTCGCCATGTTGCCCAGGCTGGTCTCAAACTCCTGAGTTCAAGCAATTTCAGGCCTGATCGTTTGCCTCAGCCTCCCAAAGTGCTGGGATTACAGGATGAGCCACCATGCCTGGCCAAATTCACGATTCTTTAGGATCCTTGATTTGTTATTTTTCTTTTTGTTCCTACTTTGTGGCTATTTTGGTACCTGCACTTAAATGTGAGAGTGCAGAGGGAAGGGGAAAAATAGATACAATTTATTCTTAGGGTAGTTGAGAAAAGTAATTAATTGGTGAAGAATAAAAATTTTTTAGATTTGAAATAGCACTAATAAATTAAACTTACAAATAGTTCTCAAATCAGCTTTTAGCATTACAGCCTTAAGTTCTTACTTTTAAAGAGACATTTTCTTCCTAATGTCTAACCATTGGTACCATTTTGCTGCCTACACTGTTTCATATAGAGAGTGTCGTTTAACTGTTAAAATTTACTGAAACAATTTTTCCCCAGGGTCTTATTTTTGTGGTAGATAGCAACGATCGTGAAAGAATTCAGGAAGTAGCAGATGAGCTGCAGAAAATGGTAAGAAATATACTTTAAATTCATCATTTTCAAGGTGTGCTTTTCTGGATTAAACTGGTGGTGGTTTAGTACATTTTGACTATGATTAGATTACACAAATGGATTGGGGGGGCTAGAAATAAACTTAAGAAACTATATTATCCACAGGTTCTTAATAATGTACTTCAAAATCTCTTATAGAGCGTTTTAAAAAACACATGGAAGAGTAGCTACTTCAGTAAGTTGGGAGGAAGGCAGAGCAGTGTTGTTTTTTTTTTTTTTAGAATGCCTCATGGGTAATCTTGATGCCTATCTCTGGCTGAGGATATCTGATTTAGCTCAGTCCCTTACTTTACAGATATCAAATCTATAGTGCTGTAGTGGTTTTGACCCTAGGAATCTTGGTTCAGATGTTTTGTTCCCAAGGTCATCGGTTCCATTTTCTCTATGCTGTGCCAATAATTACTTCAGAAATGTTTTTTAATAGTAACCATTTAAGGATAAGGAATTCCTTCTGAAAGTAGAGACAAATGTTTGGTTCACAGTGGCATTTTGCAGCCTTCCCATAGATTGGATTAATGTTTTCATGTGTTCATGTTGTTAAATGTACTAAATGGAGGAAGACTGCTGAGAATCCTTGTCATGATTTTAAACTTGTAGCCATAAAATATTTACTGAAATGAAATCTTAATTCTTGTTCATTCCTCCTAAGATTAGAGGGCAGTTTGTAAAACCATTGTGCCAGTATATGTGTAACTAAGTCATTGTTGGATTTTTGCCTGAGTCAAATGTCACCAGCTTTCCCTCTTCAAAAAAAAAAAAAAAAAAAAAAGCTTGGTTGAGACATACTTCACACACTATAAATGTCATCCTTTTTAAATGTGCATATCAATGGCTTTTAGCATACATAGTTGTACAACCATCATCACAATCTAATACTAGAAAATTTTCATCACCCTCAAAGAAATCTTGGACCATTAGCAGTCATTCCCATTTCCTTCCTCTCGTACACCACACTCCCAGCCTCTGACAGCCACTAATTTGTCTTTATACAGTCACCTATTCTGGACATTCATATAAATGAAAACATACAATGTGTTCTTTTGTGACTGATTTTTTCACTTAGCATAATTTTTCAGGGTTCGTCTATATTGCATCATGCATCAGTACAACTTCTGTTCTTGGTACTTTTTTTTTGTATATTTCATGATACTGCCAACACCCAGATAATTGTGTTATTGTCCCACTGTTGTTGGAAAGGATAGAAGTCCGAAAAGAATCATCATCTATCTAAGTACTTCTGCTACTAAGTACCATAAGAACCTGCCATAAACATTTTATTCCCACATGTATTTCTTGCCCTTATCAGTCCTGACAATGGGTAATCATGAAGGCTGAATGATGAGTGATTTGCTTTAATTTAATGGGGTGTAGGATGATTGACTTGGAAAACAGTTCTGTCTTATTTGAAGGCATATGATTGTTTGCTCTGGATTTAAAAACTGAAGGATATGAGACTTCAGTTGTAAGAGTGAACTTTGTGTCGAGAAATTAGGTTAATGTTTAATAATGTATTTAATGCTGAGTAAAGTATATATAGGAAGACATTTTCAAAAATTGGATTCCGGTTGGTAGTTGTTAATGCCTTACCTTTTATTTCCAGCTTCTGGTAGATGAATTGAGAGATGCAGTGCTGCTACTTTTTGCAAACAAACAGGATTTGCCAAATGCTATGGCCATCAGTGAAATGACAGATAAACTAGGGCTTCAGTCTCTTCGTAACAGAACAGTAAGTATTTGGAGGTTGATATTAACCTCTTGACTATTAAGACTTACTAGGATAGTTGTGTAAGCTAATATTCAGTTTAAACATTTATTATCTCCTTTGGACAAATAATGAGCACATCATTTATTTAAAAATATGGTAATAAACTTTAAATACCTTATTTGATTTTTGTAAAGAAACGGAAAACTACTGTAGAATAGGTCTAAAGATTATTGATAGTTTCTTTTTTCTTTTTTTTTTTTTTTGAAGGGAGAGGTGGAAGGAATGGAAAGAAGATTATTGATAGTCTTAATTTTAATTTTGTATCTTTTAAGTAACCCTACAGCAAATATTTTGAAATCTGGCTTTCTTATTAAGGGTCCAGTAATGTTTGTTTGCTTGTTTTAAAAGTGGAGATGGGGGGCTGGGTGCGGTGGCTCATGCCTGTAATCCCAACACTTTGGGAGGCCTAGGTGAGCAGATCATCTGAGGTCGGGAGTTTGAGACCAGCCGGACCAACCAGGGAGAAACCCTGTCTCTACTAAAAATACAAAATTAGCCAGGTGTGGTTGCGCATGCCTGTAATCCCAGCTACTCAGGAAGGCTGAGGCAGGAGAATCACTTGAACCCAGGAGGTGGAGGTTGCGGTGAGTCGCGATCGCGCCACTGCACTCCAGCCTGGGCAACAAGAGCGAAACTCGGTCTCAAAAAAAAAGTGGAGATGGGGGGTCTCGCTTTGTTGCTAGGCTGGTCTTGAACTCCTGGACTCAAGCAATCCTCTCACTATCTCAGCCTACCAAAGCGCTGGGATTCCAGCCATGGTGCCCAGCCTTGTTTGCTTGTTAACATAACAGTTTATGGAGGAGACCAGGTACCACGGCTCACACCCGTAATCCCAATACTTTGGGAACCCAAGGCAGGAGGATTGCTTGAGGCCAGGAGTTCCAAACCAGCCCGGGCAACAAAGTGAAACCCTATCTCTACAAAAATAAAAATTAGCTGGGTGTGGTGGCATGTGCCTTTAGTCCCAGCTACTTGGGAGGCTGAGGTGGGAGGACTGTTTGAACCCAGAAGTTGGAGGCTGCAGAGAGCTGTGATTGTGCCCATTGCACCCCAGCCTGGGTGACAGAGCAAGACTGTTTCTTTAAAAAAAAAAAAAAAAATTTGTACTTCTCTAAAATTGCTTATCATTGATCAGTGATTCAGTGATGGAGATAAATTATCAGAAACTTAGTGTCATAGGCTTTTTACAGTAGTTTTGCATTAACCTGTAAATAAGGGAAATACTGTGGCTGTGGTAAAAAATGAAACAAACAACAAAGAACCTATTGCAGGCCGGGTGCAGTGGCTCACGCCTGTAATCCCAGCACTTTAGGAGGCTGAGGTGGGTGGATCATGAGGTCAGGAATTCAAGACCAACATGGCCAAGATGATGAAACCCCATCTCTACTAAAAACTACAAAAAAATTAGGTGCAGTGGCAGGCATCTGCAAGCCCAGCTACTCTGGAGGCTGAGGCAGGAGAATCACTTGAACCCAGGCAGCAGAGGTTGCAGTGAGCCGAGATCACGCCACTGCACTCCAGCCTGGGTGACAGAGCGAGACTCCGTCTCAAAACAAACAAACAAACAAAAAAAAACAACCTATTGCCTGTTTGAGATATCTCAG
This sequence comes from Homo sapiens, assembly GCF_000001405.40. NCBI lineage: Eukaryota > Metazoa > Chordata > Mammalia > Primates > Hominidae > Homo > Homo sapiens. The sequence continues at coordinate 57,573,904 of NC_000003.12, read as the reverse complement.
GCTGATTTGAAGAACATAAACTGGGCCGGGTGTGGTGGCTCACACCTGTAATCCCAGCACTTTGGGAGGCGAAGGTGGGCGGATCACTTGAGACCAGGAGTTCGAGACCAGCCTGGGCAACATGGTAAAACTCTGTCTCTACTAAAATTACAAAAATTAGCTGGTCGTGGTGGTGCATGTGTGTAACCCCAGCTACTTGGGAGGCTGAAGGCACGAGAATCTCTTGAGCCTGTGAGGCGGAGGTTGTAGTGAGCCGAGATCACGCCACTGCACTCCAGTCTGGGCAAGAGTGAGTACTCTGCCTCAAAACAATCAGTCGATCAATCAATAAATAAGCAAGCAACACTAACTGTAAATGATACAAGTTTTCCATGCTGTGAAGGTATGAATTTGAGCCTTTCCCCAGCCTCCTAGGTTACTGAGATTTGGTATTCAAATAATTGGCAACATGGTATACCTGCAGTGGCCTTGCAACATTAAACTGGTCAAAAAAATTAATAAAAGTAAACTATGCCTTAAATGTAAATTGTTTTCTAGGTTTTTTTTGATACTTTCACACAGTTACTAGAGATAAGATTCGTTGCCATTTAAAAGCAAGAACGTTTTGGAATGCATGAGACTAAAGATGGTGAAATTGTCTGAAAAGCTTGCCCTTAAAATATCAACAAACCCTACTCTTTCTTTCTTTCTTTTTTTTTTTTTTGAGATGGAGTCTTGCTCTGTCACCCAGGCTGGAGTGCTGTGGCACGATCTCGGCTCACTGCAAGCTCTGCCTTCTGGGTTCATGCCATTCTCCTGCCTCAGCCTCCTGAGTAGCTGGGACTACAGGCGCCCACCACCACGCCCGGCTAATTTTTTGTATTTTTAGTAGAGACAGGGTTTCACTGCGTTAGCCAGGAAGGTCTCGATCTCCTGACCTCATGATCCATCCGCCTCAGCCTCCCAAAGTGCTGGGATTACAGGTGTGAGCCACCACGCCCGGCCTAACAAACCCTACTCTTTCAAAAATTTGCCTCTTCTACTTTGAGTTTAGTTTTATGGGAAACGAGAGTTATAAAAACCAGATGGGTAGTTTATTAGTTACTAATTTCCCCATGATTTCTTTTTTCAGATTAAGTGGTAGAAAGTTTACTAAAAGGGAACCAAAAACCAGCACTGAAAAGAAAGCTGAATGAGGGGGGAAAATCTTGTCTAAATATAATGAATAGGTAGAAGTAGCTTGATTGATTGAGACGGAGTCTCACTCTGTCGCCCAGGCTGGAGTGCAGTGGCACAGCCTCGGCTCACTGCAACCTCCAGAATAGGTAGAAGTGGCTTTATTTTTAAAAAATAATTTAATCTAAAAAAGTAGAGACAAAGTCTCACCATGTTACCCAGGCTGGTCTCGAACTACTAAGCTCAAGTGATCCTCCCATCTCCGCCTCCCAAAGTGCTGGGATTTATAGGTGTGAGCCACCACGCCCAGCCAGAAGTAGCTTTAAATATGGGAGAGTTTTGTGAGATGCAAGAGGTGTGAAAAGACTCTTAAGTTTGATTAAGAAAGTTTAAACACTGGTGTTATATATTAACTTTGTTAATCAAGTATTTTCTTGTCTTCTCTTTACAGTGGTATGTTCAAGCCACTTGTGCAACACAAGGAACTGGTCTGTATGAAGGACTTGACTGGCTGTCAAATGAGCTTTCAAAACGTTAAATGAAATTGGATATCTAACCAAGGACATGTTTGATAAAATTGGTCTAGGCTTGTTACAACAAAATTAGTTTGTATCTTGGTTATTAAACAGTATCTGGGACTGGTTTGGGCAGAATATTAAACTTATTTTGTTGCCAATTATTGTTTACCGAGTATAATGTTGCTATTTAGCAATGTGCTTGGTTTTAAAGAAATTCTCCTTGGGAAAAAAGTATCCTCTTTTAATTTTACTTCCCATAAGCGTAAATGCCTGGACATAGCTCTTGTGCAACCTTTAAATAAATTGTTTTGAGTGTTTTTTGAGCCCCAGACAAATAATGTTTTAAAGTTATCCCCTTGCTACTTTACTGATACCTTTATCATTCCTGAGACAGTTTGCTAATTTAAAAATGTAGCATTCCATTTGTATTTATTTCTCTCCCTTGCCAAAAAGATTTTCTAATACTGCTTGTACCAGCCAGAGAAAGATCCAAAACACTACTCAGCTCTCTTGCACTGAGGAAATTTTTCCCCCTACATTGACTCCTGGCCTACATCAGCCAAACTTAACCTTGGTGGGGTTTGGATTTGATAGCCAATTAGTTCTGTGCTGGTTGCAAAGAATTGATATTTAGATGGTTTTTAATACTCAGCAGATTGTCTTCCTTTATATTGTGTCTTTTTTATGTTGCATGTTGCTTTTGTTATCAGCCTGATTTTTTGCTCAGTATATGATAGTTCTGCTGATGTTTTGTTTATTGGGCAGACATATCTTCATTAAGAGTTTTTGGAAAACTCATCAAATTCGATGAATACATTTTCTTCATAACCCATTTGGAATTATTCCTAATAAAATGATAAAATACGTAATTGTGTGTGTTCTTTTTGAGTTTTGAAGGTATTTGAAATGTATTTTCTTATGTAGCCAACTTTGCTTGCATATTTTATGTACTGTGAACAGTAACACAGATCCCACTGGTAGGTTACTAATTGTATAAAGTGGAGATCTAGATTGTTTTCATGTGTATAACAGCATGGGGAACACTATTAAAAACATAGTTTTCTAAAGTCAGATCAAGGGTAAAAGGAGGGCCTGGCATGGTGGCTCACGCCTGTAATCCTAGCACTTTAGGAGGTTGAGGCAGGAGGGTCACTTGAGAATAGGAGTTTGAGATCAGCTTTGGCAATGTAGTAAGACCCTGTTTCCCCTGTCTCTACTTAAAAAACTAAAAACAAAACAACAACAACAAAAAAATCAGGTGGGGGGTGGGGAGGGGCGGCATGTGGAGTGGGGTAGGGAGAGTAAAAGGCTGTAATAAAATGAACTGCCCAAAAAGCATGTATGTATGTGTTTTTTAGTTAAGGTTAATTAAACAAAAAAATTCAGGTGCTACTTGTATGGCCAATATAGAGACTTAGTGATGCTACTTTCCTACAAAAAAGTTTCACAACCACTTTTCTTTTTAACAGGGCAAATTTTAGAACTTTAACAGAAAGCTGCATATAATTCATACAAAGGTATACCTCATAAACTACATCTATTAAGTTTTAAGGGCTCAACTTGATAACTGAGTAACTTAGTTTCTGTCTATATTCTCATGTTGCATTCTTAATGGCTTGTAAAGATTCAGCTAAATTTATGGATTGAAAATTCCAAAATCAAATGCATACTTTTAAAAAAATGTATATTTTTGAATTGTCAAATAAATAACAATGGCCAGGCGTGGTGGCTCACACCTGTAATCCTAGCACTTTGGGAGGCCAAGGTGGGCAGATTGCCTGAGCTCAGGAGTTCAAGACCAGCCGCAACATGGTGAAACCCCATCTCTACTAAAAATACAAAAAAAAAAAAAAAAGGGTCTGGTGTGCTGGTGCATGCTGTGGTCCCAGCTACTTGAGAGGCTGAGGCAAGAGACTCGCTTGAACCTGGGAGGCAGAGGTTGCAGTGAGCCAACATAGCGCCACTGCACACGGTCTGCAAGACTCTGTCTCCAAAAAAAAAAAAAAAAAAAACACTGGATTAACCAAAAGGAAATTAGAATTGGTTGATGATTAGGTAGGGCAAAGTGTATGTTTAGTTTGTGTTACTTGTTAGAAATGCAATTTCCCTAGCCAACTGGATGAATTCTCCTTTCTTCCTTCCAAAGAAGACAGGTGTCATTTCCTATAGGATAAAACTGAACTATAGTATAATTGTTGTGTGTGTAGTCTTATGGGGCATCAACTAGGAAATATAAAACATCAGTGAATAAGTTCAGCGTTAGGGCTAGGTATTTAACCTAGTTATGCAAAGGTGTTTACATGGACTGTAAAGGGACTAGAGAATCTATGTAATCTTACTCGTGATGTAAAGCAGCTCTTAGTACCATTGGAAATTACCTTTTTTTTTTTTTTTTTTTTTTTGAGATGGTTTTACTCTGTCACCCAGGCTGGAGTCCAGTGGCAGGATCTTGGCTCACCGAAACCTTTACTTCCTGGGCTCAAGTGATCCTCCCATCTCAGCCCCACAAGTAGCTGGTACTACAGGCATGAGCCACCATGCCCAGGTAATTTTTATAGTTTTTAAAGAAAGTATTAGGCTGGGTGGGGTGGCTCACATCTGTAATCCTGGCACTTTGGGAGGCCGAGGCAGGTGGATCACCTGAGGTTGGGAGTTCAAGACCAGACTGACTAACAAACATGGAGAAACCCCATCTCTACTAAAAATACAAAACTAGCCATGCATGGTGGTGCATGCCTGTAATCCCAGCTACTCGAGAGGCTGAAGTGGGAGAATTGCTTGAACCTGGGAGGTGGAGGTTGTGGTGAGCCAAGACCGCACCATTGCACTCCAGCCTGGGCAATGAGTGAAACTCCGTCTCAAAATAATAATAATAATAAAGTATTAGCAACTTGACACATTTACCCCTAAAAATTATTTTTTCTTCAGTCTTTGTATTTTTTTTTAAAGTTCCTTTTTTTCTTTTTCCAAACAGAAGTGGTTTAAATGTTTTGGGAGAAAGTATTGAGAGATAACCCCTAGCCTTTCCCTGTTTTATGCAAACATAAAATCACTGTCACTGTCCTTATTTATTGAAGTATTATGAAATAGTTGATGCTATCAAGATTCAATGCTTACTGTTCATTCAAATGTTAAACCTACTGTTGGTCAAGCAATAAGAGTTCTCTGTGACCGCCCCTATTGTACAGAACAGTTGATTATATCCCTAGATTAAAAAGTATTCTGTCAACTAATTGTCAAATAATGTCAGTAGAGAAACTGAAGAGAAATTGTGATTCCCTTACAGGATCACTTGGCAGCATCAGAGTTGAGGATAGTACGATTATCTGCTCTCTGGTTCCCCTGTCCAATAAGCATTTTTTTTTTTTTTTTTGTCCATAACATTTCCCATTGTCTTTTGTCTCACTTTAACATAAGCTGCTTTTCTGTGATGTAATATCTTGATATTTTGTTAAGAGTTTCAATTTCCATGAAATTTTCCACTTACCTTATATACCCTCCATTGAAAATAAAAAAGGCATGGTAGCTCATGCCTGTAATCCCAGCACTTTGGGAGGCTGAGGCGGGAGGATCCTTTGAGGCCAGGAGTTTGAGACCAACCTGGTAAATATAGTGAGACCTCCATCTCTATTAAAAAAAAAAAAAAAAGAAGTGTATCTTTTGTGGAGAGTATTGGTGTCTCATTCAGACACTTCAGTTTACTTGAGTATACAGAATTATCTTTCAGGCAGTAGTAATTACTTTCAGGTCACTTACTATGATCAAACTTTTTTTTTTGAGACAGGGTCTCGCTCTGTCGCCCAGGCTGGAGTGCAGTGGCATGATCACAGCTCACTGCAGCCTCAACCTCCCAAGCTCAAGCGATCCTCCCACCTCAGCCTCCCACATAGCTGGGACTACAGGCCCACGCCATCAGTCTTGGCTAATTTTTGTAGAGATGGGGTTTCGCCATGTTGCTTAGGCTGGCCTTCAACTCCAGAGTTCAAGTGATCCACCCACCTAGGCCTCCCAAAGTGCTGGGATTACAGGTATGAGCCACTCTGCCTTGCCCAAATTTAATTAAATGTGAAATACCTGGTTCTTTGTCATGGAGGTTTGAAAGTGACTCCTAACTTGTCATTGAAAACAAGTGCTTTACTTTTTTTTTTTTTTTTTTTTTTTTTGAGATGGAGTCTCACTCTTATCACCCAGGCTGGAGTGCAGTGGTGTGATCTTGGCTCACTGCAACCTCCACCTCCCGGGTTCAAGCGATTCTCCTGCCTCAGCCTCCCGAGTAGCTGGGATTACAGGCACACACCACCATGTCCGGCTAATTTTTGGTATTTTTAGTAGAGATGGGGTTTCACCATGTTGGCCAGGCTAGTCTTGAATTCCTGACCTCAGGTGGGATTACAGGTGTGAGCCACCGCATCCGGCCAAGTGCTTTTCAATGGGGAGAAACTGGAGAGAACAAGTGCTTGTACCTTCTGGTAGCTTGTACTTCTGGATGTTTCAATAATGTAAATATTGGTTACCAGCTTTGGTAGAATTAGTATGAAAACTAGATTGAATAATAACAGTCTGTAAGTTCATTACCTGAGGATCTAATAGGGAAAATATATTTCTACTAGTATATACATGTGACATTGCATTCATGGGCCACTACTGGAAGGTTACTTGGCTGCTGTTATTTCTTACTATGCTACTTTTAGAGGACTATCCCTTTATCTTAAATGGTTAAATTCTAATAAGATTGTGAGAAATGAATAGCAGAAGTGCTTATCTAGACACAGGCAAAGAATAATTAAGGTAGCTGTATTATTGGATGCCTGCCAGTATGGCTTCATGTGTTAGAGGCAGCGGAGTTAGGTTCCTTCCTGACCTTGTCAGTCATTTTTCTATATTGTTCAAATGATACATTTTCAATTTTTTTTTTTTTTTGACACGGAGTCGTGCTCTGTCACCCAGGCTAGAGTGCAGTGGCATGATCTCAGCTCACTGCAACCTCTGCCTCCTGGGTTCAAGCGATTCTCCTGCCTCAGTCTCCGGATTAGCTGGGACTACAGGCGTGTACCACCACGGCCAGCTAATTTTTTTGTATTTTTAGTAGAGACGGAGGTTCACCATGTTGGCCAGGCTGGTTTCAAACTCCTGACCTCAAGTGATCCAACCGCCTTGGCCTCCCAAAGTGCTAGGATTACAGGCATGAGCCACTGTGCCCGACCACATTGTCAATTTTATTGGGCATGTAAGTACTTGGTGTTGGACAGCTTATCCTTGCTTTCTGGGAACTCACCAGATTTTGGTTACAGTGTTTCTTTTTTTTAGGCTGGGAACTAAAGGGATGTATGAAGCACAGACTAAGAAAGATTTGCCTCCCGGATGGTCCTGAAAAGGCAAGGGATGATGGATTATTATATTATTTATTTTTTAAGGAGGGGTGGCTAAACAACAAATAACATTTTTAAATGGGCAAAGTATTTCAAAAGACATTTCTCCAGAGATATATAGATGGCCAACGAGCACATGAAAAGATGCTTAACATCGTTAACCATCATGGAAATGCAAATCAAAACCACAATAAGATGCCACTTGACACTAGGATGCCTATAATCAAAAAGATAATAAAGTGTTAATGAGGATGGAGGGAAACTGGAACCCTCATATTGCTTGGTGGGAATGCAAAATAGTGCAACTGCTTTCCGTAAGTCTGGCAGTTCCTCAAAAGGTTATCACAGCACCCAACAATTCCATTCCCTGTATGTGCCCAAGAGAAACAAAAACACATATTCACTCAAAAACTTATCACAAATGTTTATGGCAGCATTATTCATAGAAGCCAGGAAGTGGAAGCAATTCAAATGTCTGTCAACTAATGAATGGACAAATGTGGTACGTCCATAAGATGGAACATTCATCATAAAAACAAACTCCTGATACATCCTACAACAGTAAGAACCTTAAAAACATCCTAAGTAAAAGAAGCCAGTCACAAAAGACTACATAAATTATGATTCAATTTATATGAAATGTCCAGAATAGGCAAATCCACAGAGACAGGTTAAGTTGTTGCCAGGAGCTAGGGAGAATGGGGAGTGACTGCCAAGTGAGTATGCAGCTTCTTTTGGGGGCCAGTCCTTGTCAACTGAGTTGATATGCAGTGACAAAAAAAGCTCTTAAGGAGAGTGGGATTATGTGACGTGAGCCACTGTGCTGGCCTGATTCCATTATTTATAATAGAATTATTAAAAACTCTACAGCTGGGATAGAAATACCCTTTCTTGGTTTAAGATACCCAAAACACTATAGCCCAGCTTTTCTGAGGAAGGCCACTGTTTATTTCTAACTGATTTTATCTTTGGATGTACCATTTCTCCAAACTATTCCACAGGGGATATAAGAATTATATGCAATAAATCCTTTTTTTAAAATTTTATTTTATTTTATTTTTGAGACAGAGTCCCGCTTTGTTGCCAGGCTGGAGTGCAATGGCGTGATCTCGGCTCACTGCAACCTCTGCCTCCCGGGTTCAAGTGATTCTCCTGCCTCAGCCTCCCCAAGCAGCTGAGACTACAGGCGCGCGCCACCATGCCCAGCTAATTTTTGTATTTTTAGTAGAGACAGGGTTTCACCATGTTGGCCAGGATGGTCTCGATCTGACCTCATGATCCACCGGCCTCAGCCTCCCAGAGTGCTGGGATTACAGGCGTGAGCCACCGCGCCCAGCGCAATAAATCCTTTTAAAAGTGTGTATATCACATTTTAGAATAACTGAGAGAGTACAATTGGAATGTTCGTAACACAAATGAATGCTTGATGTGATGAATACTCAATTTACTCTATCAAAAGAAATATGTCCCACATAAATATATACACCTACTATGTACCCATAAAATGTTTTTAAAAGTTGATAAATATGTTTTTTTCTGGAGAAAAAATTTGTTTTTAATTTTTTTAAAAAAAGGGCTATGTGTGCTGGCTCACACCTATAATCCCAGTACTTTGGGAGGCTGAAGCGGGAGAGTCATTTGAGCCCAGGAGTTTAAGACCAGTCTGGGCAACATAGAGAGACCCCCATCTCTACAAACAATTTAAAAAATTAGCCAGGCATGGTGGCATGCACCTATAGTCCCAGCTACTCAGGAGGCTGAGGTGGGAGGATCGCTTAAGCCCTGGAGTTTGATGCTGCAGTGAGCTATGATCATGCCACTGCGCTCCAGCCTGGGCAACAGCAACACCCTGTCTTATTTAAAAAAAAAAAAAATGTGTGCTGACTGGGTGGGGTGGCTCATGTCTGTAATATCAGCACTTTGGGAGGCCGAGGTGGGTGGACTGCTTGAACTGAGAATTTCAAGACCAGCCTGGGCAACATGGTGAAACCATTTTTTTTTTTTTTTTTGCCTATAAAATATACAAAAATTAGCCAGGTGTGGCGGTGCGCACCTGTAGTCCCAGCTATTTGGGGAGGCTGTGGTGGGAGGATTGCATAAGCCCAGGAGGTGGAGGTTGCAGTAAGCCGTGATGGCACCAGTGCCCTCCAAGCCTGGGTGACAAAGCCAGACCCTGTCTCAAAAAAGAAAAAAAAAGTGTTTATATTATCCAGTATAAGAAAGCCAACTAAATAAAGCCTATCCATTTCCCCTACTGAACCATCTTCAATATATAAGGAACACAAATGGTATGAAACTAGCACAAATGCAACCTAGGAATACTTCAATACACTAAAAAAAAAGTACATCAATACTTCATGATAACATCATTAAAGTGAATTACTGGGCAAAATGGACTGTGTTATATAAATGCTTTGACATACATTCATTACATAAATTGGACAGAAGATAGAGATGAATAATTCAGTTTTCTGTGAAATTTTGCGGGGAAATTTTAAATTATGAGTAAAAATCTAACACTGACAGTATGAACATGGATTTTTGACAACCCAGAATTTGCTAGCATAGCAGATAGGTGAACAGATTTACTATATTTAAGATTATTTTGCCATTTATATATAAAATTAAAATTTAGGCCGGGTACCGTGGCTCATGCCTGTAATCCCAGCACTTTCAGAGGCTGAGGCAGGCAGATCACTTGAGTTCAGGAGTTCAAGACCAGCCTGGCCAATATGGTGAAACCCTGTCTCTACTAAAAATACAAAAATTACAAGCAGTACTGTATGGTTATTTTGAAGTTAGTGCTAAGAAGAAAAATAAAATCACGAAGTTAATACAGCTCTAGTATTTTTAACATTTAAAAAAGTACTTTCATATAAAGTGAGAACACAGAACTTATATATTACCCATGTCAGTTAAAGCTGTTAAAAATTGTCCTCCCTACCCCCTACAACATGAAATCTAGAGTGGTTTTTTGAAGACAGGGTCTTGCTCTATTACCCAGGCTGGAGTGCAGCGCACCTTGATCACAACTCACTGCAGGCTTGACCTCATGGGCTCAAGTGATCCTCTGGCCTCAGCCTCCTGAGCAGCTGGGACTACAGGCATGCACCACCATGCCTGGTTAATTTTATTTTTTGCAGAGATAGGGTCTCACAATGTTGCCAAGGCTGGTCTTGAACTCCTCAGCTCAAGTGATCCTCCTGCCTCAGCCTCCCAAAATGTTGTGATTACAGTCAAGAGCCACTATGCCTGGCCCTCTAGATAGTGTTGCCTTCCTGTACTATATTAAGCAAATTATTAAAATTCTCAAAACACTGAAATATTTTTTATTTGTGTTTAAAAAATTCATTTTCAGGGCTGGGGGAGGGATAGCATTAGGAGAAATACCTAATGTAAATGACGAGTTAACGGGTGCAGCAAACCAACATGGCACATGTATACCTATGTAACAAATCTGCACGTTGGGCACATGTACACTAGAACTTAAAGTATAATAATAAAAAAAGAAAAAAAGAAAGTTAGTTTTCAGTTATGGAAGGTTGGGCTTGTAATCTCAACTACTTGGGACGCTGAGGCAGGAGGATCATTTGAGCCCCGCAGTTTGAGGCTGTAGTAAGTTATGACTGCACCACTGCACTCCAGCCTGGGTAACAGTGAGACTCTATCTCTTAAAAAAATTATGCTGAGAATATTTTCTGAGTTGTCACATGGGTCTTGTGATAAACTAATAATGCAAACTTTTATTTTTCATTATATATAAATATTGGATTTATCCCAACCAAACTAGTTTGCAGGGAACCTCTGCCTTTATTTCACGGCTGGAGAATGAGATACAAAAGATGTCAATTTCCATCGTAAGAACTTTCCACAGTAGTGTTCTTTGGACATTCTCTCCCTTGTATTAGGCTCCTCAGAAATCTATCTCCAGACTGAAACCAGCACATTCTGATGAGATCATAGCTTAGTACTCAGAAAAATCACTACTCAGTGGAATTCTTGAAATTTTGAAACAACTGATTTTAGCATACAGAATTTCAAAAAGAACATACATTACAGCCAGAAACGATTGTTTGCTCATGAATTTTGATTATTGGCAGACACATTTGCTGTAGCGGCAACTGTGCAAGAGTTCATTTTAACAGAATAATATGTTCTGAAATACTCTTTTATAATCAATATAAAATTCTAGAATGTTAATTCCTATAGCAAGAACTTGTGACATTATAAAATGTGGTTTACCATAGAAAGTCGCTAGATTTCCCATGTTTTCTTAAAATTAAATGTACTAAAAAATCCAAATGTAATAGAAAAATGCAATCACATAGGTGCTTTAAACAGACATTTCTGAATAACACTGCATTCTAACTCATGAGTACAAAGAAATGTGTATGCTATTTATACATTTTCTTAGTGTTCCCTACCTTTGGACTCCAATCATTTTAACGTATCCGTATACTGGAGATTTGATCACAGTATATGGCACTTCACAATAACATTCCATGTCCTAATAATGTGAAATGCCTGTATACAATCTGAGTATATTGTTTAGTCAGAAAACATCAAAATTAAGGATATAGGACATGGAATGTCTGTTAAGTGCTGAGTTTTTCTGACTAGAGTTTAATCTAGCCAGTGTTAATGTGGAAGCTGTATGCTTTTTTCATGGGCATGTTCGAATTTTTTCTTTCAAAATGTTTCTCAACTTTTTGATGTGACACTTTGTTTTCTCCCAAGTCACTCTAAGGGTTCTATCAACATCTTTCTTTGAAAACAGCCCAAAAACATATTTTTAAAATGAAAAAAAAATTCACAAGAGAATCAAGATTTGGTTTTAATCTATTATTTACATATTTGTAAACTGCTGTTAAAATGCTCTCAAAAATGTTATTTAGGAAGGCACAATTTGGTAGCATCAATTTTTTATTTATAGTTTTTTCTAAACAAGATCCGAAGAAACTTCCACTTTAATTTTCCCCTTGGAGTACTTAAAGTACTTCAAGGTTCAATGTCAAATGCAGATAAAACCCCTTCATTTTCAAACTTACTAAGTGTTAACAATACATTTGATAGTGAGCAGAATATGAAAGTACAGATGTTATCAAAAGAGGAAATTCTTATGATACTAGGTTCAGAGATTAAAGAATTTGAAACAAGGGCTTTCATGACTGGGGAAAATCAAAGCTTTTCTTGAAGGGAGTGGGCTTTTAATACTCGAGCTATTAATTAAATGCAGAAATGAGATAACATAGTTATCCTGAACATCAAAAAAGCAACAGCTAATACAGCTAATGCATTATAAATAATGTATTTCATAACTGAATTAGTAAAGCATGGTTACCACTCTAGGCTAGACACTAATCAGTATAACCATTTGTAGTTTCTAATTTTAAAAAGTTTGGCTTCATATTTAAATTTCATTTTACTATATATATATTACATATATACACACTGTTGTCTGTAACTCAAACTATAATGCTTGTCTGTAAAAAGAAGTTTTTTATTTCAGAGATGCTTAAAAGTCCCACTACTCAACCTTTTTCCTGTTTATAAAAACCAACAATTTTGAAATTACTTCTAGTGTAGAAATGCTCAATGATTCATCCAAAATTTCAAGCCCATATCAGTAGGTAGTTTCTCATAAAGTAATGTGCTGTATTTTCTAATATCATATGGTCAAATACCCTGTTCATTTATGAACATTTTTCATGGGCAAGAGTAACTGAAGACAATGGGATCAAGTTGAATATGTTGCTACTCACTTTGAATACTAAATTGTGCTTGCATCCTAAAAATTAAAATGAGCTGCAGTAAGAATTAGAATATAAACTGTGTTCATTTGTACCATACACTAAAAACTAAAATCCTAAAAATAAGAATGAAAATACCTTACTTGTTCATTGAAAAATGAAAGATGAGAAGCAATAACAATTGGTGACGATTTATTTTTATCTTTTGTTAAAGCTCTGAAATTGTAGTAAATCGCTAACTAAATTGAGGTAGAGGTAGACCCTAATGTTACTCCTTCCATGTGTCAAGTCTCTCACCTTAGGTCTCTAAGGTCACCTATAACTTAAGTCTCTCACCCTTAACTTAAATACATTTTCCCTCTTAGTACATAAGCATGATTCATTTTGGAATGTGTTGTCATGAAAGAAAAATTAAGATCATTCAAATGGTACTTTAAAAATTCTGAACTCCTAGCTAAAAAAATTCTCTTATAAAAATGTACACAAGGGCCGGGTGCGGTGGCTCACGCCTGTAATCCCAACACTTTGGGAGGCCGAGGTGGGTGGATCACCTGAGGTCAGGAGTTCAAGACCAGCCTGGCCAACGTGGCGAAACCCCATTTCTACTAAAAATACAAAAATTAGCCAGACATGTTGGCGCACGCCTGTAATCCCAGCTACTCGGGAAGCTGAGGCAGGAGAATCGCTTAAACCCAGGGGGCGGAGGTTGCAGTGAGCCGAGATTGTGCCATTGCACTCCAGCCTGGGCAACAAGAGTGAAACTCCATCTCAAAAAAACAAAAACAAAAACAAAAACAAACAAACAAAAAACACGCTAATTCAATCTTCCTTTTCTGAGAGTCTCAATTTGGAGAAAAATAATTCAATTTTCTATTTTGCTAGTAAGAAATATATTTGTTTCTCCTCCAATTGTAGAGGAAAACAAGGAAAGAGAAGATGTATGATGCAAACATCAACAGTTTCATAACGAAGACATCAGGAACATAACTAGGAGGGCTGAACATTTTACCATTCCTCCTTGAAGTTTACATATAAGCTTTGATTCATATTAAATTTTCTGCTAAAATAACTACTTCCTTTTCAGACTTCAATTCCATTAAACACACATCTATTTCCATTTTAAATCACATACAAGTGCTATGTGATCAGAGGGATGGGAAACACTAGGTAAGGCCTGGTGGGTGGTAACTTCTTCATGACTAGGTAATGGAATCACCTGTTCAACCTCTAAAGCATTTAAGTCAATGAAAATGTAATCTAGACATCCATGAAAGCCACCAACATAATTTGTGTAAGCAGGTTCACCACAAGCACTTTTCAGCTTGAAGAAATGTGTAAGAGACATATTGCATCTTTCCTCCTCCCCATTGGAAGCCCAGTCTTCATGATCCTCTGGAATGCTGCCATTGATGACAAAATGATACATTCCTGTTGATGGTGTACTATTAAAGTCCCCACAAAATATAACTGGTATGCCAGGATACAGATCACATGAAACATGTCTTATGTGAGCCAAGGCTACTGCCATTTGAATGAGGCGAATATACCCACCTATGAATATAAAAAACATTAATGTAAGTATTTTTTAAAGTTGTCTTTAAGTTAAAAAAGAAAAACTACACAAATTACAGTCTCTGGGTGACGTTCAAGATATGCATTTGTGTAAAACACTTTAAACAACTTTAAGCGTGTTTAAGTCACTTGTGATACCAAATAAAACCTACCTTTAGGATGCCAGTAAAGATGGGTATTAGCAACACATATCCTTTTAGAAGAGTCCTTTGTAGACTGAAGAACTGAAACCTAAAATAAACGGAAAGTGCCAAGAGTTCAGTTGGCATTTGCAAATCTCCTGAATGTTTTTGTTTGTTTGTTTGTTTTTTTGAGTTTTTTCGAGACAGTCTCACTCTGTCAACCAGGCTGGAGTGCAGTAGCGCGATCTCGGCTCACTGCAAGCTCCGCCTCCCGGGTTCAAGCGATTCCCCTGCCTCTGCCTCCGGAGTAGCTGGGACTACAGGCGCGTGCCACCACGCCCGGCTAATTTTTTTGTATTTGTAGTAGAGACGGGGTTTCATCGTGTTAGCCAGGATGGTCTCGATTTCCTGACTTGTGATCCACCCGCCTCGGCCTCCCAAAGTGCTGGGATTACAGGCATAAGCCACCAGGCCCGGCCTGTTTTTTATCTAAGACTAATGGCGAACTAACGTTTTCTTCCATCTCCTTCCCTTGATGAACTAGGACTGCAGTCATGAAATCCAACTTAAAGTTTCAGGATCTACATGACTAGGTTCAGTGTAACATGTTTTAATAATAGTCCAATATAGGCCGGGCGTGGTGGCTCACGCCTGTAATCCCAGCACTTTGGGAGGCTGAGGCGGGCGGATCACGAGGTCAGGAGATCGAGACCATCCTGGCTAACATGGTGAAACCCCAAACCCCGTCTCTACTAAAAAAATTAGCCGGGCGTGGTGGCACGCGCCTCTAGTCCCAGCTACTAGGGAGGCTGAGGCAGGAGAATCGCTTGAACCCGGGAGGCGGAAGTTGCGGTGAGCCGATATCGCGCCACCGTACTCCAGCCTAGGTGACAGAGACTCCGTCTCAAAATAATAATAATAATAATAATAGTCCAATATATAAAGCTAGTAATATAAACAATACATTTTACATGACAACACTTTGACTGGAGAAAGTGTTTTCAAGCGTAAGCACAGGCTTTGGAGTCAGGCAGACCTGGGTTTGAATACTCATTTCACCATTTATAGCAATGTGACCTGCAAAAAGATGCTTTTCTAGCCAGTTTCGTACTGGCAGTCACTGACAATACCATCCACCTCATGGGCTGTTGTGTGGAGTCAATTAAATGATCTTATAAGGTGCATGAAACACCTTAGGTACTTAAAAAATGGTAGCTGCTCTTCTTATTATGAACAAAATCAATTACTTAAAAACTTTAACACAAGAATGACATCTATAAAATGGGAATAGGGGACTTACTGTGAAGATTCAATGAGCCTATGATTTAAAAAAAACTAGTTTATATTTATGGAGCACTTCAAAACACACCACGCTCTTAAATTTTAAGTACTTTAAAATGTGCCAGAACAGTGCTTGGCAAGTAGTAAAAAACATTAGCTACTATTGTTCTTGCATTTAGCGTGTGTCCCTCTCGCTAGATTGTAAGCACTGTAAAAGTCCCTGCTAGTCTTGTTCAAGGCAACCTGCAGTATGGCAGGCACACCAGAGGTGTTCAAAAAATATCTGCTGAATGAATGAAGAGTAAACTTTGTGCTGAAGATACAAGGGCAAACACACCTTTCAACAATATCTGGATACTTTCATCGCACTTTTAACCCCCACCTCATTCCTCGCCTTCCTGGCCCCTAAAAGTGGGACAGTATGTGAAGAGACGGGCGGAACTACTTTACCTGAAGAACAGAAGATCTCTGGAGCACCTTCTCCTGCGCTGATGGGTACAAAACTAGTTTCTCCAGCAGTTCTTTGTGAAGTGGGTCGGACTCGAGGGCTTCGTAGAATGAAATGTCATGCTGGCTAAGAAGGCTGAACTTAGACTTTCGGTAGAAAGTGGCCAGGCCTTCGTGCTGCTTGATTCGAAACACCCCCTCGAGCCCGAAGGCCTCTAGGGCGGGTACCAAGCTGTCAGAAAACACTGCGCGGTCAACCTCCTGCAAACAGATGACATCGGCGTTGTAGCCGGTGAGTTCCTTCTGGATAAGGTTCTGGCGGTAGTCGAGCTCCAGGGCGTAGGGGGCACAGTATGGGTACAGAACCGTTCGCGAGAACTCAGTCTGCGCGTACGTGTCTGCCAGGATGTTGTAAGAGACAGTGCGGATGAGAGCGTCCTCAGTCACCTTCTTCGTGTAGAGATGCCGGTGGTCAAAAGTGCAGGTGCCAGGCCCAGCCTCTACCACACACACACTTTCCAACTCCCGGCTGTGCCCAAAGCGCTGCCCATCGCCTGGGGTGCAGTGAAGCTTGAGCCTTAGCCCGATGTCGGCATTGGACGGGGTGTAGACACGCTCCTCCACATCAGTCTCAGTCCAAGAAGAAGAAGGTGAGGAGGGAGACAATGACGAGGGGACACCGACCTCGGGCTCCGCCGCTCCGGGCTTGGCTTCCTTATACCAGCGGAAAAGGGAGCTGGCGGGATCCCCAAATTCGAGGCTGAGTTTGGGGCACACAGGGAACCCGGCCATGATGTAGCGCGGCAACTGCAGTTCGGTGAAGGCGGGCGGGTTGCGCTCCACCTTGTACTTAACATCGCCGATCTGCAGCACCGCGCCGTCTTGCCAGGCATCCACGTTGAGCACGTCCTCAGCCACTGCCTCTTCCCGGTAGTACAGCTTCACCACGGGCTCGCAGAACACAGCCGGCTCAGGCCCCGGCCCTGAACAGGCCGCACCGCCGCTAGCATTCGGCCGGCTCTTCCTGCTCTTCTTGGCGGCGGCCGCCTTAGCGTGACCCTTTAGGGCATTGGTAGCGATGCGGCTGAGGACTCGACCCAGCGGCTCGCTCTGGTCGCGCTGCATGTTCTTGTGGCTACCATCAGCCAAAGCGAATGACAGGCTCAGCTTGGGTTCCGAAGGTACGCAGCGCACTACAGCGCGCTCCATCGCTCCCGCCGCTGTCTGGCTCCCCGCTTCAGCCCGGCTCAGCTTCTCCACCGCCGTCCGGATCACCCGAAGCGCGGCGCGGGCGCCTGGGAGCCTCCACATGAACCTGGTGGCCTAGCGGTCGACAAGACCCGCGGCCGATCAGCGGCCTACTGTCAGGTGGAGCTGAGGAGCCGAGGCCGCCGGCTTTGACTCATTCAGATCTCGCGACTTCCGGCTAGCGAAGAGAGGGAATGAAGTGCTTCCGACTCGCACTTTCGCCTAGCGCGTGGGCACGCATGTCTGTAATACTCTGAAGATTAATTTTTACCTACACGATAGGTCAGAATTATAGGGAAGTGAAGAAAATATAAAGGTGTCAGAGGAAAATACTAGATTCCACGGTTTTGTCGAAAGTGCATGCTGGTGACGGGAGGGCATGCCCTCCAAGCCGGAAGTGGATAGGGTGGTGTCACGTGTTCCGCTTCGTTGGAGGAGGTGGACACCTGTCTTGGAATCTTGGCTGACCAGCTCTCCTCCCTGCGCCCGGGACTGGACTGCGCTAGGACGTGGAGGCCTCCACCCGGATTGCGAGCTTTACTCGCAGTGTGGAAGGTGTTGCCCATTTCATCTCCACAGCTTTGCCGACCCTGATCGCTCGTTTCGGTGGCCTGGTGGGTTCACCCCAGGCTGAGCCAGCGCCTACGCACCTCTGAGCAGAGCCTTTGTGGTAGTTAACAACGAACGATATACAATAACTCCGTTTAGTGAGCGCAGACTATGCGAGAAACGCTACACACACTATCTTATTTAAGCCTCATAGTTCTTATGAGGTAGGTCTCTTTATCCATCGCTTTACAGATGCAGAGTCCCGAGATATTACCTGCTCAGGGTCACACAACTATTAATTGGCAGAAAGAAATAGTACTGACAAACTGCGGAAGGCTGTTTGTTATTTTTTATTAGAGACAGGTTGTCACTTTGACGCCCAAGCTGGAGTGCAGTGGCCTGATCATAGCTCACTGCCCCCTCGAACTCCAGGGCTCGTGCGATCCTCCCGCCTAACCCTCTCAAGTACAAACAGGCAAGAGCCACCCAGTGTTTATTTTTAGTTAGTAAATAGGAAGACTCTATTTAGTTACTACATTTAACAAATAAAATTACAGGATCTCAGTTAAATTCAATTTCAGATAAGGAATAATAATGGGGCATATATTAAGAAATAGTTGTTTATCTGTTTATTTTATTTTTTTATTTTTTAGGTAGGGCCTTGCTCTTTCACCCAAGCTGGAGTGCAGCTGTGCGATCTTGGCTTACTGCAACTTCGGCTTCCAGAGTTCAAGCGATTCTCGTGCCTCAGCCTCCCAAGTAGCTGGGACTACAGGCACACACCACCACGCCCAGCTAATTTTTGTATTTTAGTAGAGAAGGGCTTCACCATGTTTCCTGGGCTGGTCGCGAACTCCTGGCCTCAAGCAAGCCCCCCGCCTTACCCTCCCAAAATTCTGGGATAACAAGTGAAAACCACCTCCCCTGGCCTAAGGAATCGTGCACTTTATTGCTATTTCTTTTAAAGGTCTTAAAGACGCCGGGCCCAGTGGCTCACGTCTGTAATCCCAGCACTTTGGGAGGCTGAGGCGGGTGGATCGCCTAAGGTCAGGAGTTCGAGACCAGCCTGGCCAACATAGTGAAACCCCGTCTCTACTAAAAATACAAAAAATTAGCTGGGCATGGTGGCGCACACCTGTAATCCCAGCTACTAGGGAGGCTGAGGCAGGAGAATCGCTTGAACCTGGGAGATGGAGGTCATAGTGAGTTGAGATCATGCCATTGCACTCCAGCCTGGGCAACAAGAGTGAAACTCCGTCTCAAAACAAAACAAAAAAAGGTCTTGAAGAACGAATGAATTGCTTTACCTGTAGACCAGAAAGAGGTCCAGTGTGATGAGTAAGGTGAGACCAGGGGAGAGTAGCAGATAAGAAAGATATGCATCCACCAAATTGTGTAGTGCATTCTAAGCCATAGTATGAAGTTCTGGATTTCTTCTAAGAGGGCCATTAGAGTTGTTTTGCTTGCAATTATGGAAAAGCTTTAATTTTCATTTTCTTGAAAGGGGAAAAGCTAAAAACATTTGGTTTTAATTGCAAGAAAAAAGGTGTTTGATACTGTAATTGTCATTGGCCTCCATGTAATTATTTTTTTATTTTTTTATTTTTGAGATGGAGCCTCACTCTGTCACCCAGGCTGGAGTGCAGTGGTGTGATCTCGGCTCACTGCAGCCTCCACCTCCCGGGTTCAAGCGATTCTCATGCCTCAGCCTCCCAAGTAGCTGAGATTACAGGTGTGCACTGCCATGTCTGGCTAATTTTTGTATTTTTAGTAGAGATGGAATTTCACTGTCTCTACTAAATATGTTAAAACGCCGTCTCTACTAAAAATACAAAAATTAGACGGGGTTTCATTATCTCTACTAAACATGGTGAAACCCTGTCTCTACTAAAAATACAAAAATTAGCCGGGCGCAGTGGTGTTCGCCTGTAATCCCAGCTACTCAGGAGGCCGAGGCAGGACAATCTTTTGAACCTGGGAGGCAGAGGTTGCAGTGAGCCGAGATCGCGCCACTGCCCTCCAGCTTGGGAGACAGCAAGACTCTGTCTCGGAAAAAAAAAAAAAAGAAATATCTTCAGAATTTAATTTAGACATTTTGCCTACATCAATTGGTCAGACAGATTTATGCTTTCTTTGCTAGATGTTTTAAAGTCATAAAACTGTTGCTTCCGTGATATTTTTAATACTTGCTTGATTTGTGTATAAGTTAAAACTATGAGGTCAGGCTGCGGGGCTCCCCTGAAACCTTGCACACATTTTGATATGAGCTTTTGTCTTTGGCTTTGGGCCTCTGGATTCTGAGATCTAGACAGGTGGCCATGGTGAAGCCTGGAAACGTGTGTGTCTGTATCACCTGGACTACCAGCTGCATGTAAAGCTGAGTGCAGTATGGCCCTGTCCTCCCTGGCGCAACTCTGCATCCTTATCATGTTGGGAGGGGTTGGAACCTCCACCATCATCTTCACAGCTTTATCCTCTGTACTGGGCTCTATACCTGGTATGTAAATCCAGGACACAGATGGGCTCTGCCCTTCATAGCTGTCCTGGATGCCACATGGATACTCAGGAACAGGGTGACTGGGGTTGGAGAAGGACAAAGGGATATTGGGAAAAGTGCCTCTGTCCAATATCTGAAAGGCCTTGGTTAAGATGAGACTGGCTGATGCAGGGTTAGGTTAGTTTTGTGTTTTCTTTGCTCTTTATTTATTTATTTTTTGAGATGGAGTTTCACTCCTTTTGCCCAGGCTGGAGTGCAATGGCATGATCTTGGCTCAGTGAAAACCTCCACCTCCTGGGTTCAAGCGATTCTCCTGCCTCAGCCTCCTGAGTAGCGGGGATTACAGGTATGCATCACTACACCCAGCTAATGTTGTATTTTTAGTAGAGACAGGGTTTCTCCATGTTGGTCAGGCTGGCCTCAAACTCCCGACCTCAGGTGATCCACCCACCTTGGCCTCCCAAAGTGCTGGGATTATAGGCATGAGCCACCACGCCCAGCCACTTTTTATTTTTTTAAGACAGGGTCTCATTCTGTCACCCAGGCTGGAGTGCAGTGGCAACATAATAGTTCACTGGAGCCTTGAACTCCTTGGTCTCCTACTTTAGGTACACGCAACTACACCCAACTAATTGTTTTTTATTTGTTGTAGAGATGGGGGATCCCACTATGTTGCCCAAGCTGGTCTCAAACTCCTGGGCTCAAGCGATCCACCTGCCTCAGCCTCCCAAAGGGCTGAGATTAGCAGTATGAGATGAGACACTATACCTGGTGGCTTTGTTTTTTCAAAATAAATAACTTTCTAGAATGGAAGGGGCTTAATGAAAATAAATAAATAAATAAATAACATAAATGGCTAGTTTTGCTTTCCATAAGCAAATGAAATACAGTTGTTAAGAACAAGTAAATTAGATAACTGTGAATGGGATAAGCATCTACAAATAAACTTGTCATAGTTTCCAAAACTTTTTCAGTAATTTAAAATCTTAAAGTCATGCTGTATTAAATGAAGTAATAGATAATTATAAATTGTCCGCATTGGCTGAGCACAATGGCTCATGCCTGTAATCCCAGCACTTTGGGAGGCTGAGACGGGAGGATTGTTTGAGCCCTGGGCAACATAGTGAGACCCCATCTCTTTTTTTTTTTTTTGAGATGGAGTCTTGCTCTGTCGCCCAGGCTGGAGTGCAGTGGCGTGATCTCGGCTCACTGCAAGCTCTGCCTCCTGGGTTCATGCCATTCTCCTGCCTCAGCCTCCTGAGTAGCTGGGACTGCAGGCACCTGCCACCATGCCCAGCTAATTTTTTGTATTTTTTAGTAGAGACAGGGTTTCACCGTGTTAGCCAGGATGGTCTCGATCTCTTGACCTCATGATATGCCCACCTCAGCCTCCCAAAGTGCTGGGATTACAGGCGTGAACCACCATGCCTGGCCCGAGACCCCATCTCTTAAAAAAAAAAAAAAGTAAAATGTCTGAGTTATTTCTAAGTGAAAATACTGAAACATTAATTATTAAACTTAAGTTTATATACTTTGATGTCTTTTTTTCATTTTTCCCACTTATTCTCAAGTTCTGTTTTTTTTTCATTTTTTTGATGTCTTGTTTCATATGATATAGAAAGCTAAATATATTTGGATTCATTAATAACACTTTGAGAAAACATATCTTTTTAGAAATTATTAAGTGGCTGTTGTCTGCAAATACTGATATAAAACAATTCAAAATTACTGACTTCCTGGGTTGTCACTAGAAATTAGGGTTACTAAGAGTTAAAATTCAAAGTAATATATGTAATTAAAACTACTGAAAGTAAGAAATAATTTTGTGGCCGGGCGCGGTGGCTAATGCCTGTAATCCCAGCACTTTGGGAGCCAAGGCGGGCGGATCACGAGGTCAGGAGATTGAGACCATCCTGGCTAACACGGCGAAACCCCGTCTCTACTAATAATACAAAAAATTAGCAGGGCGTGGTCGTGGGTGCCTGTAGTCCCAGCTACTAGGGAGGCTGAGGCAGGAGAATGGTGTGAACCCGGGAGGCGGAGCTTGCAGTGAGCCGAGATCGCGCCACTGCACTCCAACCTGGGCGACAGAGCGAGACTCCATCTCAAAAAATAAATAAATAAATAAATAAATAATTTTGTATACAGAGTACGATAAAAACAACATATCTTTTTAGTGAGGAAAAGTTAAGTCATGAGTATATGTGCTTTTGTTTAAAAATTTTTGTTTTGGCTGGGCACGGTGGCTCACGCCTGTAATCCCAGCACTTTGGGAGACTGAGGCGGGTGGATCACAAGGTCAGGAGATCGAGGCCATCCTGGCTAACACGGTGAAACCCCATCTCTACTAAAAATACAAAAGAAATTAGCTGGGCATGTAGTCCCAGCTACTCGGGAGGCTGAGGCAGGAGAATGGTGTGAACCCAGGAAGCGGAGCTTGCAGTGAGCCGAGATTGCGCCACTGCACTCCAGCCTCAGCGACAGAGCGAGACTCCATCTCAAAAAAAAAAAAAAAATTGTTTCTAGCCACTGAAACAATAACAAAAAAAATGAAAAACTTTTGCCTAATTAAAGGTTATTTAAAGATTGTCTTAGAATAAATATATGGCACTTTGGGAGGCCAGGGCGGGTGGATCACCTGAGGTCAGGACTCTGAGACTAGCCTGGCTAGCATGGTGAAACCCCATCTCTATTAAAAATACAGAAAAAAAAAAAATTTAGCTGGGCGTCGTGGTACGTGCCTGTAGTCCCAGCTGCTTGGGAAGCTGAGGCAGGAGAATCGCTTGAACCCGGGAGGGGGAAGTTGCAGTGAGCCAAGATTGCACCACTGCACTCCAGCCTGGGTGGCAGAGTGAGACTCTGTCTCAAAAAATAAAAATAAAAATAAATGTATGGAAAAATGTATACAAAAATAAACGGATATAAAAAGTTGGAGAAAAAATTTAAAAACTGTAAGAGGTTATAAAAGGCTTATGGATTTCTTATGTGGTCAAAGTTGACTGAGACTGGATCTATTTGTTTATAAGGTTTTATTATTAATATTTATTTATTCATTGTTTGTTTTGTTTTGTTTTGTTTTTAAAAGCAGGGTCTTGATCTGTGACCCAGGCTGGTGTATGGTGGTGTCGTCATAGTTCATTTGTAATCTCAAATTTCTGGGCTCAAGCAATCCTCTTGCCTCAGTCTCCCAGGTGGTTAGGACTACAGGTATGTAGCCATGCCTGGCTAATTAAAAAAACTTTTTTTTGTAGAGATGGGGTCTCGCTAGCTGTGTTGCCTAGGCTGGTCTTGCACTCCTGGCCTCAAGAGATCTTCCCACCTTGGCCTCCCAGAGTGTTGGGATTACAGGCGTGAACCACCATGCCTGGCCTTATGGTTTTATTGAAATTTGCTTTAGTAATACACTGATACAAAACTAAATTTGGTTCTCTCATTTGAACATGATTTTCTGGTGGTATTAATAAAAGATAGTAAGCCAGGTATGGTGGCTCACACCTGTAATCCCAGCACTTTGGGAGGCCAAGGCAGAAGGACTGCATAAGCCCAGGAGTTTGAGACCAGCCTGGGCAACATGGCAAAACCCTGTCTCTACCAAAAATACAAAAATTAGCTGGGCATGGTGGTTCATGCCTGTAGTCCTAGCTACTCTGGAGGCTGAGGTGGGAGGATGATTTGAGCCTGGGAGGCTGAAGTCGCAGTGAGCTGAGATTGCGCCATTGCACTCCAGCCTGGGTGACAGAGCCAGACCCTGTCTCAAAAAATAAAATAAAATATAGTAAAAGATTTTGTTCACTTTTTGAGTAAATTGCAAAAGAAAGAAGAGAGAGAGAGAGAAACAGATTGTGTGCCTCATGCTGTCTTTAAACAATTTTTAAAAAAATTTTTTGGGTCTTACTCTGTTGCCCAGGCTGGAGTGCAGTGGCATGATCTTGGCTCACTGCAACCTCCATCTCCTGGGTTCAAGCGATTCTCCCACGTCAGCCTCCCAAGTAGCTGGGACTACAGGCGCGCACCACCATGCCTGGCTAATTTTCGTATTTTTTGGTAGAGACGGGGTTTCACCATGTTGGCCAGGCTGGTCTCGAACTCCTGACCTCAAGTGATTTGCCTGCCTCAATCTCCTAAAGTGCTGGGATTACAGCTGTGGCCCACTGCACCTGGCCTGATTAAATTTTTTAATTAAAAATATTTTTTATAAACATAGTCTCACTCTGTTGCCCAGGCTGGAGTGCATTGGCTATTCACAAGTGCAGCCATAATAGCTCACTGCAGCCTTGAACTCCTGAGCTCAAGTGATCCTCCCACCTTGGCCTCCTGAGTACCTGGAATTATGGGCACAGGCCACTGCATCCGGCCCTGCTCTCTTTGTTAGATCTTTTCATTATTTGGAAAACTGAGTCTTCTCTCTATGAAAAAGTGAAGGATTTTGCTTTATAAAATCTTTTTTTAAAAAAACTATGGAATGCTTCACAAATTTGTGTGTCATCCTTATGCAGGCACCATGGTAATCTTTTCTGTATCATTTCAGTTTTAATATTATGTGCTGCCGAAATGAGCACTGCTTTGTAAAATCTTTTAAATTTTCACTTTGGCTAAATGAATAACTGTTATTTTACAGTGACCTATGATCTTCTTTTGATCAAATGTCTTAAAACTTTCCTCGTTTGTTTTCATTTAAAAACAATTTTTTTGAGACCGTGTCTCACTCTGTCACCCAGGCTGGAGTGCAGTGGTGCAGTAATGGCTTACTGCAGCCTCGACCTCCTAGGCTCAAGTGATCCTCCCCCCTCAGTCTGCCAAGTAGCTGGGCCCACAAGTGCACACCACCAACGCCTGGCTAAGAAATATTCTGTAGAGACAGAGTCCCCTGATGTTGCCCAGTCTGATCTCAAACTCCAGGGCTCAAGTGATCTTTCCACCTCAGCCTTCCAAAGTGCTGGGATTACAAGTTTGAGCCACTGAGCCTGGCCTTTTCTATTTTAATTGAGTGTTTTTATCCTTTGACATACTTGACAGGCTTCCCAAAGTCAAATTTCAAATTCTAAATTAAGTCTTTTCGGCCTCAAACTAACCTTAGGTTATCCCAGAATGGCCCCTGGAAGCCTAAGAGAGACGTATTAGGCTTATTTGATATGTAAATTATACAGGAAACCTTTGCATTACATTTATATGAACATGTTATTAATATGTGTTTTAAAAGTATATGAGATTCCTAAAAGTCTGATGTGTCTTTTTGTATGTTATCAGTCATAATTATGGCTACTATGTAAACTTGTTATAGACTACAGAAAAAAACAAATTTCCTTGTCAATCGCATCATTGTTGTAAACTCTTACCAGGTCTTTCACCATAGCCATTCTAAATCTTGTTGTTCGTAGTAAATTGCTTTATTCTAATGTTTTTTCTAAATGATCTTTGCAAGCAAATATAATCCTAAAGCATTGTGTCTTCAAAGAGGTTTATGAGAAGGATAAAAAGTCTGATACATACTCTGGAATACAGGCCTCTGTTGATTATTAAGTTGGACTGAATAAGAACTTGAGAAACTCCAATGGTAAAAACTGGACTTAAAATTGCTAATTTATCAAGTAGAACAAAAATTAATTACATGGGACGGAACTGATGAGGACTGAAATGATTTTAATGACTTTTTTGCTTGAAACGTTGCTTTTTATTATTATTTTCTTTCAGAGTTAAGAAAACTTTTTTTCTCTGCATTATCTGTAGTTTTATAGCAATTTGGTAACTTTTTGGTATATTTTGTGAGTAAAATTGAAATATTTATCTTTCTCTCTACCTGATATCTCCAGAATTAGGAAACTATTCATGAGTATTCTTGTTTTATGGCAATATTATTTATTTGTATAAGCTCAAGAGGAATCTGTTCTTGTAAAAGAACACACTTTTGGAAACATTGGCTATTAAAAAGGATGTACATCGGCCAGGCGTGGTGGCTCACACCTGTAATCCTAGCACATCTAGAGGCCAAGGCAGGAGGATTGCTTGAGGCCAGGAGTTCAAGACCATCCTGGCCAACATTGTGAGACTTTGTCTCTATAATAAAATTTTTTTTTAAAGTAAAAAAAAAAAGGACGTACATTGTATCAGTCAGGGTTCAAAGTGGGAAGCAGAACCACTAAGATATAATACATATCATCTATATCTATATCTATATCTATATCTATATATGTGTGTGTGTATGTCTATACATATATATATATTTTTTTAAACAAAGAATTGGCTTATGCAATGGAGGGGGCTGGTTAACCAAGTCCATGGTCTGTAGGGCAGACTATCTGTCAGGAAGGGAAGAACCAGAAAATGGAGAGCAGTTATAGACCCAGCTGCTGTTTGGAGTTTGACTCAGGGCATGCCCATCTCTTTATTATTATTTTTTTAATTTTTAATTTTTTAAAATAGAGACAGAGTTACACCATGTTGCCCAGGCTGGTCTCAAACTCCCTCAAGAAGTCTGTCTGGCTCGGCCTCCTAAGGTGCTGGGATTACAGGGTTGATCCACTTTGCCAGGCCTAAATCTTTTTAAAAGGATTTCTACTGATTGAGTCAGGCTCACCCAGGATAATCTTCTTAGATCAATGTCAATTGACCAGGGACTTGAATTGAGCTGTAATCTCCTCACAGCAGCCCTAGATTAGTGTTTGATTAATGACTGGGAGAAGGTGGGTATATCATACACAAGATTGCTGCCTTCTCTTTAGTTCTTCTAATTTAGCCTAACCAAATTGACATTCAGGCTAGATATGGTGGCTCATGCCTATAATCCCAACACTTTTAGGAAGCTGAAGCAGGAGGATTGCTTGAGTCCACTAGTTTGAGGCAAGCCTGTGCAACATAGTAAGACACTGTCCCAACAAAATATTTTTAAAAATTAGCCGATGTCGTGGTGTGTGCCTGTAGTCCCAGCTACTCAGGAGGCTAAGGTGGGAGGATCCCTTGAGCCCAGGAGTTTGAGGATGCAGTGAGCTATTGCTGTAGTCTCAGCAATGCACCAAGATGTAACAGTTTCTCATTGTCTGAGATAACACCTGGAGTTATTTGTCCCACCTCCAAGATGATTAAGGAGCGCAGACCCAAAGGTTAGTTTAGAACGAACGTTTAATAAGAGAAAGAAGAAAGCTCTCTGCCAGCAGAGAGGGGGACCTGAATGGGGTGCCCCCTATGAGGCTGGGGTCCAGGGTTTTTATGGACTGGGAAGGGGAAGGAATGTGCTTCGTCCCCCGACCCCGCTACCCTGGGGCTTGGCCTGGTACTAATCAGGAGCTGAAATGATGATTCATAGATGCTGCTTAGCTTGGCTCGGGACCTATCAGGAACTGAAGAGAAAGTTTGGCCCTGGACCTTGGCCCAGGACAAATCAGGAGCTGAAGTGATGATTCCTAGAAGCCGGACTTACAATCCAAATAAAGGAAAGTAGAGTGCCCACTGGAACCTACTGGAGCCCACTGTGCCCATACCCACAAAAGGAAAATAAACTTTTTTTTCCCTGGGAGCCCATTGACTATACAAAGGACAAAGGCATTTCTTTGTTCCTTTATGTGAGTGAGGAGGAGGTCTGTGCAAGTTTTTGTCCAAATGGGCTGGAGATTTTTCTATCTGTGGAGCCGTGGGCATGTCTCCAGGCACAACACCCTGTGCTAGTTCCCTTATTGGTGCCTGCCGCTTGAATTTTTTCCCAGGCTGCTTTTTATGTTATGTGGGGATGAGGCACTGACCCATGGGCTGGGGGTTCTCTGGGGACCCTTCCCTTGCTATCTACCTAATGCAAAATCTAGCTGACTCCTTTCACTATGATGGTGCCGCTGCACTCCAGCCTGGGTGACAGAGCGAGAGCCCTGTCTCTAAAAAATAAACCCTAACAAATTGACATTAAAAAAACTGTCTAATCTGTCATAGGACTGAGTTTAAAAGAGAAAAGGTGGCATGGTGCAGTGGTTCACGCCTGTAATCCCAGCATTTTGGGAGGCCGAGGTGGGCGGATGACCTGAGGTCAGGAGTTCAAGACCAGCCTGACCAACATGGAGAAACCCCGTCTCTACTAAAAAAAAAAAAAAGAAAAGAAAAAAAATTAGTCGGGTTTGGTGATGCATGCCTGTAATCCCAACTACTTGGAAGGCTGAGGCAAGACAATCACTTGAACCTGGGAGGTGGAGGTTGTGGTGAGCACTCCAGCCTGGGCAACAAGATCAAAACTCTGTCTCAAAAAAAAAAAAAAAAGTCACATTATTTATACAAGTATTTTATTTTCTACAGAAAGATAATTTGCTTTTACAAACTACCAGGAAGTTTTACTTGTTCATTCACTCGCTTAAATGACATTTTAGAGCACCTACTCTGTGCCAGACACAATAGTGTAGGCTGTACTCTCATTAAAAAAAAAAAAAAAAATTACGTAGCAACTGGCACATAGAAGGTGCTCAAATATTTGTTGAATGAATATGCTGTTAACACACCGGCAGTATTCACTTCCCTAATTTAATTTTGGCACATAGTATTCTCGTAGGCTATTATCATTTAGATGTAGTATGCATTGTGCAGCTTCAAACAGCAAAATTTCACATCTTTCTCCCAGCATACCACTAAATTCACACACCTTAACCTGTTTGATTTTGCCAAAGAATTCCTGGAAGTGCTGTGTCAACAAATAGCAAATCTAGAAGCAAGATAAATTATATTGCTGATTAGTTACAATATTTACAGGGTGTCACTAGGGGACATTTGAAGACTTGATTCTCTTGCTGAGAGTGTTTCCATAAATCTGTTTTCCAACAGATCTAAATTTCCAGTCTTGCAGTTTTCCACAGTTTGAAGATTCTAATTTCCTGGTCCCCTTCCCAGGAAAGGCAGTTAGGTTAAAACAAACAAACAAAACCTCACACCCCATTTACTTGAGTAACGAATTATTGTTGTGACAGGTAATCCTAACCCCTTGCAGCTTGGCAACTGCCTCTCCAGGCAACCTTCACCCAGCCCCTCCAGCTGGGGCCGCCACAGTTTCCATGGCGACGACGTTGTTTCCAACCGGTCAGCGACCGCCCTTCTCCAGCTACTCGTTTGAGAGCCGGTGGCGTTCCGGAGGTTTCTCCCTCGTTATCCCCCTGCCTTTCACCTGAGGAGAGGCTCTGACTGTCTCTCTCTCTCTCTGGCGTCTGCGCAGCGGGGAAGTAGTGAGAAACAATCAGGTACTTGTTCTCTGCTGTTCTCTTCCTTTCTCTCCCAGGGCAGGTATCGCGATTTGGGTGCCAACTTAAACACTCTTTCAAGGCAGGAATCTCCAAATCCTGTAGGCATTCATGGCAAATATAGTTGTTATCACAGTACAATTTTTTTTTGAGACGGAGTCTCGCTTTATCGCCCAGGCTGAAGTGCGGTAGCGGGATCTCAGCTCACTGCAACCTCTGCCTCCCAGGTTCAAGCGATTCTTGTGCCTCAGCCTCCTGAGTAGCTGGGATTACAGGCGCCTGCCACCACGCCCGGCTAATTTTTGTATTTTTAGTAGAGATGGGGTTTCACCATGTTGGCCAGGCTGGGCTCGAACTCCCGACCTGAGGTGATCCGCCCACCTCGGCCTCCCAAAGTGCTGGGATTACAGGCGTGAGCCACCGCGCCTGGCCCACAGTAAAATTTTTGAGCATTTACATGACATTTTATATTTGCCATGCATCAAGTATGCCTATTTTTTGCTTGATCATAGCATCACTTTCTTGGAAGGCAGCAAGACTAAGATATCATACTGATGTTTAAAAATATTAATGATTGGCTGGGGGCGGTGGCTCACGCCTGTAATCTCAGGACTTTGGGGGACCGAGGCGGGAAATCATCTGAGGTCAGGAGTTCGAGACCAGCCTGGCCAACATGGTGAAACCCTGTCTCTACTAAAAACACAAAAAAGTAGCTGGGCGTGGTTGCGCACCTGTAGTCCTAGCTACTCGGGAGGCTGAAGCAGGAGAACCACTTGAACCTGGGAGGCGGAGGTTGCAGTGAGCCAAGATCGCGCCATTGCACTCCAGCCTGGGCGACAGAGCAAGAATCTGTCTCAAAAAAAAAAAAAAAAAAAAAAAAACCATTAATGATGTTAAATATCAGCTTTTACTGGGAAGGGGATCATCCCTCAACAACTGGATTTGTTGTGGTGGTGGTGGTAGTGGTTTGCATCTCGGGAAAATTTTGCACCCAGAATGCTACAGCTGTAGGGATATTTACAGAGCATCTAATTCAATTCCTTAGTTTCATCCATTAGGAAACAAGCCCTGAAGGGGAACTGACTGGCTCATTGCTTCATAAGTGAGTTTTAGAGTTCTAACAGGAATCCCTGCCAACTTACCTCAACTGTCATTCTTTAGACTAATACCATACTTGGGAGGAAGATCCAAAAGTGTCTAGAATTTTACTTTTGGTATTGATATGTTAGATATGTTATGAATGTGTCGAGGCTTGCTGACATAATAATGGCTTTATGGACTTTTTCTCCTCAGAGTACAGAGTATTTTAATCTTTAGGGGATCAAGATGTCAGATGCAAACAAAGCTGCCATTGCAGCAGAAAAGGAAGCTCTGAACTTGAAGTTACCCCCCATTGTCCATCTCCCAGAAAACATAGGCGTTGATACACCAACACAAAGTAAGCTGCTAAAATACAGAAGATCCAAGGAGCAGCAGCAGAAAATTAATCAGTTAGTGTAAGTAGCATATTAGTAGATAATTCTTGCTTGGAATTCAAGTAAAATGATTAGTGTTCATATTCTCCTAAAAAGTTTTAACTGTGGAGGTTGTTCATGGGTAAAATACTATTTTCAAGTTAATTAGAAAAACAATTGAAAAGTAATTGTAATGGTAGCAAATATTATACACTGTACACTGACAGACATTGTTCTTATCGCCTATACTTCTTGCAACAATCCTATAAGGTAGGTACTATTGTTAGCTCCATTGTTTAGATGAGTATACTGAGGTATAGAGAAGTTAAGTAACTTGCCTAAGGTTGCACAGCTGGGATTTGGACCTGGTTGGTCTGGTTCTAAAGTTCACATTCTTTAAGCACCACATTATTCCTCCTTTCAATATATTATAACCATACTGGTCCCTGAAAGTAAAATCAAATAACTGAACCCCTACAATTTGAACAAATACTTAATAAAATATCTTGAAACTACTTATATTTGAAATTTTTTTGCTACAAAAGGAAACAGAGTTCAACATCCTACTCACCGCCCCCCCCCCCCCCAGTTTAGTGGAAATTAAAACTAATTTGGGTACCTGCTGCCAAAGGCTGTGATGAGGTTGGTTCAGTTCAATTAGACAGTTACTGAGAATTTCCTAGACAGCCGATTCTGCTGGTTTCTAGGGATAAATAAAAAGAAAAATACATGGATTTCATTTACAAAATTCCAAGCCAACACTTAAACTATAAAATGAGGTTTTCTCTTTGGTGGATTTCTGTTTCCCTTTCTACATTCTCTTTCCTTTCTTGGTCGGCCTTATTTAAAAACCTTTTTTTGCAGCTAAGTATCATTGCCAATTTAATAATTTTAATTTTTGCTAATTTTACTTTCCTTACAATTAAACAGGTCTATTAATCATATACCTTCTTTAGATTTACATTTGTATTAGTCCAGCAATAATTTACTCATATTTAAATATACATTTATAGGGTATATAAACTAATATCAGTATATGTACTATTAGAGATGCTTAAGTATTCAAGACTTAGACAGAAAAAAAAAAAAGATTACATGCCTGTAATCTCAGCATTTTGGGAGGCCACAGTGGGAGGATTGCTTGAGCCCAGGAATTTGAGATGAGTCTGAGCAAGGTAGTGAGACCCTCATCGCTATAAAAAAAAAAAAATTAGCCAGGTGTGGTGGGGCATGCCTGTGGTCCTAACTACTTGGGAGGCAGAGGCAGGAGTATTGGTTGAGCCCAGGAGGTCAAAGCTGTAGTGTGCAAGATGTGATGGCATCATTGCACTCCCAGCAATGAGCAATGGCATGAGACCCTATCTCAAACAAGCAGACAAAAATAGTCTTAAAAGAAAAAGAGAGGCCGGGTGCAGTGGCTCACACCTGTAATCCTACCACTTTGGGAGGCTGAGGTGGATGGGTTACCTGAGGTCAGGAGTTCAAGACCAGCCTGGCCAACATGGTGAAACCCATCTCTACTAAAAATACAAAAAATTAGCTTGGCGTGGTGGCAGGTGCCTGTAATCCCAGCTACTCAGGAGGCGGAGGCAGGAGAATCTCTTGAACCTGGGATGGGGAGGTTGCAGTGAGCTGAGATCACACCACTGCACTCCAGCCTGGGTGACAAAACGAGACTCCATCTCAAAAAAATAAAAGGGAGGGGGAGAGATGCATTCCTCCTTCATTCCTAAGATTCTATTCAGTGTTTCAGTAGATTTAGAGAAGGGAGTTCTCTAGGAATTATACATTGTTCCTTTTTTTTTTTCTTTTTGAGACAGGGTCTTGCTCTGTCACCCAGGCTGGAGTATAGTGGCACGATCTCA
Source organism: Homo sapiens (assembly GCF_000001405.40). Classification (NCBI taxonomy): domain Eukaryota; kingdom Metazoa; phylum Chordata; class Mammalia; order Primates; family Hominidae; genus Homo; species Homo sapiens. Next base: position 57,540,877 of record NC_000003.12, on the reverse strand, counting down.
GCTCACTGGAGCCTCAACCTCCTGGACTCTCGTGATCCTCCCATCTTAGCCTCTCAAGTGGCTGGGACTACAGGCGTACACCACCACACCTGGCTAATTTTTTGTATTTTTGAAGAGACATGGTTTCGCCATGTTGCCCAGTCTGGTCTCAAATTCCTGGGCTTAAGTGATCCATCTGCCTTGGCCTCCCAAAGTGCTGGAATTACAGGCATGAGCCACTGCATCAGGCCTAGATTGTTTTTACTCCATAACTTTTCATTATCTTGCATTATCATGTTGAACTGCTTGCAGTTTCACAAATATACTGTATTTTTCACAGTTTAGAGATACGCTCTGCAATTTCCCTCACTGCACTGTCTGCCTGAATACTTATCCTTGTTCTTCCAGGTTTAGTTTATGGATCACCTCCTCTAGAAAGCCTTCTCCTAATCCCTTTCATGCACGCATTTCTCTCACAACAGTTTATTTAGCAGATAGTAAGTATCTGCTGTTACACAGATACCTGTTACTGAGGAGACCATAGAAAACACAACAGACGGTGGCTTACACCTGTAATCCCAGCACTTTGGGAGGCCGAGGCAGGTGAATCACCTGAGGTCAGGAGTACGAGGCCAACCTGACCAACATGGCAAAACCCTGTCTCTACTAAAAATACAAAAATTAGCCAGGCGTCTTGGCGGGCATCTGTAATCCCAGCTACTGGAGAGGCTGAGACATGAGAATAGCTTGAACCGGGGAGGTGGAGGTTACAGTGAACTGAGAGCGAGCCATTGCACTCCAGCCTGGCAACAGAGCGAGACTCCATCTCAAAAAAAAGAAAAAAGAAAACACAACAGAAAGGATTGTGTCTTTAAGTTGTTTGTATGCTAGTGAGAGGAAACAGATAGTAAATATGTAAAAAACAAAAAAGTCATGTTAACCTTTTAGATGATGATAGATGCTACGAAGAAATAAGACAGTGGGGCCGGGCACGGTGGCTCACTCCTGTAATCCCAGCACTTTGGGAGGCTGAGGCGGGCAGATCACAAGGTCAGAAGATCAAGACCATCCTGGCTAACACAGTGAAACCCTGTCTCTACTAAAAAAAATACAAAAAATTAGCCGGGTATGGTGGCAGGCACCTGTAGTCCCAGCTACTCGGGAGGCTGAGGCAGGAGAAACACTTGAACCTGGGAGGCGGAGGTTGCAGTGAGCCAAGATTGTGCCACTGCACTCCAGCCTGGGTGACAGAGCAAGAGTCCATCTCAAAAAAAAAAAAAAAAGGAAAAGGAAAGAAATAAGACAGTGGGATAGAGAGAAGATATTCCCAGGAGCACCACAGGAAAGGCCTGTGGAGGTAATATGTAAGGAGAGATCCAGAGAATGAGAAGAAGACTGTCATCTAAGTAAACATGAGAAAAGCTCTCTAGCAAAGGGGATAGCAAGCATGAAATCCCTGAAATGTGAATGCTTTCAGTACATTCTAGGAACTGACAAAGACCAACATCTCTAGAGTATCATGAACCTGGGGAAGGGTAGTATCAGGTGAAGATGGAGAGGGAGGTGGGAGCAGATAGTGTAGGGCCTTGTCGGCCATGACAAAGAATTCAGATTTTATTTTTAAGTCCAGTGGAAACTACTGAAATGTTTCAAACAAGGAAGTGACATGAAACCTGATTTACATTTAAAAGATATCACTCTGGCTATTAAGAATAGACTGAGGTGGAGAGGAAGAGGGCAGGAATAGGGGGACACAAAGAGACCAGGGAGGATGCCACTACAGTAGCATAGATGAGAACTTATGGTGGTTTGGATAAGGCTGGAGACAGTGGAGGAGGAAAGTAGGTTTACAAGAGATGTGTGTCAGAGGCAGAATCAGTAGGATTGGCTGTTGGGTTAGCTTTGGTAGCTAGGTGGATAGTAGTACCATTTATAGAGAATTGAGGAAGTCCAGGAGGTGGGGGGTAAAAAGCAATAATTCTCTTTTGGAGCTTAAGTGCCATATAACATTTAAAGGGAAATACATTAATAGCAGTTGGATATATAAGAGAAGAAGTCTAGGCTGGAGATGTAAAAATTTGGGAGTCACCAGCATGTAGATGATTTTTAAAGCTATAGGGAATTGTTGGAATCACAGAGAGAGCGAGAGTGAGAGTTAGGCAAGAGAGAACACAGGAGAGAGCGCAAGTGAGCAAGTGAACTGAGAAAGGCAAAGGCCTAGGGCAAAAGGTTAGATGTGCGGAGAAAAGTCAACCAGCAGGTAGTGTAAGTATAACTGGTAAGGCAGGAGGAAAAGCAGAAGAGCAGGATGTCATAAGCACAGAGTATGTTATAACACAATGTACTTTTATTTTCTTTGTTGTCTTCTCCACTTTGACATGCTTAAGGAGAGGGATCTCAACACAAATCAAAGGGTTTGGCATGTTATTGTTGATGAATGAATGAAGGGATGAATGAATTTTTAGGGAAGAACCTTGCCTTTATTGTGCTTTATACAGATCTGTAAGTAGTACAACTTTTATTTTGGTGCTTAATTTAAAAACACTGCCTCAAAATTACCTGAAGCATAGTGCTGTATTAATACTGAGATTAGAATTGCTAGGCATTTCTTTGGGAAAAATGCATTTTGAATTATTGGTTTTGTTTTATTTTCCTGGATATGTTCACAATGTTAGGTTCATTTAAAAGAAAAAAAATGTTACTTCAGTCAGCGCTCACTTTGCTAAACTTTACCTCTTACTGAATTCCACTTCATTTTTTTCCTTCTCCTTATTAATAAGCTCATTCTTTGAAAACTAACTTTATCTTGTGTGTGTTTCTTTTCGCTACTTTCAAAAACTTTAAGTATATTTGGTTTATTCTCCTTGGATTTCAAACTCATTTTTAGCTGTCCAAAGGTCTAATGCAAAAACTTTCAGCCGGGCGTGGTGGCTCACGCCTGTAATCCCAGCACTTTGGGAGGCCAAGGCGGGCGGATCATGAGGTCAGGAGATTGAGACCATCCTGGCCAACATGGTGAAACACCGTCTCTGCTAAAAATACAAAAATTAGCTGGGCGTGGTAGTGCATGCCTGTAGTCCTAGCTACTCGGGAGGCTGAGGCAGGAGAATCACTTGAACCCTGGAGGCGGAGGTTGCAGTGAGCCAAGATCATGCCACTGCGCTCCAGCCTGGCGACAGAGCAAGACTCTGTCTCAAAAAAAAAAAAAAACTTTTAGAAACCATTTTTTAAAAAATACCTGATAAAATTAAAGGTTTTTTAAAAAAACTGCAAACATATCTTTCTGGGTGGCCATGGACTTTGGGATTCTCCATCCCCTTGCTATCTGCACCTGTTAGATGACAGGAGCGCAGACTTCTCTTTTTCAAAGGTGGAGTGAAGTCTGTGGATAGAGGGAGTTCCTGGGGTGAGGTAGGATGTAAAGAGTCATGGGCAGAAGTGGACCCCCTACTAGGACCAGTCCCTGGGAATGCTTGGCTGAGCCAGTATCATTTTGTAGCTTTCCAGAGTCTCAAGAATGAGCCTGCCTTCTTCCTTAGCTACTACCTCATCTCTTGATTCAAGCCAGTTTCTCTCCTTTACTGCATGTGGTTTCTCACCCAGTCATTTGAAATTATCAAGTTTTTATTTATTTGATTTTATTACAAAATTTTTTAGTTTAGCTATGATTATTCATGTTTTTGCCACCCCCTCTTTTTTTTTTCTGAGACAAGGTCTCACTCTTTTGCCCAGGCTGGAGGGCAGTGGTGCGATCTCTGTTCACTGCAACCTCTGCCTTCCTGGCTCAAGCAATCCTCCCACCTCAGCCTCCTGAGTAGCTGGGACTACAGGTGTGCGCCACCACACCTGGCTAATTTTTGTATTTTTTCGTAGAGATGAGGTCTCACCATATTGCCCAGGCTGGTCTTGAACTCAAGTGATCTACCTGCCTTGGCCTCCCAAAGTGCTGGGAGCCACTGTACCCGGCCTGTTTATAATCGCTAATATACAAATCAAAAACAGTCAGGTAGTGAAAAGGCTCACTTGTATGTTCTTCCCAGCTCTTTTTATTTATAGCCAGTAGGAGAAAACATGCTCCAGAAATTGTTGCTATGTTAAAGGGTGGCATTCATATATAAAGAACCGGAAGTCAGGCATATTTATGTTGGGATAATTACAGTGCAAGGCTAACTATGACTAGTGCCAACTAGTGCATACCAAAGTATAAGGTAAATTCCTTGGAAGTAGCAATCACTGAGAGCTAGACTCTTTAGGGAGAAATGATGGATGAAGGGAAGCCTGGCCAACGTCTTGAAGATTAACAAAGAAAGGAGGAGGATATCCAGGCACATTTTCTACTTCATGTGAGAAAGTCTTAGGAGTTTTAGTTTAGTACAGGCTTAGTAAGATTGAACAGGGAAATGAGGCTGCTCAAAAAGGCTAATTCAGTTTTAGGATACTTTAATAAATGTAGCATGTCTAGGAAATGGGAGAGAAAATTTTCACTCTGCACTGGTCAAACATATGGAATTCTGGGATCACACTTTAAGAGGGACTTTGAGTGCTCACTTTGGCAGCACATGCACAAAAATTGGAACAATACAGAGAAGATTAGTAAGGTGTCTGCGCAAAGATGACATACAAATTTGTGAGGTGTTCCATATAAAATAAAAATAAAAAGAGGGACACTGATAAACTAGAATAGCTACAGAAGTATCCTAGTCTATTTTTTATTGCTATAACTGAATACTACAGACTGGATAATTTATAAAGAATAGAGGTTTAGGCCAGGCGTGGTGGCTCATGCTTGTAATCCCAGCACTTTGGGAGGCCAAGGTGGGTGGATCACAAGGTCAGGAGTTCGAGACCAGCCTGGCCAACACAGTGAAACCCCGTCTCTATTAAAAATACAAAAATTAGCCAAGCATGGTGGCGGATGCCTATAATCCCAGCGACTCAGGTGGCTGAGGCAGGAGAATCACTTGAACCCGGGAGGCCGAGGTTACAGTGAGCTGAGATCGAGCCACTGTACTCCAGCTGGGCAATAGAGCTAGACTCTGTCTCAAAAAAAAAAAAAAATTGGGGTGTGGTGGCTCACGCCTGTAATCCCAGCACTTTGGGAGGCCAAGGCAGGAGGATCACCTGAGGTTGGGAGTTCGAGACCAGCCTGACCGACATGGAGAAACCCCATCTCTACTAAAAATACAAAATTAGCCAGGTGTGGTGGCACATGCCTGTAATCCCAGCTACTCGGGAGGCTGAGGCAGGAGAATCACTTGAACCCGGGAGGCGGAGGTTGTGGTGAGCCGAGATCATGCCATTGCACTCCAGCCTGGGCAACAAGAGCAAAACTCTGTCTTAAAAATAAAAAATAAAATAAAATAAAATATAAAAAAAATAGAGGTTTATTTAGCTCACAGTTCTAGAGACTGGGAAGTTCACGAGCATAGTGCTGACATCTTGTAAGGGCCTTCTTGCTGAGTGATAACATGATGGAAAGCATCACATGGTGAGAGGGCAAGACAGTCAGAGAGAGCTTGCTTTTATAACAAAGCCATTCCAATGATAATGAGCCCACTTCTTTGATAGTGACATTGATCCAATCATGAGGGCACAGCCCTCATTAACCCATTAATTCATTCATGAGGACAGAGGCATTAAGTTTCCAACACGTGAACTTTTGGGGGACACATTTAAACCATAGCAAGAGGAGAGTGAGGAAATTTGAAGGAAGCTGATTCACTTAATTAGACTATAGGCTCTGCCATCAATCAGGCCTGAGTTCATATACCATCTCTGCAGCTTATTAACCATGTGAATTTGGCAAGTTACCTAATTTATCTTCATGTTCCTATCGGTAATATGGAGATAGAAATAGTGTGTATGTTTTAGGAATGTTGTGAGAATTAAATGCATATAAAGATCTTAAGCCTATGCCTAAAACATAATAAACTCATAATAAACAGTAATTCATTGACAGGAATAATTAAAGGAACCAGATAAGTAAACATGAACAAAGAATATGACTTTTTTCTGTATAGCTTCAGAGACTAGAAGTTACAAACATACAGCTCAATATAAGAAATTTGTTTCTAAGAATATGAGCTAACTGGCCAGGCATAGTGACTCACACCTGTAATCCCAGCACTTTGGGAGGCCAAGGCGGGTGGATCACCAGAGGTCAGGAGTTCGAGACCAGACTATCCAATATGGTGAAACCCCATCTCTACTAAAAATACAAAAATTAGCCGGGCATGGTGGCATATGCCTGTAATCTCAGCTACTTGGGATGCTGAGGCAGGAGAATCACTGGAACCTGGGAGGTGGAGGCTGCAGTGATTAGAGATCACACCACTGCACTTCAGTCAGGCAACTGGGCCAGACTCTGTCTCAAAAAAAAAAAAAAAAAAAGCTAGCTAACAATAAATTGGGCTACCTCAGAAAGTGATCATGGTGGTGGTGGGGTGGGGGAACAGAGCAAGATGGTATAATAGAAGGCTCCACTGAACATACCCCTCAACAGGAACACAAAATTTAACAATTTTCTACACACAAAAAAACACCTTCATAAGAACCAAAAAATCAGATGAGAACTCACAATACCTTGTTTTAACTTCATATTACTGAAAGGCACTGAAGAGGGCAGGAAAGAGTCTTGAATTGCTGATACCAATCACCCCCAATCCCAGCAGTGGCTGCATGGCATGGAGAGAGAATCTGTGCACTTGGGGATGGAGAGTGCAGTGATTGTGAGACTTTGCATTGAACTCAATGCTGCCTTGTCACAGTGGAAAGCAAAACTGAGCTGAACTCAGGTGATGCCTGCCCACAGAGGGAGCATATAGGCCAGCCCCAGCCAGAGGGGAATCGCACATCCCAGTGATCAGAACTTGAGTTCTGGGAAGCCTTATCATGGAGTGCTAAAGTACCCTGGGGCCCTAAATAAACTTGAAAGGCAGTCTAGGCCACAAGGACTGCAACTCCTAGGTAAGTCCTAGTGCTGAGCTGAGCTCAGATCCAGTGGACTGCAGGGGCACATGACCTACTGAGACACCAGCAGGTGCTGTTAAGGGAGTACTTGTGCCACTCCTTTCCTAACCCCTAACCCCAGGCTGCACAGTTTGCAGCTCCAAAAGAGACCCTTCCTTCCGCATGAAGAGAGGAAAGGGAAGAGCAAAGAGAATTTTGTCTTGCATCTGGGATACCCGCTCAGTCACACTAGGATAGGGCACCAGGCAGAGTCATGAGAACCCCATTCTGGGCCCTAGCTTCTGGATTACATTTATTGACACATCGTTGGCCAGAAGGGAACCTGCTGCCTTGAAGGGAAGGATGCGGTCATGGCAGGACCCATCACTTACTGACTAAAGAGCCCTTGGGCCTTGAATAACTATCAGCAATACTCAGGTAGTACACTGTGGGCCTTGAGTGAGACTCTGAGGCATGCTGGCTTGTCTGAAATTATCCAGGTTAGGCCAAGCACATTCACAGCCCTGTTGGCTATGGTGACAGATGCCATCTGCTTGAAAAAAGCAGAGGAAAAAGTAAAGGGAAATTTGTTTTGCGTCTTAGGTAGCAGGTAGGGCACAGTGGGGTAGAGCACCAAGCGGGCTCTTGGGGTCCCTGATTCTAGGCCTTGGCTCTTGGATGGCATTTCTGGACCTGCCCTGGGCCAGAGGGGAGCCCAATGCCCTGAAGGGTGAGTCCCAGGCCACGCAGCATTCACCACAAACTGATTGAAGAGCCCTTGGGCCTTAAGTGAACATTGGGAGTAGCCTGGCAGTGATCCATATGGGCCTGTGACATTGGTGGCCGTGGGGTGAGGCTCCTCTGCCTGTGAAAGGGGAGGGAAAAGTAGGAAGGACTGAGTCTCATGGTTCGAGTGCTAGCCCAGCAGCAGTATAATAAGACACCAGGTAGATTTCTAAGGTTTTTGACTCCAGTCCCTAGCTCCCAGTTGGGATCTCTGGACCCACCTGGGGCTTGGGGAACTCACCTCCTGAAAGGGAGGGACAGAAGCCTGTCTTGCTTCACCACCTGCTGATTGTAGAGACCTACGGCTTTGAGTGAACATAGGTGGTAGCCAGGTAGTGGATACAGTGGGTCTTGGGCAAGACCCAGTGCTATGCTGGCTTCAGATCTGACCTAGCACAGTTGAGTGGTGGTGGCCATAGCAGTGCTTGTGTCATCCCACCTCCAGCTCCAGGCAGCTCAGCACACAGAGAGAGGGTCTGAATGTTTGGGAGAGAGTAAGGGGAAAAAAACCAAGAGTTTCTGTCTGGTAATCCAGAGAATACTTCTGGATCTTATCCATGACCACAAGGTGATACTTCTATGAGTCTGCAAGAACCATGATGTTACTGGACTTGGGGTGCCCCCTAATGCAGATATGGCTTAGATCACAACACCCAAGTTCCTTCAAATACCTGGAAAGCCTTCCCAAGGACAGACACAAACAAGCCCAGACTGCGAAGACTGCAATAAGTACTTAACTCTTCAGTGCCCAGACACTGAAGAACTTCTACAAGCATCAACACCATCCAGAAAAACATGACCTCACCAAACTAAATAAGGCACCAGGAACTAATCCTGGAGAAACAAAGATATGTGACCTTTCAGACAGAGAATTCAAAATAGTGGTTTTGTGGAGACTCAAAGAAATTCGAGATAACACAGAGAAAGAATTTCGAACTTTATCAGATAAACTTAACAAGGAGATTGAAATAATTAAAAATCAAGCAGAAATTCTGGAGTTGAAAAATGCAATTGAAATACTGAAGAATGGATCAGCGTTCTTTTAATAGCAGTTTTAATTACAGAATTGATCAAGCAGAAAGAATTAGTGAACCTGAAGACAGGCTATTTGAAAATACATAAAGGAGACAAAAAAGAATAAAAAAGAATGAAACATGCCTACAAGATCTAGAAAATAGCCTCCAAAGGGCAAATCTAAGAGTAATTGGCCTTAAAGAGGAGGTAGAGAAAGAGACAGGATAGAAGGTTTATTCCAAGAGATAATATCAGAGAACTTCCCAAACCTAGAAAAAGATAATTGACATTCAAGTACAAGAAGATTATAGAACACCAAGCAGATTTAACATTTAACCCAAAGAAGATGACCTCAAGGCTTTTTTTTTTTTTTTTTTTTTTTTGAGATGGAGTGGAGTCTTGCTCTGTCGCCCAGGCTAGAGTACAGTGGTGTGATCTCAGCTCACTGCAACCTCAGCCTCCTGGGTTCAAGGGATTCTTCTGCCCCAGCCTCCTGAGTAGCTGGGATTACAGCACATGCCGCCACACCCAGATATTTTTTTTGTATTTTTAGTAGATATGGGGTTTTGCCATGTTGGCCAGGTTGGTCTCGAACTCCTAACCTCAAGTTATCCACCTCCCTCAGCCTCCTAAAGTGCTGGGATTACAGACGTGAGCCACCACGCCTGGCCCCTCAAGGCATTTAATAATCAAACTCCCAAAGCTCAAAGATAAAGAAAGGATCCTAAAAGCAACAGAAGAAACAAATAACATACAATGGAACTCCAGTATGTCTGGCAGCAGACTTCAGTGGAAACCTTACAAGCCAAGAGAAAGTGGAATGAAATATTTAAAGTGCTGAAGGAACCTTAGACTACTGCATCTGGAAAAAATATGCTTTAAACATGAAAGAGAAATAAAGACTTTCCTAGACAAACAAAAGCTAAAGGATTTCATCAACATCAGACCTGTCCTACAAGAAATGCTAAAGAAGGTACTTCAATCAGAAAGAAAAGGATGTTAATGAGCAGCAAGAAATCATCTGAAAGTACAAAACTCAGTGGTAATATTAAGTACAGAGAAAAAACACAGAATATTATAACACTGTAACTGTGGTGTGTAAACTACTCTTAAGTAGAAAGACTAAAAGATGAACCAATCAAAACAATAACAATTTTTCAAGACATAGTACAGATGTCGAGCAATGGGCTCTCGTGACAACTGGCACAAGTGCTGCAAGACAGGGGCAAGAGTAAGCCCTCCCACAAGAAGTGGAAGTATGAGCTGGAGTGCCCCGCTGCCAACACCAAGATTGGCCCCCGCTGCGTCCACACAGTCTGTGTGCAGGGACGTAACAAGAAATACTGTACCTTGAGGCTGGATGTGGGGAATTTCTCCTGGGGCTCCAAGTGATGTAGGTGCAAAACAAGGATCATCAATGTTGTCTACAGTGTGTCCAATAACAAACTGGTCCGTACCAAGATGCTATTGAAGAACTGCATCGTGCTCAGTGACAGCACACTCTACTGACAGTGGTGAAAATCCCACTATACATTGTCCCTGGGCTGCAAGAAGGGGGCCAAGCTGACTCCTGAGGAGGAAGAGATTTTAAACAAAAAACAATCTAAAAAAATTTAGAAGAAATATGATGAAAGGAAAAAGAATGCCAAAATCAGCAGTCTTCTGGAGGAGCAGTTCCAGCAGGGCAAGCATCTGGCATGTATCACATCAAGGCCAGAGCAGTGTGGCCCAGCAGATGGCTATGTGCTAGAGGCCTGGGAGTTGGAGTTTTATCTTTGGAAAATCAAGGCCCAGAAAGGCAAATAAATCCTCATCCTTTCTGTATTTGCTTATGTAATAAAGGTGTTTATTGTTCTGTAACAAGAAAAAAAAAGACATAGAAAGTATAATAAGATATAAATAGAAACAACAAAAAGTTAAAAAGCAGGGGGATGAAATCAAGGTGTGTAGAGTTTTATTACTGGCTGGGCATGGTGACTCATGCCCAGCTTAAACATTCAAAAAATTTGAATTGAACTTAAAACATTCAAAGAATTTGAAATAATATCAAGCACCTTCTCTGACCACAATGGAATAAAACTAGAAATCAATAACAAGAGGAATTTTGGAAACTATACAAACAGATGGAAATTAAAAAATATGCTTTTGAGTGACCAGTGAGTCAATGAAGAAATTAAGAAGGAAATTGAAAATTTTCTTGAAACAAATGATAATGGAAATGCAACATATGAAAACCTATGGGATACAGTGAAAGCAGTACTAAAAGAGAAATTTATAGCTATAAGTGTCTACATCAACAAAGAAGAAAAACTTCAAATAAATAACCTAGTGATGCATCTTAACAAATGACAAAAACAAGAGCAAACCAAACCAAAATTAGCTGAAGAAAAGAAATAATAAAGATCAGAGGAGAAATAAATGACATTGGAATGAAGAAAACAATACAAAAGATGAATGAAACAGAAAGTTGATTTTTTTGAAAAGTTAAACAAAATAGACAAACCTTTAACCAGACTAGGAAAAAAAGAGAGAGGATCCAAATAAATAAAATCAGAGATGAAAAAGAAGACATTACAATTGATACTGCAGAAATTCAAAGGATCATTAGTGGCTATGATGAGCAACTGTATGCCAATAAATTGGAATATCTAGAAGAAATGGATACATTTGTAGACAAATACAACCTACAGAGATTGAACCATGAAGAAATCCAAAACCTGAACAGACCAATAACGTAATGAGATTGAAGCCATAATAAAACGTCTTCCAGCAAAAAAAGCCCAGGCCCTTATGGCTTCACTGCTGAATTCTATTAAACATTTAAAGAGGAACTAATACCAATGCTACTTAAACTAGTCTGAAAAATAGAGGAGGAGGGAATACTTCCAAACTCATTTTTTGAGGCCAGTATTACCCTGATACCAAAACCAGACAAAGATACATCAAAAAAAGGAAACTGCAGGCCAGTATCACAGATGAATATTGATACAAAAATCCTCAACAAAATACTAGCAAAACAAATTCAACGACACATTAAAAAGGTCATTCATCGGCCAGGCGCGATGGCTCACGCCTGTAATCCCAGCACTGTGGGAGGCTGAGGCAGGTGGATCACCTGTGGTCAGGAGTTTGAGACCAGCCTGGCCAACATGGTGAAACCTCATCTCTACTAAAAATACAAAAATTAGCTGGTATGGTGGTGGGAACCTGTAATCCCAGCTACTCAGGAGGCTAAGACAGGAGAATTGCTTAGAACCCAGATGGCAGAGGTTACAGTGAGCGAAGATCATGCCACTGCACTCCAGCCTGGGCAACAAAGAGCAAAACTCCGTCTCAAAAAAAAAGAAATTGAAAATCCCAGAAAATAATGGAAAGATATTCCATGTTCATTTATTGGCAGAATTAATATTGTTTTTTTTTTTTTGAGACAGAGTTTAGCTCTTGTTGCCCAGGCTGGAGTGCAATGGCATGATCTCGGCTCACCGCAACCTCCGCCTCCCGGGTTCAAGGGATTCTCCTGCCTCAAGCCTCCCGAGTAGCTGGGATTACAGGCATGCCCCATCACACCTGGCTAATTCTGTATTTTTAGTAGAGATGGGGTTTCTCCATGTTGGTCAGGCTGGTCTCAAACTCCTGACCTCAGGGGATCCCCCCCCCTTGGCCTCCCAAAGGGCTGGGATTATAGGCGTGAGCCACCGCGCCTGGCCCAGCAGAATTAATATTGTTAAAGTGTCTGTACTACCCCCCAAATATCTACAGATTCAATGCAATCTCTATCAAAATACCAATGACATTCTTCACAGATATAGAAAAAACAATCCTAGGCCGGGTGCAGTGGCTCACGCCTGTAATCCCAGCACTTTGGGAGGCCAAGGTGGGTGGATCACCTGAGGTCAGGAGTTCGAGACCAGCCTGACCAACATGGAGAAACCCTGTCTCTACTAAAAATACAAAATTAACCAGGCATGGTGGTGCATGCCTGTAATCCCAGCTACTCAAGAGGCTGAGGCAGGAGAATCGCTTGAACCCAGGAGGCGGAGGTTGCGGTGAGCCGAGATTGCACCATTGCCCTCCCGCCTGGGCAACAAGAGCGAAACTCTGTCTCAAAAAAAATAAATAGATTAAAAAAAGACTTAAATCTAAGACTACGAAACTACTACAAGAAAACACTGGGTGAAACTCTCCAGAATATTGGAGTAGGAAAAGATTTCTTGAGTAATACCCCACGAGTACAGGCAGCCAAAGCAAAAATAGACAAATGGGATCATATCAAGTTAAAAAGCTTCCTCACAGCAAAGGAAATAACAACATGATGAGACAACCCATAGAATGGGAAAAAATATTTGCAAACTACCCATCTGACAAGGGATTAATAACCGTAATATATAAAGAGCTCTAACAACTCTAATATAGTTTGGATGTGTGACCCCACTGAAATCTCATGTTGAATTGTATTCCTCAGTATTGGAGGTGAGGCCTGGTGGGAGGTGATTGGATCATGTGGGTAGATGTCTCATAAATGGTTAAGCACCATCCCCTTGATGCTGTCCTCATGATAGTGAGTTCTCGTGAGATCTGGTTGCTTCAAAGTGTGCCTCCCACCCCTGCTCTTGCTCCTGCTTTCGCCATGTGACATGCCTGCTCTTCCTTCACCTTCCACCATGATTATAAGCTTCCTGAGGCCTCCCCAACAGCAGATGCTGCTATGCTTCCTGTGCAGCCTGCAGAACCAGGAGCCAATTAAACCTCTTTTCTTTATAAATTACCCAGTCTCAGATATTTCTCTCTTTTTAAAAAATTTCCTTTGTTTTTGTTTTTTGGAAACAAAGTCTCACTGTGTTGCCCAGTCTAGTTTCAAACTCCTGGGCTCAAGCAATCCTCCTGCCATGGCCTCCCAAAGGACTGGAATTACAGGCATGAGTCACCACACCTGTCTTAGTTATTTATAGCAATGCAAGAATGGCCTATTACAAACTCTATAGGAAAAGAAAAACTAATAATCTGATTTAAAAATAGGCAAAAGATCTAAATAGACATTTCTCAAAAGAAGACATGAAAATAGCAAACAGGGGCAGATCACCTGAGGTCAGGAGTTTGAGACGAGCCTGGCCAACATGGTGGAACCCTGTCTCTGATAAAAATACACAAATTAGCTGGGTGTGGCGGTGGGTGCCTGTAATCCCAGCTACTCAGGAGGCTGAGGCAGGAGAATTGCTTGAACCTGGGAGGCGGAGGTTGCAGTGAGCTGAGATAGTGCCACCCACACCCCAACCTGGGTGACAGAGTAAGACTCTGTCTCAAAACAAAACAACAACAACAACAAAAAAGAGGCCGGGCGCAGTGCTCACGCCTATAATCCCAGCACTTTGGGAGGTCGAAGTGGGCAGATCACAAGGTCAGGAAATCGAGACCATCCTGGCCAACTGGGTGAAACCCGTCTCTACTAAAAATACAAAAATTAGCTGGGCGTGGTGGTGCACACCTGGAGTCCCAGCTACTTGGGAGGCTGAGGCAGAATAGCTTGAACCAGGGAGTCAGAGGTTGCAGTGAGCTGAGATCACGCCACCACACTCCAGCCTGGCAACAGAGCCAGACTCTGTCTCAAAAAAAAAAAAAAAAAAAAGATCTGGAAACAACCTCAGTGTCCATAAACAGATGAATGGGCTGCTCTGTCTATGGAGTAGCCATTCTTTTGTTTCTTTACTTCTCTAATAAACTTACCTAAAAAAAATAAAACAAAACAAAAACAAAAAACCCAGATGAATGGATAAAGAAAATTGGTACATATACATAATGGAGTACCATTCAGCCATAAAAAAAGAATGAGAACCTATCATTTGCAACAACATGGATGGTCATTATGTTAAGTGAAATAAGGCAGGCACAGAAAGACAAACATTGCATGTTTTCACTTATCTGTGGGCACTAAAAATTAAAGTCATTCACTTATCTGTGGGTGCTAAAAATTAAACTCTTTGAATTCATGGAAATAGATTGTAGAAGGCTGGTTACCAGAGGCTGTGAATGGTAGTGGGGAAGATGAGAGGAGGGAATTGGGGATGGTTAATGGGTACAAAAAAAGAAAAAAGGCCAGGCACAGTGGCTCACACCTGTAATCCCAGCACTTTGGGAGGCCGAGGCAGGTGGATCACTTGAGGTCAGGAGTTTGAGACCAGCCTGGCCAAAATGGTGAAACCCCATGTCTACTAAAAATACAAAAAATTAGCCAGGCCTGGTAGCCTGAGCCTATAATCCCAGCTACTTGGGAGGCTGAGGCAGGAGAATTGCTTGAACTGGGTGGCAGAGGTTTTGGTGAGTCGAGATCATGCCACTGTATTCCAGCCTGGGGGACAGAGTGAGACTCTGTCTCAAAAAAAAAAAAAAAAAAAAAAAAGAATAAGACATACTATTTGCTAGCATGACAGGGTAACTATAATAAAAATAATTTAATTGTACATTTTAAAATAACTAAAAGTATAATTGAATTGTTTGTAACACAAAGGATAAATGCTTGAGGTGATGGATACCCTATTTACCTTGATATGATTATTATGCATAGCATGCCTGTATCAAAATATCTCATGTAATCCATAAATACATATGCCTACTATGTACCCACAAAAATTTAAAAAATAAAGTGATGACTGCCACCTCTCTTTCAACATCCCCACCCATCTCACAGTACTCTCATGGTTCTCTCAAGCTGTGCCCCTGGAGTACCATGGGTACAGCTTGATATTGCTGAGAGGATTCATCTATTAGGTAAGGTACCAAACTAGATATGCAAGATCATTTCCAAATATGCTATTCTGATCATTCATTCACCAGATGCTTATTGAGCTCCTACATCTTCATGGATACTATTTAAGTGGTGTGGGGAGAGCAGTGAGCAAAATAGACATGGTCCTTGTCTTTATGCTACTTACCAGTCTTTGGTTTTATAGCTCCAGTGGACACCCTTTCCTTCAGATTTTTTTTCTTTTTTTTTTTTTTTTTGTTTCTCCTCTTACCTACCTGATGGTATCTCCTTTGCTCATTCAATTGTTGTTTTTCGTCATTCCTGTCGTACTTGACACCCTACAATTTTTTCTGAATTCTCTTTTAATTTCCCTTGTATGCTTTTTTCTTTGGCCATCTCTTCTAGTATATCTAGCATTATAGACTATTAGATTTGTCTTCCTAAATATGTTTCCATGCTCAAAACCTCTCGATTACTCCCCATTGTCTATTGGATTAAAAAGCTTGTTTTTGAGGCCTTTAGCTGGATATTTCAATCCACTTCTCCAGACTTATCTCCACTTGACACTGTCACCTTTGGGTGGATTGAACGACCCCTGCTTCCTTTTTCCCCCTTTGATCCTTTCCTTGCCTTCCTGTTTCTTGGGGTCTTTGTTTTTTTAGATCCCAGGAAAACTATGTCTCCACCTGAAATCCTCTCTTTCATTTAAAGCTCATTGCTAATGGTAACATGTATGTGGCCTTCACAGATGAAAGTGAACTAACTTGTCCCCTCTCTGAACCACAGGGTACCTATATGGCACTCTGTTTTTTTCTTCTCACTTAAACAGTTCATCAGTCCTTGAGATTTGTTGTTATATTTTAATAGGATCTAGTATTGTGATTTACATAATATAGGGATTCAATAAATATTTATTGACAGATTAAGGGATTATACAATAGGATTATACAACTTAATTTAAAGAGAAAATTATATCTTATGAATGCAAAAAAAATCTCTTAACAGTTTTGAAGGTAAACTGTTTATTGAGCAGCTACTATGTGCCAGGTACTGTTCTAGGCACTGAGGATAACCACAGTGAATAAAACAGTTTACAAAATATTCTATATCAAACGATGGTAAGTGCTTTGAAGCAAGATAAGTGAGGATAAAAAGGATGGATATCGAAGGAGGTACTACTTAATATGGGGGTACGGGGAGGCTTCTCTGACAGACCGGCAGACATTTGAACAGAGATAATACATATAAGTGCCCACTATTCATTGGGATTAATTTTTAAATGGTCAGTAAGTTATACTTGAAAAAATTTGATTTTGATTTTTAGTTTCACCCTGTTACATATATATGCATTATTTAAAAATTAAGGTCTCATTGATAATGTCTATTGGGATTTGTTTCTCATAAAAAATTCAGTAAGATAACTCTTGAATATCTCTTAGTATAGTTGGAAAAATGCTTAAATTGTAATGTTTTAGTAACTTATGCTAATGTTATCAAGAGAGTCATATTTCTAACTATAAATTTCAGAATTGATGGAGCCAAAAGAAATTTAGACAGAACACTGGGTAAAAGAACACCTCTATTACCACCACCTGATTATCCTCAAACTGTAAGTTTATGTTTTCTCGTTAAAAAGTTTATCCTTATATCATTTTAATTTGTAGTTAAGACAATCTCAATATAACTGATGTTTTTAAAAGGAATAATAGATATATTTAAACTATATATTTAATTTTTAAACAATTTAAATTAATTTTAAAATGTTCTCCTTGATTTAATTATATCCTGTTTGTTTTTGACAGATGACCAGTGAAATGAAAAAAAAAGGAGTGAGTTCAAGTTTTTATATTTCTTGTTTGAAAATGTTCAAAGAAATTATTGCAAAGTAGTTTCATCTAAGACCACCTGCTAAGTCCCATTCTAGAAAATAAATAAATTTAGAAACTGAGGTTTTTATTTTCTCTTCCCAAGGGAGCAAACATGTCATGAACAACAATATGGCAATATAGATTTTTTTGTTTTTTTGTTTTAAACAAGGTCTTGCTCTGTCACCAAGGCTGGAGGGCAGTGGTGCGATCTCGGGTCACTGCAGCCCCACCACTCAGGCTCAAGCAGTCCTCCCACCTCAGCCTCCTGAGTAGCTGGGACTGCAATCACATGCCACCATGCTTGGATAATTTTTAAAATTATTTGTAGAAATGAGATCTCACTATATTGCCCAGGCTGGTCTTGAACTCCTGGACTCAAGTGATCCTCCCACCTTGGCCTATCAAATTGCTAGAAATACAGGTTTGAGCCACTGTGCCCGGCCAATATGGGTTTTAAGAATTACATTTTTGTTGGCATTCACTATTTGCAGATTAATTACGTAAATATTTTCATTCTTATTCCAAACAACTGAAAAAAAACTCAAAGTGGCAGTTATAAAGGAACTCCATCTCTCTTTTTCATTAGGGTAATAATTGAGTATTCTAATATTGATATAATGATATAGTAGCCACTCAGCAAATATGTATTTAGAATCTGTTATGTGCTTGCCAAATGCTAGGTGCTAGAGATTAAAAAAAAAAAAGACACTGACTGCATGAGTGGCAACAGGGGACTTATGATATGATTGGTGGAAAGACAAAAACATCTAAAATTTCTTTACTAGCAAAGGATAACAGAAACGTATGGAACTGGAGACGTGAAAGAGGAAATCATGCAGCATGTTTTCAGATGGGGTATAAGCTTCTCAAGTCCCTTAAAATTCACTTTGGGGGATAGAGGCTGAAGATGTGAATTCAACCTCTATGAATTCAGGATATTTGGAAGAAACTCTTTTTAGCTTTTCCTTGTTTTGGTTTTGGTTTTTAAAATGCTCTTCTTCCTCCTTACCTGGCCACCCGTTTCTGGAGAATTTGGATGTGGATCTTTCTTTTTACTAGGTATAATTACTGATACACAACATTCCCAAAACATTAATAAATATTTAATGTACAAATTGCCAAATGTATTTAATATTTGCGTGTATGTGTTTAGTATCCTCATTGTTCCTAGCCAGGCATACAGTCATTCACTCCTGAGCCCACTGCTCTTGGCAATATGGCTTCTAGGAATTCCATCACTTCATCATGAATGTCATCAATAACTACTAACTGCCAAATTCAAAGGATATTTTTTCTTTTATTTATTTATTTTTTTTTTTTGAAATGGAGTCTCACTCTGTTGCCCAGGCTAGAGTGCAGTGGCGTGATCCTGGCTCACTGCAAACTCCATCTCCCAAGTTCTAGTGATTCTCCTGCCTCAGCCTCCTGAGTAGCTGGGATTACAGACATGTGCCACCACACCCACCTAAATTTTGTATTTTTAATAGAGATGGGGTTTCACCATGTTGGCCAGGCTGGCCTCGAGCTCCTGACCTCAGGTAATAAACCCATCTCAGCCTCCCAAAGTGATGGGATTACAGGTGTGAGACATCTCGCCTGGCCAAAAGATATTTTTTCTATACTTCTCTCTCTTGGACCTCCACCTGTCTCTTTTTTGAGACACAGTCTCCCTCTTGTCAGCTAGGCTGGCGTGCAGTGGTGCGATCTTGGCTCACTGCTACCTCTGTCTCCCGGGTTCAAGCGATTCTTCTGCCTCAGCCTCCTGAGTAGCTAAGATTACAGGCGCCTGCCACCATGCCGAGCTAATTTTTGTATTTTTAGTAGAGACAGGGTTTCACCATGTTGGCCAGGCTGGTCTTGAACTCCTGACCTCAAGTGATCCACCCACCTTGGCCTCCCAAAGTGCTGGGATTACAGGCGGAGCCACCGCACCCAGCCTCTACCTGTCTTTTTTAAAAAACTTTGATTAGTGGAACAGAATAGATGACCTAGAAATAGACGCACACAAGTATAGCCAGCTGATTTTTTCTTTTTTCTTTTTTTTTAGAGACAGGGGTCTCTCTTTGCTGCCCAGACTGGTCTTGAGCTCCTGGGCTCAAGTGATCCTCCTGCCTCAGCTTCCTGAGTAGCTGGGACTACAAGAGCATGCCACCATCCCCCTGATTTTTGACTAAGTTGCGAAAATCATTCAGTGGAGGAAGAATAGTCTTTTCAATGAATGGCGGAAAGCAATTGGATATCCATAAAATAAAAAAAACCTCAGCCTAAAGCTCCCACCTTGTACAAAAATTAACTAAAAATTGATCATAGGTGTAAATGTAAAACATAAAACTATAAAAAAATTTAGAAAAAGGCATAGGATAAACATAAACTATAAAACTTTTAGAAAAATCTAGCCTAGGCAAAGAGTTCTTAGGTATGTCCTCGAAAGCACAATCCAGAATTTTTTTTTTTTTTTTTTTTTTTTTTTTTTTTTTTTTGAGACAGAGTCTCACTTTGTCGCCCAGGCTGGAGTGCAATGGCGCGATCTCGGCTCACTGCAACCTCCACCTCCCCAGATCAAGCAATTCTCCTGCCTCAGCCTCCTGCAGAAAATTTTTTAAAACTCAGTAAATTAGACTTCATCAAAATTAAAAGCTATTGCTCAGTGAAAGACCCTGTTAAGAGGATGAAAAAACAAGCTACACACTGGGAGAAAATATTCACGAATTGGCTATCCAACAAAGGACTTGTATCTAGAATATATAAATAACTCTTTAAACTCAGCAGTATGAAAGCAAAAAATCTGATTAGAAAATGGGTAAAAACGGGCCGGGTGCTCACACCTGTAATCCCAGCACTTTGGGAAGCCGGGGTGGGCGGATCATGAGCTCAGGAGATCGAGACCATCCTGGCTAACACGGTGAAACCCCGTCTCTACTAAAATACAAAAAATTAGCTGGGCGTGGTGGCGGGCGCCTGTAGTCCCAGCTACTCGGGAGGCTGAGGCAGGAGAATGGCGTCAACCCGGGAGGCGGAGCTTGCAGTGAGCCGAGATGGTGCCACTTCACTCCAGCCTGGGTGACAGAGCAAGACTCCGTCTCAAAAAAAAAATAATAATAATAAATAAAATAATAAAATAAAAATAAAAAGGAAAAGAAAATGGGTAAAAACGGTCAGGCGCAGTGGCTCATGCCTGTAATCCAAGCACTTTGGGAGGCCGAGGCGGGCGGTTCGAGACTAGCCTGGCCAACATGGTGAAACCGTCGCTACTAAAAATACAAAATTAGCTGAGTGTGGTGGCACACACCTGTAATCTCAGCTACTAGGGGTGCTGAGGCAGGAGATCGCTTGAACTCCGGAGGCAGACGTTGCAGTGAGCCGAGATTGCGCCACTGCACTCCAGTCTGGGCGACAAGAGCGAAACTCCGTCTCAAAAAAGAAAGGAAAAGAAAATAGGTAGAAGAAAGATAAGGTAACGCTGTAGCCACAGAGCCGCCACAGCCTCCGGCTTTCCCCAACCCAACGTCGGCCATCGGCTCCGCGGCGCTACCATGGCCGACGTGGAAGACGGCGAGGAACCCTACGCCCTGACCTCTCACTCCAGGAGCGCAGGCTCCAAGTCGGGAGGCGACAAGATGTTCTAGCTCAAGAAGTGGAACGTGGTGGCCATGTGGAGCTGGGCCGTGGAGTGAGATATGTGCGCCATCTGCAGAGTCCAGGTGATGGATGCCTGTCTCAGATGTCAAGCTGAAAACAAACAAGAGGACTGTGTTGTGGTCTTGGGAGAATGTAATCATTCCTTCCGCAACTGCTGCATGTCCCTGTGGGTGAAACAGAACAATCGCTGCCCTCTCTGCCAGCAGGACTGGGTGGCCCAAAGAATCGGCAAATGAGAGCGGTTAGAAGGCTTCTTAGTGCAGTTGTTCAGAGCCTTGGTGGATCTTGTTATCAAGTGCCCTTCAAAGGCTAGAACACTCCAGGGGATTACTTCTTCAAATAGGAGTCGATGGATCTGTGGTCCTTTGGGACACATCAAAGGCTTGGTTTAGCATTTTGTCAGTTTTATTTTCAGAAATTCTCTACAATTAAGAAGATAATTTATTAAAGATGATCCTTTCTACCTCTGTGGTATGTGTCGCACACATAGCTTAGGAGTGCTATAAAAAAGGAGAGAACTCCAAACTGAATCACCTTTATAATTTACCCATTTCTATACAACAGGCTGTGGAATCAGTTTCATTCAGAGGAGAACTTTTTGCATGCTTACGGTTGATCAGTTAAAAAAGAATGTTATGGTAACAAATAAAGTGCAGTTTAAACCCCCTCCTCCCAAAAAGAAAGATATGAACAGACATTTTACCATAGAGGATACACGGATGGCAAATAAGCACGCGAAAGATGTTCAACATCATTAGCCGTTATGGTAATACAAATTAAAACCTTGATTCGTTTTCACTACATACCTATTAGGATGGCTGAAATAAAAATCAGTGACAATTTCAGCTGACTTTTGACACCACTGACCATTTATTTCCTTTCTAACATTCCTTTATGTTTATTCATCTGGTTCTCTATTATTTCTCTGTCATCTCCACAGGTTCCTCTTTCTTGACTGGCTGTAGCCACTCTTCTCTTTCCTTGAATCTCCATGGATGATTCTCTCCTTTTCTGATTTCAGCTACCTTTCATATATTGATGACTCCCAGAGACTTTTTTGCACAAATACCTCAGAATCAACGTGTCAAAAAAATGAGACCACAAGCTTCCTCCATAAGACTCCTCTTGCACATTTTCTATTCTAGTTGTTATCACCATCAATCCGGTTACTCATGCTTAAAATATCTGAATCTGAACTTCTTGTTCCCCTTCCCCAACTACCTCCCTCCCATATGCTTAGTTCCCAAGAGCTCTATATAGTTCTCAAAACAGTCATTTTCTTGTCCTAGCCTTAGATCAGAGCTTCATCTCTTATCTTGACCACAGCAGCCAACAGCAGCTTTTCTTTCTTTCTTTTCTTTTCTTTTCTTTTTTTTGAGACAGAGTAGTCTTGCTCTGTCACCCAGGCTGGAATCCAGTGGGGCAACCTAAGCTCACTGCACCCTCCACCTCCCGGCTTCAAGCAATTCTTGTGCCTCAGGCTCCCAAATAGCTGGGATTACAGGCACATGCCACCATGCCTGGCTAATTTTTTATATTTTTAGTAGAGACAGGGTTTCACCATGTTGGCCAAGCTGGTCTCAAACTCCTGACCTCCAGTGATCCACCTGCTTCAGCTTCCCAAAGTGCTGGGGTTACAGGTGTGAGCCACCGTGCCCGGCCAGGAATTGCTTCTTAATCAACTACTATGATATCGAGCACTAAAAATAGTTACTTAATGAATGATTGATGAATGAATAAATATAAAAACACATGTTCAGTAAAATGTAACAGCTGTTATAATAGAAGTGTGAAGAGACTACAGTGAGGGCATAATATAGAAAGTTTTTTTTTTTATGTTTTCTGTTTTTTGAGACAGTTTCTCACTCTGTCACCCAGGCTGGTGTGCAGGGGAGTGATCTTGGCTTACTGCAACATCTGCTTTCCAGGCTCAAGCAATCTCTTAGCCTCAGCCTCCCGAGGAGCTGGGACTACAGATGTGAGGCACCACGCTTGGATAATTTTTATTTATTTATTTATTGTAGAGGTGGGGTTTCCCCATGTTGCCCAGACTGGTCTCTCACTCCTGAGCTGAAAGGGATCCACCTGCTTCTACCTCGCAAAGTGCTGGGATTACAGGCATGAGCCACCGTGCTGGGCCAGGGAGTTTTCAAGAAAAATTTTGAAAGTACATCACTTGACTTAGATAGTGTTTTGCTAAGGAAGATTATATACTTTAATTCTAAGGGTCAAACATATTTTTATTTTAGGAGATGAAATGGTTTTAGAAAGGTATAAGTTATAGATACATAATTAGAATAATGAATTTAAATTTCATTTTTTCTTTCTTTTTTTCTGCAACAAAAACCACATTCAATAAATTTCCTTTCACTATATAGTCATATAATAATTTTATTCAAGCTTAGTTTTCTATCTAATATTTCAGTGCTTGACCCTGACCTGCTTTCTAGAACTGCTATAGGTTTGGGGTATTGAGAAAATATCATCTTTGTCTGTATAATTTATTTATTCATGAGATTCTTAACAAATATCTATGCATACTTGATCCTGTGCTAGATGCTGAAGATTGATGGACAAGATGGACATATAAGCCCTTATGAAGCTTATACTTTAATGAGGAAGACATATAATAATTAAATAAAATTTTTCTATTTCATTTAATAAATAAAATTGTGATAAGTACTGTGAAGGAAATACAGGGTAATATGGTAGATAGTGACTGGTGAGGGAGTGGGGCCATATTAGGCATGTGGTTAGAGAAGGCGTCCCTGAGGTGGTGACATTTATGGAGACCTGAATGGTAGAAAGGAGCCAGCCGTGGAAAGACCTGGGGTTGAGAATTTCCCAACAGAGGGAACAGCTAAGTTTAAGTCACCTGAAGGAGAAAACAACTGGGTATGTTCCAGGAACTGAAAGAAGGCCAGCTGCTGATTGAGCTCATGGGAAAGTATAAAATAAACTTGAAAAGGGGGTCAGGAGCCAGAGATGAGGGCCTTGTAGGCTATGATAAGTTGCTTGGATTTTACTCAGAGTGGCAATTGGAAGTCATTGGAGGATTCTACCCATGGGGATAACATAACTTGATTTACTTTTAATGATAAAAAGTCACTTTGACAATTATATGAAAAAGGCCACTTAGATTCTTTAGAAGATGGATTGTGGCTACGGCAAAAGTATAAAGGAAGAACCAGGTAGTTGTACAAGATAACAGTCTAGGTGAGAGAGAATAGTTTAGACTAGAGTGATAGCAATAGAGCTAGAGAGAAATTGTTAGATTCAGGACATATTTTGGATGTAAATGCGACAGGACTTGCAGGTAGGGTGCATGTGGGCAGTGAGAAAAAGAGGAACCAAGGATGATTCTTAGGCTTTGGTCTGATTTTGCAGGGTAATTGGCGACACTTATTATTAAGATCATCTAGAGAGGAGGGAAGAGCTGGAGTAGGGAGAGGACCAATTTCATTGCTAGACAGAGGTCAGCCCATTGATATAGTGAGGGACTGGGGACTATCACACAAGAATTTTAAGATTAGGCAGTACATGGGCCGGGCATGGTGGCTCATGCCTGTAATCCCAGCACTTTGGGAGGCCGAGTCGGATGGATCACAAGGTCAGGAGTTCGAGACCAGCCTGACCAACATGGTGAAACCCCATCTCTACTAAAAAGAAAAAAATTAGCCGGGCATGGTGGCCCACGCCTGTAATCCCAGCTACTCAGGAGGCTGAGGCAGGAACATCACTTGAACCCAAGAGGTGGAGGTTTCAGTGAGTCAAGATCATGCCATTGCACTCCAGCCTGGGCGACGGAGGGAGACTCCATCTGAAGAAAAAAAAAAAAAAAAAAAAAAAAAGACTAAGCAGTACATTAATGGAGTGGACATAGAAAATGTCTTTCTGTAAGAATTTTGGAGTGAGCAACTAATTGAAAAAAAATAAAAGTAAGAGACAAAAGAAAAAATGTCCATCTAGGCTACACATTTAAAAAATCTTTTTATCTCAAAATAATTTTAGACATACGGAAAAGTTGCAAAAAAGAGTACAAAGAATTCCCCTGTATGCTTTATGTGTTCCCATAATGTTAACATCTTTGCCTGTAACAATGATTACTATGGTTGTTGCCAAATAGTAATTTTTCTATCATTTCTTTTACATTTTTTGTTGGAATTCTGTAGTAAGAAAGAACTTTTAATATTTTTCTTCGCTTATTCATTCATTTAGATCAGTGTGGACTATAGATTTTTACTTTAACTATTAAGTTATAATGTATTATTATTATTAATAATAATTATTTTGTAGAGATGGGGTTTTGCTCTGTCGCCCAGGCTGGAGAGCAGTGTTGTGATCATGGCTCACTGAAGCCTTGAACTCCTGGGCTCAAGCCATCCTCCCACCCCAGCCTCCTGAGTAGCTGGGATTACAGGCATGCGCCACAAGGCCTGGCTTTATTATTAATTTGAAGTTCAGTTGTTCCACATTTGGCCAGTGGGAGCCCTTAAAGTTGACTCTTTCGTCTTTTTTTTACATATCCCATCATTCTTTGAGCACATCCTTACTTTCTGGCACAATAAGATGTTCCAGGATCATGCTATATATACTTTTTCTATTCTAGCCCTGTAATCAGTCATTTCTCCAGGGATTTTTGGCTCCTTTTAGTGGAGAATGGTATTTAAAAACCATGATATGTGTGTTAAATGTGCTCCTTGATACTGAGTGTCATTGCTTCCTGGCTTTCTCAGCAGAAGATCTAGAAAATAATTATTTCTCTCTCTCTCTCTCAAAACCCATGGATTCATACTGATACCTCCTATTCCAGTAACATCCCAGGGTTTATTCTAGCCTGTCCCCCTTTCTCTATGCATAGCTTCCTTCTCTATTAGTGAGGAATCTGGCTTTCATCCATTAGCCACAAGGTTTACTTATTTTGTTAAATCCTAGAGTATACATAAATAATTTCAAAATTGCTAACTCATACTACTGTGAAAAACAAACCTCACCATAGTTTAATATTCACCTATAGTCTTTTGTACTTAGCATAAGGATATATGGTTAAAATATTGTGTTCAGTATTGGTTAGTTCTACACTCCTTTTCAATAGGTAATTATTAATACATTTTCAGCTAGGTAATTATTAATAACTTGAAATTCAGGTAGGTTCATTGGTTTGTTTGTTTTCATTTGGAGTTTCTTTTCTCCCTCATTCATGATGATATTTTTTACTTATACTTTGAGCAGGTAAAACAACAGCAAGGTTTAAAATCAGAACTATACCAAAAGTACACCTCAGAGAAGCATCTCCCATCCCTTCCACCCTGTTCCCATGCCCCCATACTTTCTGTCTGTTCCAAGCTACTCTTTCATATAACCAATCTCATTAATTTTTGATTTATCCTTCCTGTGTTTAATTTTTTTAAAAAATGAACAGGTATGTTTTCTTACACAAAATGCGTCATACTGTAGATACTCTTGCATTTTGCTTTTTTTTGTTTATTTATTTTTCTTTTTTTTTTTTTTGAGACAGAGTCTTACTCTGTCACCGAGGCTGGAGTACAGTGGCACAATCTCGGCTCACTGCAACCTCTGCCTCCCGGGTTCAAGCGATTCTCCTGCCTCAGCCTCCCAAGTAGCTGGAATTACAGGTTCCCCCCACCATGTCCAGCTAATTTTTGTATTTTTAGTAGAGACGGGGTTTCACCATGTTGGCCAGGCTGGTTTCAAACTCCTGATCTCAGGTGATCCGCCCGCCTCAGCCTCCCAAAGTGCTGGGATTACAGGCGTGAGCCACTGCACCCGGCCGCATTTTGTTTTTAACTTAATAATGTATCCTAGAAATCGCTCCATATCAGTTTTTAGAGATCTTTCTCATTTTTCACTATTGCTGCACAGAACACGAATGTATGCATCAGCCACTCTTAAATGTTTCCAGTATTTTGCTGCAATGAATACCTTGTATATGTATGCTTTCATACTGCTGGAGGTATTGTTTTAATTTCTCTAAGTGGGACTTCAATATGTAGTCTTATTAGATATTGCAAAATTTCTTTCCAAAATGTGCTAGCAATTTATGAGAGTGTTTGCTTCCCCATAGTTTCACAAAAGAATGTGGGGGTCATATTTAAAAAAAAATTTTTGTCAATCTGATATGTGACAGATGGTATCTCAGGGTAGTTTAAATTTGCTTTCTGTAATTATGAATAAGATTATACGTTTAAAATATGGTTTAAGTGCCATTTTAATTATATTTTTATTGTGAAATGTTAGTTTATATCTTCTGCCCATTTTTCTGTTGTAGTTTTGATGTTATTTCCCCCTAAATGTTTATAAATTGTGATAAAATACACATAACATAAAACCATCTTAACCATTTTTAAGGGTACAGTTTAGTAGTATTTTTTTTATTATAAGTTTTTAAATTTTACTTTATGTTCCGGGATACATGTGCAGAACGTGCAGGTTTGTTACATAGGTATACGTGTGCCATGGTGGTTTGCTGCACCTATTGACCCACTCTCTAGGATCCCTCTCCTTGCCCTCCATCCCCCAGTGGGCTTTGTTTTGTGTTACTCCCTTCCCTGTGTCCATGTGTTCTCATTGTTCACCTCCCACTTATGAGTGAGAACATGCGGTGTTTGGTTTTCCATTTCTATGTTAGTTTGCTGAGGATGATGGCTTCCAGCTTCATCTATGTCCCTGCAAAGGACATGATCTCATTCCTTTTTATGCCTGTGTAGTATTCCATGGTGTATATGTACCACATTTTTTTTTTTTTTTGAGATGAAGTCTCACTCTGTTGCCAGGCTGGAGTGCAGTGGTGCGATCTCGGCTCACTGCAATCTCCGCTTCCTGGATTCAAGCAATTCTCTGCCTCAGCCTCCCAAGTAGCTGGAATTACAGGTGCCTGCCACCACGCCTGGCTAATTTTTTTGTATTTTTAGTAGAGACGGGGTTTCACCATCTTGACCAGGCTGGTCTTGAACTCCTGACTTCATGATCCACCCGCCTCGGCCTCCCAAAGTGTTGGGATTACAGGTGTGAGCCACCATGCCTGGCCATGTACCACATTTTATTTATCCAGTCTATCATTGATGGGCATTTGGGTTGGTTCCATGACTTTGCTATTATAAGTAGTGCTGCAGTAAACATATGTGTGCATGTGTCTTTATAGTAGAATAATTTATATTTCTTTGGGTGTATTCCCAGTAATGGGATTGCTGGGTCAAAAGGTATTTCTGGTTCTAGATACTTGAAGAATCGCCATACTGTCTTCCACAATGGTTGAACTAATTTACATTCCCACCAACAGCGTAAAAGTGTTCCTATTTCTCCACAGCCTCGCCAGCATCTACTGTTTCAAAAATATGGAATGCTTCACGAATTTGTGTCCATCCTTGCACAGGGGCCATGCTGATCTTCTCTGTATCATTCCAATTTTAGTATATGTGCTGCCAAAGCAAGCACTGTTTAGTAGTATTTTCACATTCTTGTGCAGCGAATCTCCAGAACATTTTCATCTTCAAAACTGAAACTCTATACTTATTAAATAACAACTCCTCATTTCCTCTTCCCTGTAGCCCCTGGCAACTACTATTTTGTTTTCTGTTTCTATAAATTTAACTGCTCTATTTACTTTATATAAGTGGAATAATGCAATACTTGTTTTCTTGTGATTGGCTTATTTCACTTAGCATAATGTCCTTAAGGTTCACCCATCCCCTAAATTTTAAAGCATTCTTTACACTTTGTCTGAGATGTATGTTGCAAATATTTTCTGCCAGATTGTCAATTGTCTTTTGACATTTTAAATTGTTTTTGTTATGCAAACATTTATGTTTTTATGTAGTAAAAATTAATCTATTACTTGTTTCCTTTTTTGTATCTAGTATTTGAATCATAGCTAGGAAGGTTTTTCCTATACTCAAGTTATAAAAGACTTCATCTATGTTTTTCTTCCTGATCCTTGTATAGTTTCATTGTTTAAGTTAAATCCTGGAGTTTGTTCTTATGTATGGTGGAAGGTATGAATTATTTTATCTTTTTCCAAATGGCTAACCAGTTGTTCCAGAAATAGTTATTAAAACCTTCATATTTTTCCCAGTGATTTGAGATGCCATGTTTATCATATGCTAAATTTTCTGATATACTGGTGTATTTTTGGACTTTCTGTTGTTTTCTACTGGTCTGTCTATCCATACACCTGTGCTACACCAGGCTTTCTGGTATGTTCTAATGTCTCCTAGGGCTAGCCCTCCATTGCAGATTTTCTTTCTCAGGGTTTTCTTGGCTATTCTTGCATGTTTATTTTTCCACATGAACTTTAGGATCAACTTATCTAATTCCATAAAAATGTATGTAGATAATTTTATTGGTATTGTGTTAAATCAATTTTGGGAAAAGTGAAATTTTCATGATGTTAAAATGTCTTTACTAAGATCAAGTGTCTTTTCATTCATTCGTGTCTATTTTTAGTGAGACTATTCATTCTTATGGGAGAATTTATGAAATTATATTATACTACTATTGTACTGGAATATAATCTCAAGAGAGCATGGGCTTTGTCTGTTTTGTTCAGCTACTATATACCCAGCATTTAGAACAATGTCTGAATATTTGTTGAATCGGTGGATATATTATAATAATAAGTTAGATAATAAGGAATAATAAGTTAGGTAAAGAATCTTCATTTTGCCTTGAGAAAATGAAAACCATACTAAGAATATTAATTTGGCAAGAATTCATCATAAATAAAGAAAAAGATAAAATGGTTTCTTTGTGGGATGTACTTTTGGATTAAATGGTTTTTATTCTGAAAATGTTATTTTTCAGAATATTTTTAATCTGAAAAAATGTTGTCTTAGGAAGGGAGAGTTCAGGAGTTACACTGAAATGATACAACCATGCAGAACATTTAATTTTTTCTTATGTTCTCAGTTCAACTATATTTATATGAAGCAATGTGTAGAAAGTAGTCCTTTAGTACCTATTCAGCAGGAATGGCTGGATCACATGTTAAGGCTGATACCTGAGTCTTTAAAGGAAGGGAAAGAAAGAGAAGAACTTCTTGAAAGTCTCATAAATGAGGTGTCAAGTGACTTTGAAAACAGCATGAAGAGATATTTGGGTAAGTAGCATCTAACACACACCAGGCTTCTTTCACCTTGGCCTCCCCCCGTCCCCACTGAATCAAAAATAGAAATAAGCAAAATGAGTAATGAACACTATGTATTTAAACTATATCTGGTTTTTTTCTTCTTTTCTTTTTATTTTTTTTCTTCGAGACATGATCTCTGTCGCCCAGGCTGGAGTGCAGTGGTGCTATTTCGGCTCACTGCAGCCTCCGCCTGCTGAGTTGAAGCGATTCCCCTACCTCAGCCTCCCGAGTACCTGGAACTTCAGGCACACACCACTATGCCCAGCTAATTTTTTTATTTTTTGGTAGAGATGTAGTTTCACCATGTTGACCAAGCTGGTCTAAAACTCCTGGGCTCAAGCCATCCACCCACCTCAGCCTCCCAAAGTGCTGGGATTACACGCTGAGCCACTCAGCCCAGCCTTAACTATATGTATTTCTTAGATACGATTTTTATTTAAAGTTTTTATTTTGAGTCTATACTTAAGTCAAAATCCTTACAATTTAAGGGTACTTTTTGTATTTTTTTTATTAGCTAACTTCTCTTTGATTTTTTACTTTGTCTTTATGATTTTAGCTATACTATTTATAGGTTTGCTAGAAAATACTAATATGTTTTGGGAGATTTATTAGGGGTATAATCTTTGCTATTTTTTAGAATAAACTTTTTTCCTTTTTAAAAATTGACAAATAAAAATTGTATATAATTATCATGTACAATACGTTTTGAAATATGTGTGGAATAGCTAAATTGAGCTAATTAACTGATGCATTTTTTTCACATATTTATCATTTTTTGTGTGTGGTGGGAACATAAAATCTACTCTTGACAATTTTCAAGGGTACAATAAATTGTTACTAACTAGTCACTATGTTGTATAATTGCTTTCTTTTTTTTTTTTTTTTTTTTTTTTTTTTTATGATGGAGTCTCACTCTGTCGCCCAGAATAGAGTGCAGTGGTGCAATCTCAGCTCACTGCAACCTCCACCTCCCAGGTTCAAGCGATTCTCTTGCCTCAGCCTCCCAAGTAGCTGGGACTACAGGCGCCTGCCACCATGCCCAGCTAATTTTTGTATTTTTAGTAGAGATGGGGTTTCACCATGTTGGCTAGCCTGGTCTCAAACTCCTGACCTCAGGTGATCTGCCCTCCTTGGCTTCTCAAAGTGCTGGAATTACAGGCATGAGCCACCGCGCTCGGCCTCCATGTCGCGTAATCTCTTGAACTTGTTCCCTCCTATCTAACTGAAATTTTGTAGCCTGTGACCAACATCCTCCCAGCCCCTGGTAGCCACCATGAAATGCATTTTTTTAAGTGGCCATGCTAGTGACTTTTGAGTAGATGGAATGTGAAAAACTGAGATCTTATTAAAGCTTTTCGTTATCTGAACTCTCAAGTAAGGCCAAAATACTACCAAGAACTTGATTTTGTTTCAAATAAAGGAGTTTTTTCTTACATTCCTTTTAATGCACAGTAAACTATACCATCCAAAATCAAAAGTTAGAAACTTTGATATTAATAGATTGTGCAGAGATTTTCAAGAAGCATTAATATATCCATGTATTTTAGTGCAGAGCGTTCTTGTGAAACCACCAGTTAAATCGCTTGAAGATGAAGGAGGTCCTTTACCTGAATCTCCTGTGTGAGTAAATTATTTTAAAAACAGTACTTCATCCAATTTTTGATATAGATAAAAAATAAACTGATCTTACCTTCAAGTATACAATTGTGATGCTCAAAGGTATTTTGAACACATCTAAAAAAAAAGTACTCTTGTTTTTACCTCAGAGGTATTCTCTCTACTATGCTCATTTAGTTCTGCATACATAACTGGGGAGATCTTTATGAATGCATAGCTTAACTTAGCCTTGAGTAAGCTTTGGGGTATGGCAGACAGATTTCTCCAGCGCTTTTCTTTAGTCCTAAAGACTGTGTTCTTTCATTTTTACCAGGATAACTGAGCCAAAGCACAGTGGAAGTTAGCAGAGCTCTCAGATCTGGCCCATCACTCTGCCTTACTCACAAATTATTTCTGTTCTCTCTGAAGATAATGCAGTTTTGAGTTCTTGATGTGTTTTTATTAAATGCATATATCTTAAGGTTCCCATTGCTGACCACAGCTCCCTCTTCTCAAGCCCCAGTTTTCTCACTTCAATACTAATTTCATGTTATAAGCATTATTTCCTAAAGTTTAGGGTGTATTATTTTCATCATGTTTGATATGGTGTTTTGCTTTTCCAGAGGCCTAGATTATTCTAATCCTTGGCATTCTAGCTATGTGCAGGCAAGAAATCAAATATTCTCTAATTTGCACATTATTCATCCAACTATGAAAATGTTACTGGACCTTGGTTATACAACATTTGCTGATACAGTTTTGTTGGACTTCACAGGAATTAGGTAAAATCCCGTTTAATTTAAAATTTGAATGTCTCCTTGCTTGAGTCTATATTTTTGACTGTATAATTTTTAAAATGGAATCCTAAATCTTCAACACTTTTCTCTAGATTTTAGAGTTTAAAAAAATGTATCTTGTTTGTTTCAACAATTGTGTGGGTTTTTTTTGGTTTTTTTTTTTTTTGTTTTTTTTTTCCCGTGATGGAGTCTTGCTCTGTCATCCAGGCTGGAGTGCAATGGTGCGATCTTGGCTCACTGCAAGCTTTGTCTCCCTGGTTCAAGCAATTATCCTGCCTCAGCCTTCCGAGTAGCTGGGATTACAGGCATACACCACCACACCCAGCTAATTTTTGTATTTTTAGTAGAGATGGGGTTTTACCATGTTGGCCAGGTTGGTCTTGAACTCCTGACCTCGTGATCTGCCTGCCTCAGCCTCCCAAAGTGCTGAGATTACAGGTGTGAACCACCGAGCCCGGCCCAACAATTGTGTTTTAAGACCAATATGTATCATTTGCTTCAAATCACATTTCTTTTTCTCATAAATAGAGCTAAAGGTCCAATTGACTGTGAATCACTGAAAACTGATCTATCAATACAAACTAGAAACGCAGAAGAGAAGATAATGAATACATGGTATCCAAAGGTTATAAATCTCTTTACCAAGAAGGAGGCACTAGAAGGTGTTAAACCTGAAAAATTGGATGCATTTTATAGCTGTGTTTCCACACTTATGTCAAATCAGGTACATACACTTTATATATATTAAATGATAATGTTATTAAAATTAGTTCAATATTTTAAATAGAATTCTACGTAAACATAGTGCTAAGTAATTATTTTGAAATAAAATATTTCTACTGTAATTTTATTTTAATAATTTTAGCAGAAAAATATTGTGTTTCTGAAACTATCTAAAATGAAAGGAAATCTAGAAGTATATATTAGTATTATGAGTAATTACTTGGCTCATGCCTAAAGGATATATAAGTTAATTATAGCTTTATTTGGAGTATGTTAACAAAAGAACTATTCTAGTAACATATTTTTGAATTTATTAGATTCCAAGTTGATTGATTCTCATTTTGTTCTCAGTAAAATCTTGGTTTAAAATGTTATTGATCATTGTATAAGAGGTATCTGGTGGAAAAAATTTTTAAAGTTATTGATCATCTTTAAATGACAAATAGGGAATTTTTAATTTTATGAAATTATATTTATGGCCTCCTCAAATTTTTACTGTTGAAGATATACAATTCTAGAAAAATAGTTTTGAAGAAAAACTTTCCCTTTCAGTAAAGACCTCCAACAATTCCATGAATTTTGTCTAGCATATTTAAAAGGATAATATACATATTTAATATCTAGTATGTAATGCTGTAACTAATACACATGGTTTCCTTTCTACCTTTACCCTCTTAAGAGGACTGTGATTATTTAATAAAAGTAAAGAGATGAGGAATGTCTTGAAGATCATTTAGAACCATGTTTGTTTGCTGGGCTAAATTCCCAACAGTTGGTTCTCTATAAGAAACCATTATTCGTACTTTAGAAGCTCCTTGTGCATGTTTCTAAGTTCCAGTGGCTTTACCTTCACCCAGTAGTGTGCTAGAAATATGGCTCTCCAGGAAAGAAAATCACCCTGAGGCTGGGCACGGTGTCTCACACCTCTAATACCAGCACTTTGGGAGGCCCAGGCAGGTGGATCACTTGAGCTCAGGAGTTCAAGACCAGCCTGGCCAACATGGCAAAACCTCCTCTCTACTAAAAATACAAAAATTAGCCAGGTGTGGTGGCATATGCTTGTAATCTCAGCCACTCAGGAGGCTGAGGCACGAGAATAGTTTGAGACCGAGAGGCGGAGGTTGTGGTGAGCCCAGATTGTGCCACTGCATTCCAGCCTGGGCAACAGAGTGAGACTCTGTCTCAAGATAATAAATAAATAAGTAAATAAATAAATAAATGAATAAACAAATAAAAGAAAAAGATAATTACCCTGATTTGTAGTGTTTGTCGACTTCTGTGGTGTAAATATTCCCACAGTGGTAAATTTCGAGCTTCTAAGAGTTTAGCAACTGGCTCACAAAATTCTTGAGTATTTAACAATTGGCTCTTGAGAGAACAGGAGCTAGTTCTAGCATTTCACTGTACCTCACTCCATGTGCATGTCCCCCCATTACACACTTACCTCTGGCTGTCAGACCTCCCCTCCCTTCAGTCTTTACCATGTTGTTTGATCTTCTGGAACATTTTCTGTACCAGGGACAGAATTACTAAAGAATGTGAAAAGTTCTGAGTCACCATTTTAAGATTGTTGATATTCTATTAAAAAATTAAGGTTTGGCTGGGTGTGGTGGCTCACGCCTGTAATCTCAGCACTTTGGGTGGCTGAGGTGGGAGGATCACTTGAGCCCAGGAGTTCAAGACCAGCTTGGGAAACAAAGTGAGACACTGTCTCTAGAAAAAAAATTAAAAATTAGCCAGGAATGGTGGCTCATGCCTATTGTCCCAGCTACTCAGGAGGCTGAGGTGGGAGGATTGCTTGAGCCCAGGATCCCAGGAGCTCGAGCCTGCTGTGAACTATGATTGTGCCACTGCACTCCAGCCTGGGCAACAGAGCAAGACCCAGTCTTAAAAAACAGAAACAGGCTCGGCGCAGTGGCTCACATCTGTAATCCCAGCACTTTGGGAGGCCAAGGTGGGTGGATTACCTGAGGTCAGGAGTTCGAGACCAGCCTGGCCAACATGGTGAAACCCTGTCTCTACTAAAACTACAAAAATTAGGCAGGCGTGGTGGCAGGCACCTGTAATCCCAGCTACTCAGGGGGCTGAGGCAGGAGAATTGCTTGAACCCGGGAGACAGAGGTTGCAGTGAGTCAAGATCGTGCCATTGCACTCCAGCCTGACCGACAGAGTGAGACTCTGTCTCAAAACAAAAACAAAAACCAAAAAACCAAAACCAAAAACAAAATTAGGGTTTGCATATAATGTTCTATTTATTGTTTTAGGTTACCTTTGTTAATGTGTGTTCTCACTTATTTGTGGGAGCTAAAAATTAAAACAGTTGAACTAATGGAGATAAAGAGTAGAAGGATGGTTACCAGAGGCTGGGAAAGGTAGTGGGAGAAGTGGGCGGGGGGTGGGGGGTGTGGTAAGTGGAGATGTTTAATGGGTACAAAAAAGTTGGAAAGAATGGATAAGCTGAGTGTGGTGGCTCACGCCTGTAATCCCAGCACTGTGAGAGGCCAAAGCAGGCGGGTCACTTGAGCTCAGGAGTTTGAGACCAGCCATGAGCAACGTGACAAAACCCTGTCTCTACAAAAAATACAAAAATTAGCCAGGCGTGGTAGCTTGTGAATGTAGTTCCAGCTACTCAGGAGGCTGAGGTGGGAGGATGGCCTGAGCCCAGCAGGCAGAGGTTGCAGTGAATCGAGGTCTTGCCACTGCACTCCAACCTGGGCAATGCTGTCTCAAAAACAAAAAGCAAACAAAACAAACAAAAAGAAAAAAGAAAAAAAAAGAGAGAAAAAAAGAAAAGAAAAAAGAATGAATGAATAAGACCTAGTATTTGCTAGCACAACTGGGTAACTACAGCAAAACATAATTTAATCATCCCTTTAAAAATAACTAAAAGAGTATAATTAGATTGTTTGTAACACAAAGGATAAATACTTGAAGTGATGGAAATCCCATTTACCCTGATGTGACTATTGCACATTACATTCCTGTATCAGAATATCTCATGTAACCCTTATATACACCTATTATGTACCCACAAATATTAAAAATTAATAAGAACATATCATGCTGATTAGCTGGGTGTGGTGGCACGCGCCGTAGTCCCAGCTACTCAGGAGGCTGAAACAGGAGGATTGCCTGAGCCCAGGAGTTCAAGGTTACAGTGAGCTATGATGGCACCACTGCACTGCAGTCTGGGCAACAGAGTGAGACACTGTCTTAAAAAAAAATATGTATATATATATGTGTGTGTGTGTGTGTGCATGTATGTATACACACATATATATAGTATGCTGAATGAAGATAATTTTCAATTAAATGGATTGATAGGATGTTTTAATTATAGACAATTATAATCAGATATAGACAATTATAATCAGTTTACTGATTTTAGTTAAAGGTTGAATTTGTACTCTCTAAAGTAACAGTGATTTATATCACGCAGCTAAAGGATCTATTAAGGAGAACTGTAGAAGGATTTGTAAAACTCTTTGACCCAAAAGATCAACAAAGGCTGCCAATATTTAAGATAGAATTGACATTTGATGACGACAAAATGGAATTTTATCCTACCTTTCAAGATTTGGAAGATAATGTCTTGAGTTTGGTGGAACGAATAGCCGAAGCTCTGCAGGTATTACATCTTTACCCATCGGGAAAGAATTTTAAATTATTTGAATTGAATCTCTATGCAGTGTATGTGTACATACAATGTTATGACTCTTTCTGTTATTTTCCTCCCCCAATTATTTCAAATTAGAAATTGCTTTCTCTTTGAAAAAGTCGCTTGAAGGCTGGAGATGACATTTTCCTTCTTAGAACTTTTCTTGTAGCTATGAATTGATTTTTTTATTTGCATGTCTCATCTCCTCTGAGTTGTGAGCTTCTTAAGAACAAGATCTAATTGATATTTGTTCTTTCTAGAGCTTTCTGGCATAATTACTTTGTCAATAAATATTTGTCAGCCGGGCGCAGTGCCTCACGCCTGTAATCCCAGCACTTTAGGAGGCCGAGGCAGGCGGAACACAAGGTCAGGAGATCAAGACCATCCTGGCCAACATGGTGAAACCTCATCTCTGCTAAAAATACAAAAATTAGCTGGGCATGGTGGCGCGTGCCTGTACTCCCAGCTACTCAGGAGGTTGAGGCAGGAAAACCCCTTGAACCAGGGAGTCGGAGGTTGCAGTGAGCCAAGATCACCCCACTGCACTCCAGCCTAGTGACACAGTGAGACTCCGTCTCAAAAAAAAAAAAACCAATAATAAATAAATAAATAAATATTTGACAAATATTTATTTGTCAGTAAATAATTAGTCAATAAATATTTGTTGGATGATAGAAAACTAACCCAACTTAAGGTTTTCTTTGTTTTGTTTTGTTTTGTTTGAGACAGGGTCTCACTGTGTTACCTAGGCTGAAATGCAGTGGCTATTCACAGACATGATCATAGCACACTGCTGCCTCGAACTCCTGGGCTCAAGTGATCTTCTTGCCTCAGCTTCCCAAGTAGCTGGGACAATAGGCATGTGCTACTGCACCTGGCCCAACTTGTTTTATGTTAGACTACAAACTATACAATTTTAAATTATTATTTTATGTCAAGTTATTTTTTCTTGGGCCATTGAAATCTGAAAAGAATGTTTTAAAATATAGTATAAGATCTACATATAGGCCAGGCGCAATGGCTCACGCCTGTAATCCTAACACTTTGGGAGGATGAGGCGGGCGGATTGCCTGAGCTCAGGAGTTCGAGACCAGCCTTACCAACACTGTGAAACCCCATCTCTACTAAAATACAAAAAATAGGCCAGGCATGATGGCTCACGCCTGTAATCCCAGGACTTTGGGAGGCTGAGGTGGGCGGATCACGAGGTCAGGAGTTCGAGACCAGCCTGACCAACATGGTGAAACCCCGTCTCTAAAAATACAAAAATTAGCTGGGCGTGGTGGCGTGCGCCTGTAATCCTAGCTACTCAGGAGGCTGAGGCAGGAGAATCGCTTGAACCTGGGAGGCGGAGGTTGCAGTGAGCCGAGATCGCACCAATGCGCTCCAACCTGGGTGATAGAGCAAGACTCCGTCTCCAAAGGAAAAAAAAAAAGATCTACATATAGATTAATTATACAGTTAGATATTTATTGTATACATTGTTATTATTTTTATTTGTGTTAGAATGTCCAAACAATCCCCTCTTGGCTATCAGGAACTTCAACACCAGTAAATCTTGACACAGAACTTCCTGAACACGTGTTACACTGGGCTGTTGATACACTGAAGGCAGCAGTACATCGGAACTTAGAAGGTGCAAGAAAGCATTATGAGACATATGGTGTGTATGACATACATAATATTATACCATTTGTCATCACTTTATTTGTGCTAGAATTTGGTCAGATGTTTGTTTGTCTGGGGCTGCCATGAAAGAACAGGGAGAGCCAGAAGTGAGCATAGGCGTAGCTTTTGGCAGAGTCAAGAATCCAACCCAGGGAGGCCGAGGCGGGCGGATCACAAGGTCAGGAGATCGAGACCATCCTGGCTAACACGGTGAAACCCCGTCTCTACTAAAAAATACAAAAAATTAGCCGGGCGTCGTGGCGGGCGCCTGTAGTCCCGGCTACTCGGGAGGCTGAGGCAGGAGAATGGCGTGAACCCAGGAGGCGGAGCTTGCAGTGAGCCGAGATCGCGCCACTGCTCTCCAGCCTGGGCGATAGAGCGAGACTCCGTCTCAAAAAAAAAAAAAAGAATCAAACCCAATACATTTTGTTGTCCAGTCCAAAGGGTGCATATGAACTGGAGCAGGGTGATAAAGTCAAAGGCAGAGAGAAGAAATGTTGGGAATAATTCAAGGGTAAAAGCAAGGTAGTTTCTGAGAATAGTTTCAAAGAGCCTGTAGCTCAATTTTATTGGTCTGTAGTCTTCTCAAGTGTGTGTGAGGTCAGGATGTATGGTTATTCTTTGACATTCTATTAACCAATATCTTCTATTAATTGGTGTATATGTACCCCTAAGTTATTCTTAAAAGCCTCAAATACTCTAATACCTTTGTTTTAAAATGTCTGTTTAACTTGGTTTCCTTTTATTCTACCCATTTTCTTAAAATATAGTAAATCATGTATGTTAATACTCTATTAATAATAATATTTAATTGAGTAGGTCCCCATTCCATGATCATATAAAAAAAGTGTTTTATCTTCTAAAAAGGGTATTATTGAGATTTTAATTAGATTATTAATTTTCAGTTGAAAAATATAATTGGCTCCTTGATGGGACTGCAGTTGAGAATATAGAGACTTTTCAGACAGAAGATCATACTTTTGATGAATATACAGAGGTAAGCGGT
This sequence comes from Homo sapiens, assembly GCF_000001405.40. Classification (NCBI taxonomy): domain Eukaryota; kingdom Metazoa; phylum Chordata; class Mammalia; order Primates; family Hominidae; genus Homo; species Homo sapiens. Next base: position 57,501,311 of record NC_000003.12, on the reverse strand, counting down.
AATTCTGTTTTTATTAATGCGTTTTGAATTTTTTTGTAACATTAGGATCTTTCCATTCTAAAAAGTAAATGCTTAAATAGAATTTCTTATTTAAAATATCATTTCAGTAAAACTCATTGTCTTACCTTACAATTTCTTTAGTCATTCATTTACTCATTTATTAATTCAATAAAAATTTCCTTATCACATTCAGACACCTAACAAGATTTGGTGATGCAAAAATAAATGAAAGGGTGGGAATGGTGGCTCATGCCTGTAATCCCAGCACTTTGAGACGCCAAGGCAAGAGGATTGCTTGAGCCCAGGAATTTGAGACCAGCCTGGGCAACATAGTGAGACCGTGTCTCTACGAAAGTTTTTTTGTTTTTGTTTTTGTTTTTGTTTTTGAATTAGCCAGGTATGGTGGTGCATGCCTGTAGTCCTTCTTACTCAGGAGGCTGAGGCAAGAGGATAACTTGAGCCCAGGAGGTTGAGGCTGCAGTGAGCTCTGATTGCACCACTGTACTCCAGCTGGGCAACAGGGCGAGACACTGTCTTAAAAAAAAGGCATAAGCACTGTCTTCAGGAGCTTATATTTGGCCTGGAAGCCTGACACGGAAATAACAACTATAGAGATAAGTACTAGAATAGAGATATGGACAAAGTGTTGTTTGCTTTGGGAAATTGGTGAAGAGATTATGCAAGAAGTGAAATGTGAGTTGGGCTTTGAAATAGATTTTATAGGTGGAGAAGGGAGGGGATGTAGCATGAACCAGGGTGTTCAGAGAATATAAATGAATGAAAATAGTTAAAGAATAGGGAACAGGGACACAGTACATGGAAGATTTAGAATATGATGAAGTTCGAAATGTAAGTTGGAGCCACATGGGAAAATCCTGGAGTATCTTTGCTCAAGAGTTTGTACTTTGTTCTGAAGGTTTTTCGCTGTGGAAGTAATCTATTCGGATCTGAGTTTTAGAAAGATAATTCTGGGCTGGGTGCAGTGGCTCACACCTGTAATCTCAGCACTTTAGGAGGCCAAGGCGGGTGGATCACCTGAGGTCAGGAGTTCGAGACCAGCCTGGCCAACATGGCGAAACCCCATCTCTACTAAAAATACAAGAATTAGCCAAGCATGGTGGTCCATGCCTGTAATCCCAGCTACTAGGGGGGGCTGAGGAGTAGGATCGCTTGAACCTGGGAGGCGAAGGTTGCAGTGAGCGGAGCTCATGCCACTGCACTCCAGCCTGGGCAACAGAGTAAGGCTCCATCTCAAAAAAAAAAAAAGGTAATTCTGATAGTAGTGGGGAAAAGGCAATTGAAAGAAAAAAGATTCCTACCTCCTCAAGGGACCTTGTTCTATTGGTTAAAACTGGCATATTTCTTCATTTTCCCCCTTTCTATTGACTGTTTAGATTTTTTAATGTATACTTTATACATTTTAATTTTTCTAACATCTTAAATTTTAAACATATAGAGTTTTGTTTTGTTTTTTGAGACAGGGTCTCACTCTCTTGCCCAGGCTGGAGTGCAGTGGCATGATCATGGCTCACTACAGCCTTAACCTCCCGGGTTCAAGCAGTCCTCCACTTCAGCCTCCCGAGTAGCTGAGACTGGAAGCGTACACCTCCATGCCTGGCTAATTTTTTTAAGAAGTATATATATATATATATATATATATATATTTTTTTTTTTTTTTTTTGTAGAGATGGTGTCTCCTTATGTTTCCCCAGGTGGTTTTGAACTTCTAAGCTCAAGCAGTCCTCCCACCTTGGCCTCTCAAAGTGTTGGGATTGTAGGCATGAGCCACCACACCCAGCCTGTACAGAGAAATTGAAGGAATTTTACAAAGCATACCACCTACATTCTAGGATTTTGCTATATTTATTTGTCATTCCATCCCTTTTAAAAATTCTTTATTAATTTCAAGAGAAATTAACTTTAAAAAATCAACTTGACATTTAGTTTACATACAATAAACTGTACCCATTTTAATTGTACAGTTATATGAGTTTTGACAAATGTGTACACTTACGTAACCATCACCAGAATTAAGATGTAGAACATTTCTCCTACCTCAGAAACCTTCCTTATACCCCATCCTGGTCAATTCTCCCCAACTCTGACCTCAGGAAACTGCTGACATGCTTTCTGTTACTATAGATTAGGTTTTTGTTTTCTAAAGTTTCAGATAAATAGAATCATATATACATACTCTTTTGCATCTGATTTCTTTTACTAGCATAAAGTTTTTGAGATTTATTTGTTTTGTGTCAGTAGTTTATTCCTCTTTTGTTTTTGTTTTTGTGTGTGTGTGTTTTTGTTTTTGTTTTTGAGACGGAGTCTTGCTCTGTTGCCCAGGCTGGAGTGCAGTGGTGCAATCTCGGCTCACTGCAACCTCCGCCTCCCAGGTTCAAGCCATTCTCCTGCTTCAGCCGCCCGAGTAGCTGGGATTACAGGCACCCATCACCATGGCCAGCTAATTTTTTGTGTTTTTAGTAGAGATGGGGTTTCACCATGTTAGCCAGGATGGTCTCGACCTCCTGACCTCATGATCCGCCCACCTCGGCCTCCCAAAATGCTGGGATTACAGGTGTGAGCCACCGCGCCTAGCCTAACTTATTCCTTTTATTGCTTAGTAGTATTTCACTGTATAGGTATATAGTTTCTTTATTCATTCACGTTTTGATGGATATTTGAGATGTTTCCAGTTTTTGGCTATTATGAATAAAGTTACTATGGTCTTCTGTTTACAAGTCTTTGTGCGGACATATGCTTTCATTTCTCTTTCTAGGAGCTGGATTGCTGGGTGGTATGGGAAGTGTATTTTTAACTTTTTAAGAAACTGTTAAGCCAGGCATAGTAGCTTGCACCTGTAGTCTCAGCTACTCAGGAGGCTGAGGTGAAAGGATTACTGGAGCCTAGGAGTTCGAGTCTGCAGTGAGTTATGATCATGCCACTGCACTCCAACTTGAGTGACAGAGCAAAACTCTTTGTCTCAAAAAACAGAAGAAACTTAAATTTCTTTCAAAGTTGTTATACCATTTACAATCTCACCAGCAGTGTATGAGATTTCCAGTTCTTCCACATCCTTTTCAACCTTTGGGCTTATCAGTCTTTTACTTTTTACTATTGTTTTATTTTTTCCCACTGCACTTTCACATCTAGATTATCAGTCTTTTTAATTTCATGTGTATATTGGTATCCCACTGTGGTTTTAATTTGCATTTCCCTGATGACTAATGATGTTTAGCATCTTTTAACATGTCATGTTCCATCTGTGTATCTTTTTACTAATAAAAATAAAGTGTCTTTTGTTTGTACATTTTAAATTGGGTTTTTATGTTTTATTGTTGAGCTATAATGGATGTATTTTATTGGACTATATTGTTATAATCAATGTTATGGAGTTTTAAGAATTCTTTATATATTCTGGGTAAAAGTCTTGTATCTGAAATAGTTTTGCAAATATTATCTCATAGTTTATGCCTTGACATTTTATTTTTATAACAATGTCTTTCAAAGAGCAGACATTTTATATTATAATTAATTCTAGTCTATCAATTTTTTTCTTCTGAGGTTCATACGTTTTGTGTCCTAAGAAATCTTTCCTACTGCATGATCATAAAGATTTGTTCCTACATTTTACTCTGGAAGCTTTTCTTAGAATTCCTAAACAACACATGTGATTGTCTAGAAGTTTTATAGTTGTAGCTTTCACATTTAGGTCTATGACCCATTGTAAGTTAACTTTTGTATGTGGTGTGGGATATGGGTCACTGTTCAGGTGTTTTTCATGTGGACATCCAGCTGCCCCAGCATCATATATCAAAAATACTATCTTGTACTCATTGAATTATCTTGCCATCTTTGTTGAAAATCAATTGACCCTATATCTGTGGGTCTATTTCTGGATTCTCTATTTTCCATTGATTTATGTATCTGTTCTTATGCCAGTACCATGCTGCCTTGATTTCTGTAGTTCAATGGTAAATTGTAAAATCAAGTAGTGCAAGTTCTCCCACTTTGTCCTTTTTCCAAAATTATTTTGACTGTTCTAGGTGCTTTGCATTTCCATATACATTTTAAAATCAACCTATCAATTCCTAAAGAAGCCAGCTAGGATTTTGGTTAGGATTCCATTGAATCTCTGAATCAATTTGGAAAGAACTGCCATCTTGAAATAGAAGCTTTCAATACATGACCATAGTGTGTATTTAAATTTATTTGAACCTTCTTTAATTTCGCTCAGCAATGTAGTTATAGTTTGCATTGTACAGCTCTTGCAAATATTTTCCTAAATCTGTCCCTTAAAATGTTTCTGGTTTACTTGATTTTCTTATAAATAGCATTTTTTTTTTTTGAGACAGAGTTTCACTCTTGTTGCCTAGGCTGTAGTGCAATGGCAAGATCTCGGCTCACCGCAACCTCTGCCTCCTGAGTTCAAGCAATTCTCCTGTCTCAGCCTCCTGAGTAGCTGGGATTACAGGAGCGTGCCACCACACCCAACTAATTTTTGTATTTTTAGTAGAGACAGGGTTTTGCCATGTTGGCCAGGCTGGTCTTGAACTCCTGACCTCAGGTGATCCGCCCACCTTGGCCTCCCGAAGTACTGGGATTACAGGCATGAGCCACTGCGCCTGGCCATAAATAGTATTTTTAATAGCAATTTTTATTTACAGTACAGTGCTGAATAGCAGCAGTGACATAGGGCATCCTTGCTGTGTTTATGGTCTTATGGGAAATATATTCAGATTTTCGTCATTAAATACATTAAGAGTAGGGTTTTTGGTAGATGCCCTTTATCATGTGGATGAAATTCCCTTCTATTCCAAGTTTGCCAAGAGTTTTTATCATGGGAGGGCGCTGAATTTTGTCAAGTATTTTTTGGCATATATTTAATTGATCATATGGATTTTCTCTTTTTTCTGTTAATATTTTGAATTATATTTATTGATGTTCAAATATTAACCCAATGTTGTTTTCCTGGGATAAACTTGAATTACCCCCAAAATTTAGTGCCTTAAAATACCAGACTTTATTATCTCATAGTATCTGTGGGTCAGGAATCCAGCCTTGGATCAGCTGAGTCCCTGTGGCTCAAGGTCTCTCATAAAGTTGCAGTCAAGCTGTCAGTTGGGGCTATGTTCTCATGAAGGTTTGACTGGGGGCAGAATGATTCCAAGTTCACTCAAGTGGTCATTGACAGGATTCGGTTTGCCACAGGCTATTGAATTTCTGGTTTTGGATACATAGATATTTAGGATTGTTATGTTTTCTTGATGAACATTCTTTATTATTATAAAATAACCTTTTAAGTCCCTGATCTTATATATATATAATATATATAAAATCAGGGATTAAAATATATAAATATATAAATAGATAAAATAGTATAAAATATATATAAATATAGAAATATATTTATAAAATTTATATATAAAAATATATTTTAAAAATATATATTTATAAAATATATAAATACATTGTTTAAAATATATATAAATATATAAATATATATAAAATCAAGGATTAAAAATATATAAATATATAAAAATATATAAAATAATATATAAATATATAAAAATATTCATATATTTATATATAATCTCACCAGCAGATATAATCTGGTGAGACTGTAAATGGTATAACAACTTTGAAAGAAATATTTATATATTTATATATTATATAAATACATAAAAATATATATAATATATACAAAATATGTAAATATATGTATATTTTTTTGAGATGGAGTCTCACTCTTGTCGCCCAGGCTAGAGTGAGGTTAATACTTTTTGTGTCCTAATGTGGCACTATCTCAGCTCCCTGAAACCTCCACCTCTGGAGTTCAAGTGATTCTCCTGCCTCAGCCTCCCTAGTAGCTGGGATTACAAGTGCCCGTGACCACGCCCAGCTAATGTTTTTGTATTTTTAGTAGCCATGGGGTTTCAACCTGTTGGCCATGCTGGTCTCGAACTCGTGACCTCAGGTGATCTGCCCACCTCGGCCTCCCAAAATGCTAGGATTACAGGCGTGAGCCACCGTGCCTGGCCCCTGATTATATTTCTTATTCTGAAGTTTTTACTGATTCTAATACTCTAGCTTTTATTTTACAAAACAACTTTATTGAGAAGTAATTCACATATTATACAATCAATCTACTGAAAAAGTATAATTTATTTCTGTCATTTACTGTTTCACATATTTTGGTACTCTGTTATTAAGTGCAAATATATGTGTAAATGTCATATCTTTCTGATGGATTGACCCTTTTATTATTTTAAAATATCTCTGTTTATCTCTAGTAACATTTTTTTTTTTGAGACAGGGTCTTGCTTTGTTGCCCAGGCTGGATTGTAGTGGTGCTGTCACAGCTCACTGCAGCCTTAACCTCTCAGGCTCAAGTGATCCTCCTGCCTCAGCCTCCTGACTAGCTGGGAATACAGGCATATGCCACTATGGTGGGATAACTTTTGTATTTTTTGTAAAGAAGGGGTTTCACCATGTTGCCTAGGCTGATCTCAAACTCCTGAGCTCAAGCGATCTGCCTGCCTCAGCCTCCCAAACTGCTGAGATTACAGATGAGAGCTACCACACTTGGCCCTGAATTTTCTGTATACAATATCATGTCATGTGTAATAGTGATTGTCTTACTTCCTTTCTAATCTGAGTTCGTTTTACTTATTTTTCTTGCCTAATTTCACTGGCTAGTACCTGTAGTACAATGTTTTGTTTTGTTTTAGTACAATGTTTTGTTTTGTTTTGTTTTAGACAGGGTCTCACTCTGTTGCCCAGGCTAAAGTACAGTGGTATGATCTCAGCTCACTGTAGCCTCAACCTCCCAGACTCCAGTGATCCTCCCACCTTAGCCTCCCAATTACCTGGGACTACAGGCACAGGCCACCATGCCTGGCTAAATTTTTATTTTTTTTTATTTTTAGTAGAGACAAGGTCTCACTATGTTGCCCAGGTTGGTCTCAAACTCCTGGGCTCAAATAATCCATGCACCTTGGCCTCCTAAAGTGCCAGGATTACAGGCATGAGACACTGGGCCCAGCCAATGTAGTACACATTTTTGTTTTGTTTTGTTTTGTTTTTAAGACAGGGTCTCACTCTGTTATCCAGACTGGAGTGCAATGGTAGAATCCTGCTCACTGCTGCCTTGACCTCCCTGGCTCAAGCAATCTTCCCACCTCAGCCTCTCAAGTAGCTGGAACAACAGGCGTGTGCCATCACACCCAGCTAATTTTAGTATTTTTTGTAGAGATGGGGTCTCACTATATTGCTCAGGCTGGTCTCAAACTCCTGGATGCAAGTGATCCTCCTGCCTCAGCATCCCAAAGCTCTGGCATTACAAGCACGAACCACCCTTATCTTGTTCTTGATCTTAGAGGGAAATGTTCATTTTTTCATCATTAAGTATAATATTAGTTGTAGGTTTTTCCTAGACATGCCTTATGAAAGTTGAGGATGTTATCTTCTATTCCTAGTTTGTGTTTTTACCATGAAAGAGTGTTGGGTTTCGTTAAATGCTTTTTTTTTTTTTTTTTTTTGACTGGTCAAGTACCCAATAATGAGAAAGGGGAAAGAGTAGAACAAGCAGTTTGATCTGTGATTGACTGTGAACAATCAAATGAGATAACTCACTACCTTTACACCAGTTTGTTTAATGCTTTTTTGGCAGCTATTGAGACGACTATGTGTTTTTTTCTAATATGCATACTTTTTACCTTATTTGGTTTTTATGGGTTCATGAAACTATTTTGTGAATGCATAAATGCATTATTACTTTCACAAATTCAGGGATGGTATATAGTTGTCTTTTGGTAGCTGCAGGTATTTGTTCTAGGACCCCTGTATAGATATCAAAATCTGCAGATGCTCAAGTCTCATATAAAATGGTATAGTATTTGCATATAATTTATGCACATCCTCCAGTATACTTTAAACTATCTCTAGATTACTTCTAATACCTAATGCAATATAAATGCTATATAAAGAGTTATACTGTATTGTCTTTTATTTGAATTATTTTATTGTTATTTTTATGGCTTTTTTCAAATATTTTCAATCTGCTGTTAGTTGATTCTGCAGATATGGAACCCATGGATACAGAGGGCCAACTGTATTCTCTTTAATTTGTATTTTACCATATATCTCAATATAGTGCTATGCAGAGAATAGACACAATAAATGTTCTATGAATTACCAACTAAATTTTTTGTGGTCTGGGTATAACCTGTAGTGTCTATAAGTCCTAAATATCAAGACCAAGTATATGTTTCATTAAAGTTTTGTTTGTTTGTTTGTTTGTTTGTTTGTTTTGAGATGGAGTTTCGCCCTGTCGCCCAGGCTGGAGTGCAGTGGTGCCATCCCTACTCACTGCAAGCTCCACCTCCTGGGCCCAAGCAATTCTCCTGCCTCAGCCTCCTGAGTAGCTGAGACTACAGGTGCCTACCACTACACCTGGCCAATTTTTGTATTTTTAGTAGAGACAGGGTTTCACCATGTTGGCCAGGATGGTCTCAATCTCCTGATCATGATCCACCTGCTTCGGCCTCCCAAAATGCTGGGATTACAGGTGTGAGCCACTGCACCCGGCTTCATTAACTTTGAAAATGATTATTTCCTTAGGTCTATTATTTTGTAGTGACATTTTCTAGAATTTTGTAATAATTTTGGGATAGTTTATATAACTATTTAAAAATTTACTTTTAGATTTAGTAACATATTCCTGGATTTCTTTGTCAGTTTCTGATATACTATAGTTGTGGTTAGTATGCCTATTTTGGGGGAAATTTAAGAATGATGAACTGTAACATCTGTACAGATGAACTTATTTATTATTTATTTATTTATTTATTTATTTGAGTTGGAGTTTTGCTCTTGTTGCCCAGGCTGGAGTGCAATGGTGCAATCTCGGCTCACCACAACCTCCGCTTCCTGGGTTCAAGCAATTCTCCTGTCTCAGCCTCCCGAGTAGCTGGGATTACAGGTATGCACCACCACGCCCAGCTAATTTTGTATTTTTAGTAGAGACACGGTTGCTCCATGTTGGTCAGGCTGGTCTCGAACTCCTGACCTCAGGTGCTCTGCCCGCCCCAGCCTCCCAAAGTGCTGGGATTATAGGGATGAGCCACCACTCCCGGCCTATTATTTATTTATTTTTTTAGAGACAGGGTCTCTGTTGTCCAGGCTGGAGTGCAGTGATGTGAGCATAGCTCAATGCAGCTTCAAGTTCCTGGGCTCAAGTGATCCTTCCACCTCAGCCTCCTAAGTAGCAAGGATTAAAGGCATGTGCCACCATGCCCGTCTAATTTTTTTTTTTTTGACAGAGTCTCAGTCACTCAGGCTATAGTGCAGTGGTGTGATCACGGCTCAACGCAGCCTCTGCCTTCTGGGCTCAAGTGTTCCTCCCACCTCAGCCTTCTGAATAGCTGAGACTACAGGCACACGCCACAACACCTGGCTAATTTTTGTATTTTTTGTAGAGATAGGGTTTCACCATGTTGCCCAAGCTGGCTGGCTAATTTTAAAAAAATTATTATTTTTTTTTGTAGAGATGGGGGTTTCCCTATGTTGCTCAGGCTGATCTTGAACTCCTGGCTTCAAGCAATCCTCCTGTCTCAGTCTCCCAAAGTGCTGGGGGTTTACAGGCATGAGCCATCATGCCTGGCTTATACAGATGAATTTATAAGATGCTTGTGATTTGTGTAAAAATAAAACAGGACAGGGGAGTAGTTAGGAGTATAGTTAAAAAAAGATTGGTCATGAGTTGCTAATTGTTGAAACTGGATAATGGGTACATTTTACCTATTTTTGTATGTTTAAAATGTTCCATGAAAAAATTTAATGTAATTGTGAAATATAACATACATAGTACATATGTATAGACCGATAGGTAATTATAACCTAGGTGTTAATAACCATGTAGCTTAAGAAAGAGAACTTTGCAAAACCCAGAAGCCACCACGTGCCTCTCCCCAATTATAACTTTCTTCTGTCTTTATTGGTAACTATTACCCTGACATTTCTTGCTTTCCTTTATGGTTTTACCACCTATGTGTGTATACTTAAATAATATAGTTTAGTTTTGTCCACGGTAAGTTTGTATGAAAGGTATCATACTGTATATATTCTTTTGTGTTTTTCTTCTTTCATCATGGTAAAATTTATCCATATTCATCTTTTTTCAATGCCATGAGTTCTGTCTACCCTTTATTTGTTGTTTTTTTTTTTTTTTTTTTTGAGATAGAGTCTCGCTCTGTCTTCCAGGCTGGAGTGCAGTGGTGTGACCTCGGCTCACTGCAATCTCTACCTCTCAGGTTCAAGCGATTCTCAGCCTCTTGAGTAGCTGGCATTACAGGCATGTGCCACCACACTCAGCTAATTTTTGTAGTTTTAGTAGAGACGGGGTTTCACCATGTTGGCCAGGCTGGTCTTGAACTCCTGCCCTCAGGTGGTCCACCCGCCTCGGCTTCCCACAGTGCTGGGATTACAGGCGTGAGCCACCACGCCTGGCCTATTTGGTGTATTTCCAACCAAGAACAAGGCAGGTGCTTAAGATAGTCTTTGAATCAATTAATTATTATCTTCCCCCTTGAACACTGAAAAATTTAAACCCAATTCACCACATCCTAGATACTCTAGAAAAATAGGACAGCATTGAGAGAGAGTAACATGAAGGAAAGTTCTCCTGAAGGAAGAATAAAAGGAACAGGCCATTTCAGTAGAGAGTGGAGATCAAGTGAGAAGGAAGGCAGATAGAAACATTAAAGGTGGATTGTGAAATTAAGTCAAAGTTTGTCCAAAGTTGGTAAGTGTGTTTCACTTTTACCAAGTATCACATATCCTGTCAGATTTTCTTGATACTACTTTGTTTAATTTTAAAAAATTACCCCAGTGTTTGGGCACTAAGAAGTTGACATACATTCCAATATCTTGGATCTTGGTAATTGCAGAGCATCTGTTCCTGGATTATTATCATTATATTTTTAACAGATAGAGTCTTACCCTGTCACCCAGCCTGGAATGCAGGGTGCCATCATAGCTGACTGCAGCCTCAAACTCCTGGGCTCAAGCAATCCTCCCACCTCAGCCTCCTAACAGTAGCTGGGATTATAGGCTCAAACCATCATGCCTGGCTTGGAGTATTTTGACAAAAACCAATAAGTTCCTTATATATATGTATTTTTCCTAAAGGTTGAATTAGAATCCTTGACCATGTGGACGTAAAGTGAAAAAAATAGAATCTTTAATGAGCTATCAGTAATGGCAAAAGCAAATATTTATCCACTATGCAAATTGTTACATGATATAAGTTTGTTTCTAAACAGAGAAATGGGTTGACTCTGGGGATAATTTTAAAAAATAATTATTGAGGGAAATTTTACCGTGTGATATGTTCAGATTTTGATACTGTGAATGGTATCGTATTGGATATTTACTGGTATATTGACAAATTCCTTAATGAAAGAATAGGTGAAAAAAATATGTATGCAACAAGGGAAAAAATTTTAGTCACTTAGCAAAAAAGAAATAAAGTTGTATTTATATAATTAGGACTTTCATAACAATACAATATTATAAAATCACTGAAAGTTCTAAACATTTTTTTTTTCATTTGAACACTTTTTTTCAAGTTTATAGAAAAATTTCTCAGTCTTGCCTCAGAAATAATGCTTTTGCCTCAGTGGATTCATTACACTATGGTGCGTTTGGATTGTGAAGATTTGAAGACAGGCCTGACAAATAAAGCAAAAGCCTTTGCAAACATATTATTAAATGACATAGCTTCAAAATATAGAAAAGAAAATGAATGGTAAGTAGAATTAATTCCCAAGCTCAGAATTATATGGCTAAAAGAAGTATTTTGCTAAAGTAACTCTTGTTTAAAAACAAAAGCTTAAAATATGTAAGTACGTACAACTTTTTCTCCATAGCTGCCTCCTATAGAGGTGCCTTTGTAGTCCCATTGGGCTGGATTCTTTTTGTTTGATACTGTTTGATACCTTTTTAAATGCAACCCAGGATTTTTTTAAAAAAGAAATGGAAATAAACCAGATTCAGGTACAGGTTACATGATAATGATAAGATTGTAGACTTTTGGTGATATTGGGCAGATCTGGGATCATCCCTGACCTCAATATTTACTTATTGTATCACCGAGCTTATTTTTCTCATCTGTAAAATGGAGACAGTAATACCTACTTTTCAGGGTGGCTATAAAATTGGATTCATAAACTAGTGGCCTGCTACTTGAGTGTGTCATGTAGATGTGTTTTGCTTGTTTCACACTGTGTTTTATTTTGTTTAAACAGATTTTGGACTTGCTACCATCATTTTAAAATTAGTACACACACGCACGTGCACACACACACACACACACACACTTTGGATTTCTTACCTTTCTTGAAAAAGTGGGAAGACCATGCCACATCGGGCCTGCTGTGGTAAATGGAGCTAAGAAGCAACTTTGCCTTTTAGAGAGGGAATATGTCCTGTGGTTTGTTCACCCAGTGCTCAACCAATTCATCATCCAATTTATTGAACTCATTTGTTATCTGTGTGTCCCCAAAAAAGCTTGTAACTTCTGTAAAGATGAAAACTAATGTATGTATAGCACCTAGCACACTGCCTGGCACATGGTACTCAATAAATGTTAACTATTATGTTTATTTTCCCGGAAGCAAAGTGAAAAAATTGCATGCTTTGGAATCAGAAAGACATGAATTTGAATACTGATTGCCATTAACTAGTTCCATAACTCTGGGCAACCTACTTAATTTTCCTGAGCCTCAGTTTTCTACTGTGTCAACTATGAAAAATAGTACCTTCCAGGCAGGCACGGTGGCTCATGCCTGTAATCCCAGCACTTTGGGAGGCCGAGGAGGGCGAATCACGAGGTCAGGAGTTCGAGACCAGCCTGGCCAACATGGTGAAACCCCGTCTCTACTAAAAATACAAAAAATTAGCTGGGTGTGGTGGCAGGTGCCTGTAACCCCAGCTACTCAGGAGGTTGAGGCAGGAGAATCGCTTGAACCCGGGAAGTGGAGGTTGCAGTGAGCCGAGATGGCACCACTGCACTCCAGCCCGGGCTACAGTGCGAGACTCCATCTCAAAAACAAACAAACAAACAAAAACAAAAAGAAAAAGAGTACCTTCCTCGCAGGACTAATATTAGGATCACAGATAACATTTGTAAAATATCTAGTGCCTTGCTTGGCATAGAATAGGAGCCCAATAAATATCTTAAATTGAATAAGCAAATATATGACAGTCAGAAGTCAAATTTATCAGGCATATTCTGTATAAAAGTATACTACACGAGAAGATATCAAAGAGGGTAAAGTATTAGAACCTTTCCCTTTCTTGAGAGTTGTAACCATCCTGATGAGTAACAACAATGACAATGCCATAGTTAGTTAAAAAAAACCAAAAAACAAAAAACAAAAAAAAAACACTTTATAAGTTTATGTTTAACATAATTTTTTTGTATTTATTTTTGTAGTATCTGTGATTTTTCTGGAAAATTCCATACTTTTCACAAAATAATTATCTTATTATAAAGCTATGATATAAAAGCAGCTGAAAATTTATCCAGTTTCCTTCACCTAGTTTATTCTTTGATTCCTCCTGTTTCAATTCTGTACTTTAGATAACATCAAAAGGAGGAAATGTGTGCCCCTAGGTTAAGTACAAGGTCACTGAAGAGCAATTTGCTTACTTCACCGTTTGGTTTAGCATCTGCTTGGGCCATCTTGCTCTCATCATTTTGTTTGCCTCCTTTTCTTTTGCTGAAGTATCTCTGCCCAAAGGACTCAGATTCTGCACTAGCAAGATGATCCCCAGGAGGATTATCTGTCTTTTTGCATTATCCACATTAATGCTTGCTCTTTCTTTTTTTTCTTTCTTTTTCTTTTTTTTCTTTCTTTCTTTCTCTTTCTTTTTTTTTTTCTTTCTTTCTCTTTCTTTCTCTCTCTCTCTCCCTCCCTCCCTCCCTCCCTTTCTCTCTCTCTCTCCCTTCCTTCCTTCCTTCCTTTCTTCCTTCTTTTCTATTAGAGACAAGGTCTTGCCATGTTGCCTAGGCTGGTCTCAAACTCCTGGACTCAAGTGATCCTCCCTCCTCAGCCTCCCAAAGTGTTGGGATTACAGGTGTGGGCCACTGTGCCTGGCCACATTCCTCCTGTATTTCTGATATTCAATAATTAACTGTAAAGTCCTACATGATCTGATTCCTGCTCACCACTTCAACTTCGTTTGCCATTCCTAAAGTATGCCAAGCTTATTACCACTTTATGGCCGTTGTCCTTGCTGGTTTTTCTTCCTGGAATCTCTTTTCCTGGTATTTGAACAACTCATTTGTTTTTTCCCCTCACCTTGAATATTACCTCCCTAGAAAGGCCTTCTCTGGCCCCTCTGTATAAAATAGTGGCTTCTTCTTGACACTCCATCATTCTTTTTCCTTTTATGTTGCTTTATTTTTCTTCATAGCTTTTTTTTCTCCTTTAGAGACAGGGTCCTACTATGTTGCCCGGACCGAAGTGCAGTAGCACAATTATAGCTCACTTCCACCTCGAACTCCTGGGCTCAAGGGATCCTCAGCATTTTTTTTGCTACCTAACAGTGTACATATTTGTGTGCTTTTGTCTCTTTCCTCAGCTTCAATACAAGCTTTATGAGGGCAGGGTCTCATTTGCTGCTATATTTAGAATTTTCCTTAGCATATTGTAGGTACTCAGCTATTTATTAAATGAGTGAATGAGCAAGTATAATTTCCCACATATTTCTCCAAATTCCTGCATGAACTAAAAAATCATTTACCTCTTTTACACTTTGTTTTTACATGGTTTTTTCCTGATATTTCTAGTAATAGAATGACAATACCGATTTCTATTTCTTACTTAAAATTAAAAAAAATTTAATAGAGACATGGTTTTGCCATGTTGCGTAGGCTGATTTCAACCTCCTGGGCTCAAGAGATCCTCCTACCTCAGCCTCCCAAAGTACTGGGTTTACAAGCGTGAGCCTCTGTGCCTGGGCTAGATATTTTTTTAAAAGAAAAAATTAATTTTAATTTTTAAAATTTCAATAGTTTTGGGGGGTATAAGTGGTTTTGTTACATGGGTAAATTCTTTTTTTTTTTTTTGAGATGGAGTCTCACTGCAACCTCTGCCTCCCAGGTTCAAGCTATTCTCCTGGAATCTCCTCAGCCCCCCAGGTAGCTGGGGCTGCAGGCATGTGCCACCATGCCTGGCTAATTTTGTATTTTTAGTAGAGATGGGGTTTCATCATGTTGGTCAGGCTGGTCTTGAACTTCTGACCTCAAGTGATCTACCCTCCTGGACCTCCCAAAGTGCTGAGATTACAGGCATGAGCCACCACGCCTAGCAGTTAAGTTATTTAGCGGTGATTTCTGAGATTTTAGTGTACCCATCACTCAAGTAGTGTACACTGTACCAATATGTAGTCTTTTACCCCTCACCTGCCTCTCAGCCTTCCCCACACCGAGTCCCCGAAGTCCATTATATTACTCTTTTGCATCCTCATAGCCTAGCTCCCACTTATAAGTGAGAATATACGATATTTGGTTTTCCATTCCTGAGTTACTTCACTTAGAATAATGGCCTCCAGCCGGGTGCGGTGGCTCATGCCTGTAATTCCAGCACTTTGGGAGGCTGAAGCAGGTGGATCACGAGGTCAGGAGTTCAAGACCAGCCTGGCCAACATGTGAAACCCCATCTCTACTCAAAATACAAAAATTAGCCAGACGTGGTGGCACGCGCCTGTAATCCCAGCTACTCGGGAGGCTGAGGCAGGAGAATGGCTTGAACCTGGAGGTGAAGGTTGTGGTGTATTGCACCACTACACTCTAGCCTGGGCAACAGAGTGAGACTCTGTCTCAGAAAAGAAAAAAAAAAAAGAATAATGGCCTCCAGCTCCATCCAAGTTACAGCAAAGGACATTATTTCATTCCTTTTTATGGCTAAGTAGTATTCCGTGGTGTCTATATACCACATTTTCTTTATCCACTCATTGGTCGATGGGCACTTAGGTTGGTTCCATATCTTTGCAATTGTGAACTGTGCTGCTAATAAACATGCTTGTGCAGATGTCTTTTTCATGACTTCTTTTCCTTTGGGTAGATACCTAGTAGTGGGATTGCTTGATTGAATGGTAGTTCTATTTTTAGTTCTTTAAGGAACCTCAATACTGTTTTCCATAGTGGTTGTACTAATTTACATTCTCACAAGCAGTTTAAGTGTTCCCTTTTCACCACATCCATGCCAACATCTATTGTTTTTTGACTTTTAAATTATGGCCATTCCTGTAGGAGTGAGGTGGTATCTCATTGTGGTTTTAATTTGCATTTCCCTGATGATTAGTTATGTTGAGCATTTTTTCATAGGTTTTTTTGGCTGTCTTCTTTTAAGAAATGCCTATTCATGTCCTTTGCCTACTTTTTGATGAGATTATTTGTTTTTTCCTTGCTGATTTGATTGAGTTCATTGTAGATTCTGGATACTAGTCTTTTGTTGGAGGCAGAGTTTGCAAATATTTTCTCCCACTCTGTGGCTTGTCTGTTTACCCTGCTGATTATTTCTTTTGCTGTGCAGAAGCTTTTTGGTTTAATTAGGTCCCATTTATTTATTTTTGTTTTTGTTGTGTTTGCTTTTGAGGTCTTAGTCATGGATTCTTTGCCTAAGCCAATGTCCAGAAGCTTTTTTCTGATGTTATTTTCTAGAATTTTTATGGTTTCAGGTCTCGGATTTAAGTCTTTGATCCGTCTTGAGGAGATTTTTGTATAAGGTGAGAGATGGAGATCCTGTGGCTGTTCAGGTTTCCCAGCACTATTTATTGAATAGGGTGTCCTTTCCCCAATTTATGTTTTTGTATGCTTTATCAAAGATTAGTTTGGCCCAGATATTTTAAAGCACAGGAAAAAATTCCATGAAATGTAACTTTAGTTGAATAATGCTGTAGGATATCTAGGTTCATATCCTACATGGGATATTCTAAGAGAACTGTTAATTAAAGAAACTATGTATAAGAGTTTGAGGGTTTGATCTGTTTACTTGCTGTACTGTCATGTTTCACAAGAGGCACTAATAATAATAAAACTAATAATTATACTAATGATTATAGTTATCAGTAAATAGAGTGTACTATGTGCTAGACCCTTTGCATTCATTGTTGTATTACAACAATCCAGAAAGATGAGTGTTACCTGGGTATTTAAGAGAGTTGAAGAGGTCGCTAAAATTTTTTTCTAATATGCCATAATTTTGCATGTAAATATTACCTTAATTTTGTAGGTTTTGTTGATGTATAGTATATACTGAATTATAGCAGATAAGCTTTTTTTTTTTTTTTTTTTTTGAGACAGGGTCTCACTCTGTCACCCAGACTGGAGTGCAACGGTGCAATCATGGCCCACTGTAGCTCAACCTCCCAAGCTCAAGTGATCCTCCTGCCTCAGCTTCCCAAGTAGCTGGGACTACAGGCATGTGCCACCATGCCCAGCTAATTTTTGTATTTTTTTTTTTTGTAGAGACAGGGTTTCACCACTTTGCACAGGCTGGTTTTGAACTCCTGAGCTCAAGTGATCTGCCTGCCTTGGCCTTTCAAAGTGCTATGATTACAGGTGTGAGCCACTGTGCCTGGCCAAGCTTAAATATTTTTAAGATACCTTAGTGAATCAAGCAATTTTTTTAGGATATCATAGTTCTTATTTTATAGTAATCGTCATAACACACATTTATTGAATATGATATAACATTAATTGCCATAAGTCTATTAAAGCAGAGTATTATGTCAGTATTTGCAGTGAATTTGAAGCAATTAAAGAACATGCATTAAAAGTCCCTGAAACAACAGAAGAGATGATGGATCTGATATCTTATGTAGAAAAAGCCCGGACTGTAGGAATCGAAGAGTTGATTTTAAGGATCCAGGTAAGGAATTTTAATTTGCATATTTTGGTTTGTTTTCATTGTGAAATATTATTTTCATGGTGAAGATGTATAAAATATATAGTTACACAAATAGCTGTAAATTGAGCGGTTATATTGCCACCACCTAGGCCAAGAAATAGGATATTGTCAGCACCCCAGGACTCTGCATATAACTTTCTGATCGCCATGCCTCTCCTTCTCCCCTGTCCTCTTCTAGAGGTTTCCAGTTGATTTTTACAGTAATTTTAGCTTGGAATTTCTTTTTTTTTTTTTTTTCAATGTTGCACAGCTTTGTTTTTTTATTATTATACTTTAAGTTTTAGGGTACATGTGCACAACGTGCAAGTTAGTTACATATGTATACATGTGTCATGTTGGTGTGCTGCACCCATTAACTCGTCATTTAACATAGGTATATCTCCTAATGCTATCCCTCCCCCCTCCCCCCACCCCACAACAGTCCCCGGTGTGTGATGTTCCCCTTCCTGTGTCCATGTGTTCTCATTGTTCAATTCCCACCTATGAGTGAGAACATGCGGTGTTTAGTTTTTTGTCCTTGCAATAGTTTGCTGAGAATGATGGTTTCCAGCTGCATCCATGTCCCTACAAAGGACATTAACTCATCCTTTTTTATGGCTGCATAGTATTCCATGGTGTATATGTGCCACATTTTCTTAATCCAGTCTATCATTGTTGGACATTTGGGTTGGTTCCAAGTCTTTGCTGTTGTGAATAGTGCTGCAATAAACATACGTGTGCATGTGTCTTTATAGCAACATGATTTATAATCCTTTGGGTATATACCCAGTAATGGGATGGCTGGGTCAAATGGTATTTCTAGTTCTAGATCCCTGAGGAATCGCCACACTGAATTCCACAATGGTTGAACTAGTTTACAGTCCCACCAACAGTGTAAAAGTGCTCCTATTTCTCCACATCCTCTCCAGCACCTGTTGTTTCCTGACTTTTTAATGATCGCCATTCTAACTGGTGTGAGATGGTATCTCATTGTGGTTTTGATTTGCATTTCTTTGATGGCCAGTGATGATGAGCATTTTTTCATGTGTCTTTTGGCTGCAAAAATGTCTTCTTTTGAGAAGTGTCTGTTCATGTCCTTTGCCCACTTTTTGATGGGGTTGTTTGTTTTTTTCTTGTAAATTTGTTTGAGTTCATTGTAGATTCTGGATATTAGCCCTTTGTCAGATGGGTAGATTGCAAAAATTTTCTGCCATTCTGTAGGTTGCCTGTTCACTCTGATGGTAGTTTCTTTTGCTGTGCAGAAGCTCTTTAGTTTAATTAGATCCCATTTGTCAATTTTGGCTTTTGTTGCCATTGCTTTTGGTGTTTTAGGCTTGAAGTCCTTGCCCATGCCTATGTCCTGAATGGTATTGCCTAGGTTTTCTTCTAGGGTTTTTATGGTTTTAGGTCTAACATTTAAGTCTTTAATCCATCTTGAATTAGTTTTTGTATGAGGTGTAAGGAAGGGATCCAGTTTCAGCTTGCTACATATGGCTAGCCAGTTTTCCCAGCACCATTTATTAAATAGGGAATCCTTTCCCCATTGCTTGTTTTTCTCAGGTTTGTCAAAGATCAGATGGTTGTAGATATGCGGCATTATTTCTGAGGCCTCTGTTCTGTTCCATTGGTCTATATCTCTGTTTTGGTACCAGTACCATGCTGTTTTGGTTACTGTAGCCTTGTAGTACAGTTTGAAGTCAGGTAGCGTGATGCCTCCAGCTTTGTTCTTTTGGCTTAGAATTGACTTGGCAATGCAGGCTCTTTTTTGGTTCCATATGAACTTCAAAGTAGTTTTTTCCAATTCTGTGAAGAAAGTCATTGGTAGCTTGATGGGGATGGCATTGAATCTATAAATTACCTTGGGCAGTATGGCCATTTTCACGATATTGATTCTTCCTACCCATGAGCATGGAATGTTCTTCCATTTGTTTGTATCCTCTTTTATTTTGTTGAGCAGTGGTTTGTAGTTCTCCTTGAAGAGGTCCTTCATGTCCCTTGTAAGTTGGATTCCTAGGTGTTTTATTCTCTTTGAAGCAATTGTGAATGGGAGTTCACTCGTGATTTGGCTCTCTGTTTGTCTGTTATTGGTGTATAAGAATGCTTGTGATTTTTGCACATTGATTTTGTATTCTGAGACTTTGCTGAAGTTACCTATCAGCTTAAGGAGATTTTGGGCTGAGACAATGGGGTTTTCTAGATATACAATCATGTCATCTGCAAACAGGGACAATTTGACTTCCTCTTTTCCTAACTGAATACCCTTTATTTCCTTCTCCTGCCTGATTGCCCTGGCCAGAACTTCTAACACTTTGTTGAATAGGAGTGGTGAAAGAGGGCATCCCTGTCTTGTGCCAGTTTTCAAAGGGAATGCTTCCAGTTTTTGCCCATTCAGTATGATATTGGCTGTGGGTTTGTCATAGATAGCTCTTATTATTTTGAGATACGTCCCATCAATACCTAATTTATTGAGAGTTTTTAGCATGAAGCACTGTTGAATTTTGTCAAAGGCCTTTTCCGCATCTATTGAGATAATCATATGGTTTTTGTCTTTGGTTCTGTTTATATGCTGGATGACATTTATTGATTTGCGTATGTTGAACCAGCCTTGCATCCTAGGGATGAAACCCACTTGATCATGGTGGATAAGCTTTTTGATGTGCTGCTGGATTCAGTTTGCCAGTATTTTAGTGAGGATTTTTGCATCGACGTTCATCAGGGATATTGGTCTAAAATTCTTCTTTTGTTGTGTCTCTTCCCGGCTTTGGTATCAGGATGATGCTGGCCTCATAAAATGAGTTAGGGAGGATTCCCTCTTTTTCTATTGATTGGAATAGTTTCAGAAGGAATGGTACCAGCTCCTCCTTGTACCTCTGGTAGAATTCGGCTGTGAATCCATCTGGTCCTGGACTTTTTTTGGTTGGTAAGCTATTAATTATTGCCTCAATTTCAGAGCCTGTTATTGGTCTATTCAGAGATTCAACTTCTTCCTGGTTTGGTCTTGGGAGGGTGTATGTGTCGAGGAATTTATCCATTTCTTCTAGATTTTCTAGTTTATTTGCGTAGAGGTGTTTATAGTATTCTCTGATGGTAGTCTGTATTTCTGTGGGATCGGTGGTGACATCCCCTTTATCATTTTTTATTGCATCTATTTGATTCTTCTCTCTTTTCTTCTTTATTAGTCTTGCTAGCGGTCTATCAATTTTGTTGATCTTTTCAAAAAACCAGCTCCTGGATTCATTGATTTTTTGAAGGGTTTTTTATGTCTCTATTTCCTTCAGTTCTGCTCTGATCTTAGTTGTTTCTTGCCTTCTGCTAGCTTTTGAATGTGTTTGCTCTTGCTTCTCTAGTTCTTTTAATTGTGATGTTAGGGTGTCAATTTTGGACCTTTCCTGCTTTCTCTTGTGGGCATTTAGTGCTATAAATTTCCCTCTACACACTGCTTTGACTGTATCCCAGAGATTCTGGTATGTTGTGTCTTTGTTCTCGTTGGTTTCAAAGAACATCTTTATTTCTGCCTTCATTTCGTTATGTACCAGTAGTCATGCAGGAGCAGGTTTTTCAGTTTCCATGTAGTTGAGTGGTTTTGAGTGAGTTTCTTAATCCTGAGTTCTAGTTTGATTGCACTGTGGTCTGAGAGATAGTTTGTTATAATTTCTGTTCTTTTACATTTGCTGAGGAGTGCTTTACTTCCAACCGTGTGGTCAATTTTGGAATAAGTGCTGTGTGGTGCTGAGAAGAATGTATATTCTGTTGATTTGGGGTGGAGAGTTCTGTAGATGCCTATTAGGTCCGCTTGGTGCAGAGTTGAGTTCAATTTCTGGATATCCTTGTTAACTTTCTGTCTCATTGATCTGTCTAATGTTGACAGTGGGGTTTTAAAGTCTCCCATTATTATTGTGTGGGAGTCTAGGTCTCTTTCTAGGTCTCTAAGGACTTGCTTTGTGAATCTGGGTGCTCCTGTATTGGGTGCATATATATTTAGGATAGTTAGCTCTTCTTGTTGAATTGATCCCTTTACCATTATGTAATGGCCTTCTTTGTCTCTTTTGATCTTTGTTGGTTTAAAGTCTGTTTTATCAGAGACTAGGATTGCAACCCCTGCCTTTTTTTGTTTTCCATTTGCTTGGTAGATCATCCTCCATCCCTTTATTTTGAGCCTAGTGTGTCTCTGCACGTGAGATGGGTTTCCTGAATACAGCACACTATGGGTCTTGACTCTATCCAATTTGCCAGTCTGTGTCTTTTAATTGGAGCATTTAGCCCATTTATATTTAAGGTTAATATTGTTATGTGTGAATTTGTTCCTGTCATTAAGATGTTAGCTGGTTATTTTGCTCGTTACTTGATGCAGTTTCTTCCTAGCCTCGATGGTCTTTACAATTTGGCACGTTTTTGCAGTGGCTGGTACTGATTGTTCCTTTCCATGTTTAGCGCTTCCTTCAGGAGCTCTTTTAGGGCAGGCCTGGTGGTGACAAAATCTCTCAGCATTTGCTTGTCTGTAAAGTATTTTATTTCTCCTTCACTTATGAAGCTTAGTTTGGCTGGATATGAAATTCTGGGTTGAAAATTCTTTTCTGTAAGAATGTTGAATATTGGCCCCCACTCTCTTCTGGCTTATAGAGTTTCTGCCAAGAGCTCAGCTGTTAGTCTGATGGGCTTCCCTTTGTTGGTAACCCAACCTTTCTCTCTGGCTGCCCTTAACATTTTTTCCTTCATTTCAACTTTGGTGAATCTGACAATTACGTTTCTTGGAGTTGCTCTTCTCGAGGAGTATCTTGGTGGAATTCTGTGTATTTCCTGAATTTGAATGTTGGCCTGCCTTGCTAGGTTGGGGAAGTTCTCCTGGATAATATCCTGCAGAGTGTTTTCCAACTTGGTTCCATTCTCCCCGTCACTTTCAGGTACACCAATCAGACGTAGATATGGTCTTTTCACATAGTCCCATATTTCTTGGAGACTTTGTTTATTTCTTTTTATTCTTTTTTCTCTAAACTTCTCTTCTAGCTTCATTTCATTCATTTGATCTTCCATCACTGATACCCTTTCTTCCAGTTGATCGAATCGGCTACTGAGGCTTGTGGATTCGTCACGTAGTTCTTGTGCCTTGGTTTTCAGCTCCATCAGGTCCTTTAAGGACTTCTCTGCATTGGTTATTCTAGTTAGCCATTCGTCTAATTTTTTTTCAAGGTCTTTAACTTCTTTGCCATGGGTTCGAACTTCCTCCTTTAGCTCAAAGTAGTTTGATCATCTGAAGCCTTCTTCTCTCAACTCGTCAAAGTCATTCTCCGTCCAGCTTTGTTCCATTGCTGGTGAGGAGCTGCATTCCTTTGGAGAAGGAGAGGCGCTCTGATTTTTAGAGTTTACAGTTTTTCTGCTCTGTTTTTTCCCCATCTTTGTGGTTTTATCTACCTTTGGTCTTTGATGATGGTGACGTACAGATGGGGTTTTGGTGTAGATGTCCTTTCTGTTTGTTAGTTTTCCTTCTAACAGTCAGGACCCTCAGCTGCAGGTCTGTTGGAGTTTGCTGGAGGTCCACTCCAGACCCTGTTTGCCTGGGTATCAGCAGCGGTTGCTGCAGAACAGCGGATATTGGTGAACAGCAAGTGTTGCTGCCTGATCGTTCCTCTGGAAGTTTTGTCTCAGAAGAGTACCCGGCCGTGTGAGGTGTCAGTCTGCCCCTACTGGGGGGTGCCTCCCAGTTAGGCTACTCGGGGGTCAGGGACCCACTTGAGGAGGCAGTCTGTCCATTCTCAGATCTCCAGCTGCATGCTGGGAGAACCACTATTCTCTTCAAAGTTGTCAGACAGGGACATTTAAGTCTGCAGAGGATTCTGCTGCCTTTTGTTTGTCTGTGCCCTGCCCCTGGAGGTGGAGTCTACAGAGGCAGGCAGGCCTCCTTGAGCTGCCGTGCACTCCACCCAGTTCGAGCTTCCCGGCCACTTCGTTTACCTAGTCAAGCCTCGGCAATGGCGGGCGCCCCTCCCCCAGCCTCTCTGCTGCCTTGCAGTTTGATATCAGACTGCTGTGCTAGCAATGAGTGAGGCTCCGTGGGTGTAGGACCCTCTGAGCCATGCACAGGATATAATCTCCTGGTGTGCCGTTTGCTAAACCCGTTGGAAAAGCGCACTATTAGGGTGCGAGTGACCTGATTTTCCAGGTGCCGTCTGTTACCCCTTTCTTTGACTGGGAAAGGGAATTCTCTGACCCCTTGCACTCCCCAGGTGAGGCGATGCCTCACCCTGCTTTGGCTCATGCTCAGTGCGCTGCACCCACTGACCTGCACCTACTTTCCGACACTCCCCGGTGAGATGAACCTGGTACCTCAGTTGGAAATGCAGAAATCACCCATCTTCTGCGTCGCTCACACTGGGAGCTGTAGACTGGAGCTGTTCCCATTTGGCCATCTTGGCTCCACCCCCTTAGCTTTGAATTTCTTTAGTTTCACTAATTTTGTGTATGTCCTTAAACAATATAGATTTTTAAAAATATTTTTTCTTTTATAGTTTCTGCATTTAATAGTATGTTTTTACCTTTTCCAGCACAAGATGATGTACCTATTTACCTATATTTTACTCTTATTCTTTGTTTAAGAAACTTTTAAAAATGTTAAACAACACATATACCAAAATTACGTAAAACATGAATTGTACAATTTGGAATGTTCTAAAGTAAACAGCCAGTAATTACCACCTAGGAAAATAAATAGAACCTTGCCAACGCTCTAGAAGCCCATCATAATCCCTTGTCTTCTGGATGTTAGTGCTATTCTGATTTTTTTTATTTTTTATTTTTTTGAGACAGAGTCTCGCTCTGTCACCCAGGCTGGAGTGCAGTGGTGAGGTTTTGGCTCACTGCAACCTCCGCCTCCTGGGTTCAAGTGATTCTCCTGCCTCAGCCTCCTGAGTAGCTGGGAGTACAGGCACCCGCCACCACGCCTGGCTAATTTTTGTATTTTTAGTAGAGACGGGGCTTCACCATATTGGCCAGGCTGGTCTCGAACTCCTGACTTTATGATCTGCCCGTCTCAGCCTCCCAAAGTGCTAGGATTACAGGCATGAGCCACTGCGCCTGGCCTATTCTGATTTTTATAGTGATTACTTCCTTGTTTTTTTTTATAGTTATACAACTTAAACTTGCATTTCTAATCAATATAGTTAATTTCTTCTGATTTTGGTCTTTATATAAAGGGAATCATACCATTTATATTCTTTTGCCTCTCATCAATGTTATGTTAGTAATGTCATTGTTCCTAAACTTTAGCTGATTTTCATTGCAGTCTAGTATTCCACTCCATATTGTATCCATTCCACATTGTATACAATAATTTATTTTAAAAATTTTACTGTTCTGGATATTTGGTTGTTTCTGCTTTTGATATTACTGGCAATGCTTCTGTGAACATTTTAACACATGTATCCCAGTGCACACATTCATTCATTTCTTCCAGGTGTTATAAGATATGCTTTTATTCACCTTTACTAATTAAGGCAAAATTCTTTTCTAAGTAGTTCCAGTTTTAGACTCCTATTAGCAGTGCACAAAGTGTCTATTATTTTAACATTCTTACTTGCAATTGTGAGATGGATTAAATTTTGCCAGTCTATTGGGTGAAAGTTATGGTATTTTCAATTTGCATTTTCCTAAAAAGAAATGAATTTGAACACTTTTCATATGCTTATTGGCTATTTGGAGTGCCTCTTTTGTGAAATGATAGTACATACATTTTGCTCATTTATTTTTTTGGGTTATGTACCTTTTCCTTATTGATTTGTAGCAGTTAAAAAAGTGGTAAAATGAACATAACACAAAATTTACCATTTTAACCATTTTTAAGTATACAGTTCAATGTAGTAATTTTTAATATATTATTAGGTATCTTTTTATTCACTCTGTAATTTAACTTTTTAATGGTGTTTTTGATGAACAGAAGTCCTTAATTTTAATGCAGTTAAATGGAGCAGTCTTTTATTTTATAATAAATGGAGCAATCTTTCTTTCTTTCTTTGTCTCTCTCTTTCTCTCTTTCTTTCTTCCTGTTGGAGACAAGGCCTTGCCATGTTGCCTTAATTTTAGTGCAGTTAAATGGAGCAGTATTTTATTTTATACCTAGTGCTTTCTGTGTTTTATTTAAGAAATCCTCTCCTACCTTGGTTCAAAGACATTTTTCTTCCACCCTTTTCTAGAAGCTGTTTAGTTTTGCTTTTGAGATTTAGGTTTCAATCCTGAAAATGTATTTCTGTAAATAATGTGAGGTCCAATTTAAATATTTTCCCATATAGATGAGCAAATACATATTTATTGAAGAGACCATCCCCACTGTGTCCGTATATGTGTAGATCTGTTTTGAGGCAGCTTGTTCTGTTCCATTGGCCTTTTTTTTTTTGAGAAAGAGTCTCGCTCTGTCGCTAGGCTGGAGTGCAATGGCGCGATCCCAGCTCACTGCAACCTCTGCCTCCCGGGTTCAAGAGATTCTCCTGTCTCAGCCTCCTGAGTACCTGGGACTACAGGCACGCGCCACCACGCCCAGCTAGCACCACCACACCCAGCTAATTTTTGTATTTTTAGTAGAGACGGGGTTTCACCATGTTGGCCAGGATGGTCTCCATCTCTTGACCTCATGATCTGCCCGACTTGGCCTCCCAAAGTGTTGGGATTACAGGCGTGAGCTACCATGCTCGACCAAAATTTATTTTTATATACTAATTTAATACCCATTGCTCAATTTTTCTTTTAAAATTTTCTATTTAAAAATTTGAACTTTAGGCCCTGCACAGTGGCTCATGCCTAAAATCCCAGCACTGTGGGAGGCCGACGTGGGTGGATCACCTGATGTCAGGAGTTTGAGACCAGCCTGACCAACATGGTGAAATCCCGTCTCTGCTAAACACAAAAAGTTAGCTGGGCGTGGTGGCACATGCCTGTAATCCCAGCTACTTGGGAGGCTGAGGCAAGAGAATCGCTTGAACCTGGGAGGCGGAGGTTGCAGTGAGCCGAAATTGCACCATTGCACTCCAGCCTGGGCAACAAGAGTGAAACTCTGTCTCAAAAAAAAATTTTTAACTTTAATATTTTTATATATTTTAAATTTCTCTTCTTAATTTTAATAGTTTATCTGAAGATTATTTTGGAATGTCTTCATATACCATTATATAACTTGCAAATGATGACAGTTCTGTTTTTCCTGATCAAATGTTACACATTTGCAAAACTTTACTTTCTTTGCAACAATGGACTGTCTGGGACTCTAGTACAATGTTGAATAGCAGTGGATGGCAGATTTCCCATCTTTATCCCAACCTTAAGGGGAAAGCTTTCAAGATTTCACTATTAAGTATGACATTTGTTGTAGGTTTTATACAGGTACTTTTGCCAGATTAGTGAATTCCCTTCTATTGCTGATGTGCTACTACGTTTTTTGAAAAGAAAAATTAGTATGAGTGGACTTTGAATTTCACTACATGCTTTTTTGCATCTACTGTGTTGATCATATGCTTTTTCTCTTTAATCTATTAATATAACGAATTACACGGATTGCTTTTTATTTTAAAGTTTTATTTCTATGTGCATTGTATATACATAATATATAGAATGTACAAAATACATATTTAATGTTATTTTCAATACATAATTTTATATCTATATTATATATATAGATGTATGTATATATATGTATACATATGTATAATATAAAATCAAAAACCTCAAATTTGCCTTTGAATCTGTATTTCAATTCTTAAAAATTAGTACTACAGTACAGCTTATAGAGCAATGAAAGATATAGAGGGTAAAAATATTCAACCTATCTACTCAGATAATCTATTGTTTTAAGAGTTTTTTTTCTTTGCAACTCACCTCCAACTTTTTTTTTTTTTGAGACGGAGTCTCACTCTGTCGCCCAGGCTGGAGTGCAGTGGCACAATCTCGGCCCACTGCAACCTCCACCTCCTGGGTTCAAGCAATTCTCCTGCCTCAGCCTCCAAGTAGCTGGGACTACAGACGTGCGTCACCAAGCCCAGCTAATTTTTGTATTTTTAGTAGAGATGGGGGTTCGTCACGTTGGCCAGGCTGGTCTCTAACTCCTGACCTCAGGTGATCCACCCGCCTCAGCTTCCCAAAGTGTTGGGATTACAGGTGTGAGCTACCGTACCTGGCCAACTCACCTTCAACTCTTTCTGAACTATTACATACCGCAATATTCTAGACTATTGCATACAGTAACATGTGAAGTAGGCCAAAAAGGTGGTGATGTCAGTGAAGATACAAAACAAAAGAAAAGATACTAAAATCTTTGTCATCAAAGATTCAAAAATAAAATATTTATAAGAATAAAATAATTTAAAATCCTTTAAAATCAAAATTAAAGGACTTCTGAAGATTTAATTATATTTTTCAGTCATAAACAAGGGAGGACCAAAAGTTCCTTTATGCTAAATCAACTGTAAGTGAAAACTTTTTAAAAGCCTTATTTCTAGCATAAAAGTATACAATTATGTGGCATGAAGCAAGATAAATAATACTGCAGCTATTGAAATACCCATCTGGTTTGGGTGATATATAAAATATCAGTTAATAATCTGAGTCAAACTGAAATCTGAAAGGGTATTAGAGATTGTTGTTGGTTCTTCTCTTTTTCATAATGATGTAGATTTTCTATATGACATATTATATCCAGAGTTTCTTTTGTAGGAATCTAAACGCCAAATGAGTTACTTTTTAGATGTTTTCCTATTTCCTCAAGAAGACTTAGCTTTAAATGCAACTGTCCTCATGTGGCCTAGGAAAATTAATCCCATCTTTGATGAAAATGATGAGGTAAATATATTTTTCAGTATGTATTTTTGTAATCTGACATTTCAAGCACATCATTCACATTTAATTTTCATATCTCCTGGCCATCTAACTTTAAAAGTAATTTTGTGTGTCAATATGAGTTTGAGACTGGCCACACTTATGGCCCTCTAGGCTTAAGACAAGCTGTTAGGCTTAACTCACAAGGTCTGGTAAGTAGTGGGGCTGACATTTAGAAAGTCAGAACTATTATATAAATTAATAATAGAAACACTTAACTGAGAAAGTGCTTTCCATTTATTCAATTATTTAACTCTCATAAAAATCCCACATGCTCCCATTTCTTCCATTTTATAGATGAGAAATATGAGACTCAGAGAAATTAAATAGTTCAATATCACAGTGATAAAATTTACAATTTTATATCAGACTGAATATATTTCAGATATTGAAAAAGTCCTAATGTAAATCAGTTTAACCTGAATTGGGAGGTAAGATGGTATTGTAATAAAAAGCATGGCCTTCAATCAGATAAACCAAGATTCTAATCCAGATTTTGATTTTTATGATTTTGTGAACATGAACGTGACTTCCATAAGATTCAATTTCTTTTCTCTGAAATGAGAATAATAATACCAGTAATAATATAGGTAAGATATTTAATAGTTCTTGATACATGGCACATGCTCAATAAATGGTAATTTTATTATTATCCTAGAATCTGTTAAATAAAGCATTTAATTAATGAATACAAGTTGTTAAAGTCACTTTGGAGATCTAGGAATGTTTTTCTGTGTGGTTTATTCTTTGCATTTTTATATTAGTAATTATAGGCATTGTTTTATTTTTGTACTCATTTTTACTTCTCTGATGGTTTTTATTATTATACACAGTATTTGGATTTCTGACTTGATAATTCTTTGTTACAGATTAACTAACATGATCAAATTGTCTTTTAAAAAGCTAATTGAGAATGCTAAACATAAAAAAGAAAATGAACTAATGGCCAAGAGAGAGAAACTTATTTTGGAAATAGAAAAAGAATCACGCCGCATGGAGGAGTTTACAGAATTTGCAGAGCTGGAGCGCATGCAACAGGTCTGATAAATATATGAGACAATAGCTATGGCCAGCCCATAGAGTCATATAGGACATGTTAACATAAATTTAAAAGTATAGAAAAATATGTTTACTATTTTTTTATGTTTACTCTATATTTTTCTATATATTACATATATACATATATATTTATCTAATACTATAATATATAGTAAAATACATAAATATGTATTTAAATACTTTATATGTAGTCTCAGCCTCCTGAGTAGCTGGGACTAACAGGCATGTGCCACCATGCCCGGCTAATTTTTTGTATTTTCTTGTAGAGATGGGGTTTTGCCATGTTGCCCAGGCTGGCAAACAAAGACCTGACTCTTAGGCCCAAAACTGGAACTATGTTATCTTTCTTGTGACTCAGTTCTCTATTTGTAGAGTAGACATAATTGTACCTTTTGCTCTCAATCATAGTTATGTTGTGAAGTTAATATTTAAAGTTGCTGTATAGGCCAGGCGCAGTGGCTCACTCCTGTAATCCTAGCACTTTGGGAGTTTGAGGTGGGCAGATCACCTGAGGTCAGGAGTTCGAGACCAGCCTAGCCAACATGGCAAAACCCCGTCTCTACTAAAAATACAAAAATTAGGTGGGTGTGGTGGTCCGCATCTGTAGTCCCAGCTACTTGGTAGGCTGAGGTGGGAGGATCACTTGAACCAGCGGGGCAGAGGTTGCAGTGAGCCCAGATCACGCCACTGCACTCCAGCCTAAAAATAAACTTGTTGTATAAATACAAGGACATATTGTACACAGTATCATAGGATTTTATTTTTATAACATTACTTGAATTTTTTTTAAGACAAAAAACTTATTTACTTTCAGTATGTGACAGATGTAAGACAACTACAAAAACGTATTCAGGAATCTGAAGAAGCAGTGCAGTTTATTAATAAAGAAGAGGAACTTTTCAAGTGGGAATTGACAAAATATCCTGAACTGGATAAATTAAAAGTTAACATTGAGCCCTATCAGAAGTTTTTTAATTTTGTTTTGAAGTGGCAGCGATCAGAAAAACGGTAATTGCTGGTAATGTAATAAAAATCAAGCAAATGATAGAAAATAATTTGTAAAATATAAATTGATTTTTTTTTTGGTTAAGTGTTTAAAAGTAGGATTTATATGTCCATTTGAAAGAGAACCAGGTACCATGTAGGAGAAACATCCAGTGCTGCTAAGGTCCCACTAACCTTACTAATACAATATCTGAGATCCTTTTCTGGTTTATGAGCATAATGATTGGATTTTCATGCTCATGTGTGAGAGATATGCCTCCCTCAAACGTTGTTACAATGTCGGCACATTACCCTTCTGACATGAAAAATATATATATATAATATATGAGTTGTCATTTTGGTTTCTGAGAGTCAATTCCCTTTTTAATACAATAGATTAATTTCACTAATGTTTACCCCCAAAATTAGAAGTATGGAGTCAAATTGCATTTTATTTTTATTTTTGTTTTATAATTTCAACTTTTATTTTAGATTCGGTAACATGTGCAGGTTTGTTTCGTGGGTATATTGCATGACACTGATATTTGGGGTACAAATGATCCTATCTCCCAGGTAGTGAGCACAGCACCTAATAGGTAGTTTCTCAGCCCTTGCTCCCCTCCCTCTCTCCCACCTCTAGTAGTTCCCAGTGTCTGTTGTTCCCATCTCTATGTTCATGTATACCCAGGGCTTAGCTCCCACTTCAAAGTGAGAACATGAGGTATTTGGTTTTCTGTTCCTCCATCAATTTGCTTAGGATAATGGCCTTCAGCTGCATCCATGTTGCTGCAAAGGGCATGATTTCATCCTTTTTTAAGGTTGCATTGTATTCCATGGTGTATATGTACCAAATTTTTTTTATTCAATCCACTGTTGATGGGCACCTAGGTTGACTCCATGTCTTTGCTATTGTGAATAGTGCTGTGATGAACAGACGAGTACATGTGTCTTTTTGGCAGAATGATTATTTTCCTTTGGGTATATACCCAGTAATGGGATTGCTGGGTCAAATGGTAGTTCTGTTTTAAATTCTTTGAAAAATCTCCAAACTACTCTCCACAGTGGCTCAGCTAATTTACAGTCCCATCAATAGTGCAACAGTGTATAAGCATTCCCTTTTCTCCACAGCATCTGTTTTTTGTTTTTTTGTTTTACTTTTTAATAATAGCCATTCTGGCTGATGGGAGATGGTCTCTCATTGTGGTTTGATTTGCATTTCTCTAATGTGAACCTGCATTTTATGTGGGTACTGTTAATCATCCATTTATAATCTGATACATATTTTAGCACATGCAGCATAGTCAAAATGATTATTTTAGTTCTGTCTTTTCTACCATCAGCTCTACCTGTGTGCCTGAGAAAAACTGTTAACAGCTCTTGCCCTCATTTTTCTCTCTTAAAAAACAAGGGGTCTAGCCTAAAGGATCTCTAAGGCCCCTTCAAACTTCAAAAGTCTGAGTTTAATAATATTTTTTCTTTCCATTCAGGTGGATGGATGGAGGGTTTTTGGACCTCAATGGGGAAAGCATGGAGGCTGATGTGGAAGAGTTTTCCCGAGAAATTTTTAAGACACTAAAATTTTTCCAAACGAAGCTAAAGAAAGAATTACAAGAAAAAAGAAAGGCAGCAAGAAAACGGTCTTTGGAAGAAGAGAAAATTGAAGAAGAACCAAAAGACAATGCTACTATTACTATGTGCAGTACAGTCATGGAACAGATAAAAGCTTTTAAGGTATAAATATATATAATAACATTTTAATATTATAGCTATCTTCT
The DNA here is from genome assembly GCF_000001405.40 of Homo sapiens. Lineage (NCBI taxonomy): Eukaryota > Metazoa > Chordata > Mammalia > Primates > Hominidae > Homo > Homo sapiens. The sequence goes on along the minus strand of NC_000003.12, from coordinate 57,468,691 downwards.
CAACTTTTCTGTTACCTAATATATAAATTATAAAGCCTATCTTCTGGTTTTACATGTTTATTATTTATTATTATTAATAATTTTTGAGACAGGGTCTTGCTCTATTTCCCAGGCTGGAGTGTAGTGGTGACTCACTGCCACTGCCACCTCCTGGGCTCAAGCGATCCTCCCACCTCAGCCTCCTGAGTAGCTGGTGCTACAGGTGTGTACCACCATGCCTGGCTAATTTTTTGAAGAGATGGGGTTTTGCTGTGTTGCCCAGGCTGGTCTCAAACTCCTGTGCTCAAGCAGTCTGTCCACCTTGGCCTCCCAAAGTGCTGGGATTACAGGCATGAGCCACCACACCTGGCCTATTATTACTTTTTAGATAGGGTCTCACTCTGTTGACTGTGCAGTGGCATAGTCATAGCTCACTGCAGCCTCAGACTCCTAGGCTCAAGAATAAGACACTATTTCTTCCCCTTTGGCTAATGAATTGGGTCTCTGTCACTTGTAATCAAAGGAGTATGGCCAAATGAAGGTACTGAGGAGAAACAATCAGAAAAAAATAAGATTTTAAATTCCTCTGCTATGCCTCAGCCTCTTGGTCAAGCTCTGGACTCAAAAGCCTTCATCTAAGCATTTTGCAAATGCTAAAATTTTTTAATGTATTCACTCCCACCTCTGTTCTAGGCATGGGTACTTGTGACAGAGCTGAGTGATTGGTTTTGGGAGGAAGTGGTAAGGGCAAGAGAGGGCATTTTATTCCTCTCATCTTTTGAATTACATCTGTTTGCATCTTTGATGTTTTGGTGTCTCATTCCCACAACTTTAGCTCCTCATCATGAAGCACCACTGTGGAGTGTAGGAAAGGCTGGTTAGGTGGTGAATGGCAGCCATATTTGGGGCAGATCAAGGAGAATACACATATAAAGCCAGATCTGGCAAAACTGGGGCAAAGAATTCCTCTGGCCCAAGAAAGGCAGTAGAAGATTGCTCAGACCTATTAGGGCAGATTGCATACTTCCTGAAAATGACACTAAGTCATTTTCCTATGGAAAACATAGGAAGAGTATACCATTGTTTATAATTTACTATAATAAAACTAAACAAACATAATAAAATAGCCTACCATTAATTCAGCATAATCCAAACTTTGAAGTGAGGTTATAACTACTTTTTCTAGATGAATACATTAAAAAATTTTAGCATTTGCAAAATGCTTAGATGAAGGCTTTTGAGTCCAGAGAAATTGTTGACCTATGGATTCTGAATCTTAAGAATTACTCAAGGCCAGGCATGGTGTCTTATGCCTGTAATTCCAGCACTTTGGGAGGCTGAGGCAGGCAGATCACCTGATCTGAGGTCAGGAGTTCGAGACCAGCCTGGCCAATATAGTGAATCCTCTCTACTAAAAATACAAAAAATTAGTTGAGCATGGTGGTGCATACCTGTAATCCCAGCTACTTGGGAGGCTGAGGGAGGAGAATCATTTGAACCCGGGAGGCAGAGGTTGCAGTGAGCCGAGATCATGCCTCTGCATGCCCAGTCTGGGCAATAGAGCGAGACTCCAAAATTACTCAAAAAAACCTTGATAGAGCTATTCTCATCATCAAGTGCTAATGAAGAGAAATAGAAAGGTTTGGAAGCAGGCTGGGTATAGCGGATGACACCTGTAACCTGTAATCCCAGTGCTTTGGGAGGCCAAGGCAGGAGGATCATTCGAGGCCAGAAGTTCAAGACCAGCCTGGGTGACATAGTGAGACCCTACCTCTACAAAAAATAAAAAATTAGCCAGGCACGGTAAAAAAAATTCAGCTACACCTGAAGTCCCAGCTACTCGGGAGGCTGAGGTGGGAGGATCACTTAAGCCGAGGAGTTTGAGGTTGCAGTGAGCTATGATTATACTGCCGCACTCCTGGGCACAACAGAGTAAGACCCTGTCTCAAAAAAAAATAAGGGCATAAGTTTACTAGGTCAGACCACTTAGCCTATACTAAGTGCAGCAACACAGGGTAACAGTTTACTGGGAAGGATTTGGAACCACACTGTTTAGTTATAGCACAGTTCTCCACTTGGCAGTGGCATACCTTGAGCAAGATATTTAGCCACTTGTGCCTCGGTCCTCTCATTTATAAAGAGAGAATAAGAACAGTTTTTTTGACAGTCAGTAATACATCCTTAAATTTCCACTGTCAGCATGCCCAGAGTGCAAACTCTGTGATTGGATTCAAGCATTGTTCCTGTCTATGTCTATTCATCTCAGAGATTCCATGGCCGTCTGATTTTTTTAACTTAAAAATTATTTTCAATGTTGAATACATTTGCGTGGTCTAAAAAATATAAAAAGAGACATCTGAAAAGTCTCCTCATGGTTCTCACCTGTATAACTCAGGTGATCAATGTTATTACCTTCTTGTGTATAGTTCCAGAGTTTTATTACATATATAACAATGTGAGTATATATTCTTATCCTTCTATCTTTTTACATGAAGTGTAGCATACAATGTATATTATTTTCTTTCTTTGTTTTGCTTAATTTATCTTGGAGACCTTTTCTTCTTGTATATAGGGAGCTTCTTCATTTTTTTCACACCTATATAATGTATGACTAATCTGGTGTGTGTGTGTGTGTGTGTGTGTGAATTGCATGTGTTTGAAGGTGTGACTGCAGGGTAAATTGTGGAAGAGTAAATGCCAGGTTAAAATCTACAGTTGAATTACCCTCCATAGAAGTTATACCAATATATACTCTCATCAACCTTCATAACAAAATATCATCAAACTTTAGGTTTTTGCTACTCTACTAGGAGAATTTTCATTTCTCTTACTGCAAGTAAAATTTTAAGCATATTTTCATATATTTCATATATTTAAGAGTGTTTTATATTTCTTTTCCTGTAAACTGTTTTAACTTACCTATGCCTATTTTTCTGTTGAATTATTGACCTTTTTCTTATTGATTTCTTTTCTTGTATATATAGGAGATTAGGCTTTGTCTGTGATGTGAATATTTATTATTTGCTTTTTGACCTTGCTTATGATAGCTTTTGCCTTGCAGAACCCTTTTAATTTTATGTAATTATTTTTATTCTTTTCCTTTATGGCTCTTGGGTTCTGAACTGTAGTTTAAAATGCCTTCCCCATGTCAAAATATTTTTTTCTAATACTCTTATAGTTTGTTATTTGTTCATATTTCATTCAGGATATTTGAGGTTATGTTCAGGAAGGATCTTGGTCTTAGTTTTCTTGTAATGTCTTTGTCAGATTTTGGTATCAGGGTTATGTTGGCCTTATAAAACAAATTGGGAAGTTTTATTTTCTCTATTTCTGAAAGAGTTTTTTTATAAATTGATATTATTTCTTTCTTATTTTAGAGAAACATTCACTCATGAAACCATTTAGCCTGACGTTTTGTTTGTAGGAAAGGTTTTTAAAACAGACTCTCTCTATATATATATTTTTCAAGTACTTATTTATTTCTTCTTCATATTCCATGAGGACCACGGGTTAGCTAAGTCTCTGCTCCCAGTTGCAGTCTTGTTCTGCTCCTGAGTTTTCTAACTTCCAGGACACAGGCTATGTCCTGAGCTAATGTGGGCCAATCTCGCGTTAGAGAGAAAGAGCAAGGGCTGAGCTAAACCATGTACCTGAGTTTAGATCTTCCACTCAGCTGTGACATACTTCATATCCACCCATATTACATTGGCTGAAGCAAGTCCTGTGCCAATTCCCCCTCTAGGGGACGGAAAAGAGAATTTCTTTAATAGATATAGGAGCTATTCAGATTTTGTGTTTAATTTTGGTAGATTGTAGTTTTAAGGAATTTGTCCATTTCTTCTAAGTCATTGATTTTGTCGCCATAAAGTTGCTAATAACATTTCTTTATTATCTTTTAAATGTCTGTAGAATCTATAGTGCTAACTCCTTTTTAATTCTAAATATTGATTATTTTAATTTTCTCTCCTTTTTGTTGATCAGTCTAGTTAGGAATTTAGTTGTTTATTGTTGGTCAGAGAGCTCACATATCCCTGTCTGGTTAGAGTCAGTTACTGGTTCTTTGCTGCTTCTGTTTGTGGAGATCATGGTTCCCTGTTTGCTGTTGTTTTTGCTGGATGTACATCTGTCTTTGCATTGAAGTATTATTTATTCCAGTGTTTTTTGTCTGGCTTGTTTTGGTTTATATTGGATATATTTGCTTAGAGTTTCTTTACCGCTAGGTCACTGCTTCCTTTTCAGCTCCAAGTGGCACCTTAAGCCCAGGTTTGGCTTGGGTCTAGTACCTGATGGGAGCGCTGCCCTTAATGAATGCGGACGGTCCCACAGGGTATATTCTGGCAATGTGGGAAGCTGGCTAGGAGTTTGTGCCCAGGAGACCTGTGGGACAAACCTCCTACAGTGTGGTGCTGCAGAATAGCCACTCTGATTTGGCATCTTCTGTGGCTTACAGAGTAACATTTCCAGGGCTGGGGATGGTAGTGCCACTTCCTCCCTTTGTCTCTGCTTGTCCACAGGAATTATTTATCCCTTCAGGCACTGGCGTTGCTTCCTGTGGGTTAAGGCAGGGCAGGTCTCCTGCTAGGGAACCCAGGGTGGTGGGGTAGCTGGTTGTCCACTTTGACCTTGCTCTTATCAGGGTAGAAACAGTGAGTTGGGGGGAAATTTTCTGCCCTCTTGGTACCAGACAGAATAGAGGGAGGGGCAATGCAGATGTGGAAGTCCGATTCTCTTACTGTCTGCTCATCTGCTTGGAGTTTTTTCACTTTTGTGTGACCCAGCTACTCATGAGGCTACTCAGGAGTCTGTAATCCCAGTTACTTGGGAGGCTGAGGCAGGAGAATCTCTTGAATCCAGAAGGCGGAGGTTGCAGTGAGCCGAGATCGCATCACTGCACTCCAGCCTGGGGGACGGAGCAAGATTCTGTCTAAATAAATAAATAAAGAGTATGTCCTTTCTACTTTTTAGATGTTAAAACTTCACTTATTTAAAAAATACTTACTGAGTGCCTGTTATATTATGTTCTGATGAATTCTAGGGAATATGTGATGATAAGCAAAAACATGATGGTGATAACCAATGGAAGGTTAAAACGAAGTCCTTAACTAAGCAAAACAAAAAGTGTGCTAGTTTATGGTCCTCCAATTAAAAAAATTTACAATATTAAATTATTACTTATACAAAGTTAAAACATGACTCATATAAAAATAAAATAGGGGGCCAGGCATGGTGGCTTATACCTGTAATCCCAGCACTTTGGGAGGCCAAGGCAGGCGTCACTCAGCAGAGATAAAACATTGTTACATTTTGGGATTTGGGCACACATATTTTCCCCATTCATGCTATGTATGTGTGTTTATAACTATATATTATATATTTCTGCAAATAGTATATATAATGAATTTGAATTTCTAAAATAATACTTTTTTTTTTTTCTAAATAGAGACAAGTCCTCACTCTGTCACCCAGGCCGGAGTGCAGTATTGCAATCTTAGCTCACTGTAACCTCAAATTCCTGGGCTCAAGCAATCCTCCCACCCCAACCTCCCAAAGTGCTGGGATTACAGGCATGAACCATTGTGCCTGGCCCTTCATTCTTCTTGTTTACTCTTATAATTTTCCTGGCTATTTTTATATGCTTATTTTTGCAGGGAACTTTAGGTTCATTTTCTTAGTATCTCTCTCCTTCCAAATCTAATTGAGGTTTTGATTGTACTGATAGAAATATATTAAATAAATTGAAGAAATGTAACCCTTATATCATCAAGGCTTCATCTATGGAATCTATGTGTGTGGAAGTCAAATGAGTGACTCATAATTGTTTATATTTTTGCCATTAGGAATATATTCCTACTGTCTCCATTCTGTGCAATCCAGGAATGAGAGCTCGTCACTGGAAACAGATATCAGAAATTGTAGGCTATGACTTGACTCCAGACTCTGGAACTACACTGAGAAAAGTTTTAAAATTAAACCTTACCCCATACTTGGAACAATTTGAAGTGATAAGTGCAGGTGCAAGCAAGGTAAACATAAAGATCAACTGAAATACTTTATGTGATGACTTCGTTAATCAAGTAATCATAGTTTTTGTTGGGGTTGAATGTGTATAGTACTGGATAGCGCGGGAGGTGATGGGGGAGAGTGATAGAAGACCACTCTCCGGCTGGGTGCGGTAGCTCACATCTGTAATCCTAGCACTGTGGGAGGCCGAGACATGTGGATCACCTGAGGTCAGGAGTTTGAGACCAGCCTGGCCAACATGGTGAGACCCCATCCCTACTAAAAATACAAAAATTAGCTGGGCATGTCAGTGGGTGCCTGTAATCCCAGCTACTCAGGAGGCTGAGGCAGGAGAATTGCTTGAACCCGGGAGGTGGAGGTTGCAGTGAGCTGAGATCACACCTCTGCACTCCAGCCTGGGTGACAAGAGCGAAACTCTGTCTCAAAAACAAAACAAAACAAAACAAAACACTCTTTCCTCCCCCCCAAAGTGTGTACTTACTTGTCCTGAATCCAGACGAGAAATGACTCCTTTGATCTCCTCTTAATTCTGCCACATTCCAATGTCGTTGGATGATGTGCTAGTGTTGGTACATAATTTTTCCATTAAGAGTACTGTTGTATATGTGGCATGTGATATGTATGTGTTCTAGCAGGGTAAGTATGGCCCTAAAGAATGGGTTCTTGAAGTACACAGAAAACATCTTCAGACTATGGGCTGCCATAGAAAGGCCACTTCAGAGAAAGTCCTACAGGTATTTTATTCTCTTGTCCATTTTTAATATTGACAGCAGTAGTTTTCATAGCAAGTGAATTCTTTAAAACTACATAATCGTTCTTCTTAGGAATTTTTAAATTGTTGAAAAACCTTCTAACTTAAAAAGTTATACTGTACTCACAGATTATCTTAAGGAAATGATAATGTAATACATCAAATTCTTACTGAATTCACTAGGGAAAGTCAATATAGTAAATAAGATCCTTTCTTCACCATCCCGTTCTTTCTTCATTCCTCCGTTTTAGGAATTTTCATTAGAGAAAGCCATGAATACAATGATAGGAACTTGGGAAGATATTGCTTTTCATATAAGTCTGTATCGTGACACTGGAGTCTGTATTCTTTCTTCGGTGGATGAGATTCAGGCCATCCTTGATGATCAAATTATAAAAACTCAGACAATGAGAGGCTCACCTTTCATCAAACCATTTGAACATGAGATCAAGGTATGTTAAATGTGATAATCAGCTCTTGGTCATTTATACGGATTGCAATCCTATTACATATACGCTCTCATGGTAATAAGTAGCTTATTGGATGGTTTTTTAAGTGTTTATTCAAATCATAGACCTATAACTTTGATATTTTATTTCATAAAATACAAAATGATATTCAAAATTTAATATAGAAATATATACATCTGAGACATAAATGATTTTTAAAAGAAAAATGTCTTATTAAAATCTTCTCCAATGGCAGTGATAGACTTGAGAGGAAAACAGGTGGTATTACTTATTCTAACTTTAGAAAACCTAGACCCTGTTTTTTGTTGCATTCTTGTAACTTGTAGTAACCATACTTTAATTATAGTTGTAAACAGCTAGCATAAGGATCTTTTAGAGTAATTAATGAATTATTGTTCACTTGAGAAAAACAAATGGTATTTGAGGCTCCAAGATTATTTCATATCTTATTGGATATGAAAACTATCCTAACTGGGGACTATATAAATTGGGGAAAGACAACTGGATTTTTTACCCTGATATCAATTGATTTGAAACTATGTTTCAGATGCTGCTCTGGAACTTTGCACTTATTAACCCACTTGATCCCTGCAGCAGACCTTCAAAGTAGGCACTGTTATTATCTGTATTCATGGACAAGGAAACCAACATATAGGAGGATAGGCAATTTTTCTAAGTTCATCTAGCTAATAAGTGACAGAGCTGGGGTTCAAACCAAGGCAGTTTGGTTTTAATATGAGCATAAATAGAAGATTTATTTATTGTTTTATAGAAGATTTTGGCTGTCATTATTCGGAGAAAACAGAGTAATGTTCTTCCAAGAGGACATAAGGCTGGACATTATCCCAAGAAGCAGGCTAACCTAGCCTTTCCTGATAAGATATTACTTTTTTGTAGAAATTTACTTGTCTAACAAGGGGAATTTAGAAGACAAATTTAAAAGCTGTCGTAGAGATTTTTTAAAAATCGAAGATATGAGACAATCTCTTGACACATAGACCTTAGGCACATATTTAAGAACCAAAGAGAGATATTATATTAATGGTCTTCAGCTAATGAAATATCTTGTCATTTCTAGGGGATCTTGAGAATAAGGAGGCTTATTTCATTTTATTTTTCATTTCAGTTCATTTTTCTCCAAATTGTGTTGATGTAGAGTAGAGCAGGATTTCTCAACCTGTCACTGTTGATATTTTGGGCTCTATAATTCTCTGTGATGGGGGCTGTCTTCTACATTATAGGTTGTTTAACTGCATCTCTGGCCTCTACCCACTAGACATTAGTAGCATCTTCCCCCATCAGTTGTGACAACCAAAAATGTCTACAGACATTGTCAAATGTTCCCTGGGGTGGGAGGCAAAATTGCCTGTGGTTGATAACCACTGCTGGTAGAGAAGGATATATTCTTGGATGGTTTTGGGACTCCAGATGGCTCACCGAGAAATTAGGAAACTGGTCAAAATAATGTTACAGTCATTTCCAATTGTGAGTTCCAGTGATTTAGGAAAACTTCAGACCTCTTAGAATTTTTCTAAGCCTTTGTGAGACATACATAAGTAACCTTAAGCTGTGAGATGTTTGCACTTATTTAAAAATAATAGTAAATTTAAAATGTATTTTCCTTGCTATAATTTATAGCCTTTCTTTAATAACTAGAATTTAGTGCAGTATACTTTTCATTAAGGCCTGGGAGGACCGCTTGATTCGAATACAAGAAACAATTGATGAATGGTTAAAAGTACAAGCTCAATGGCTGTACTTAGAGCCCATCTTTTGTTCTGAGGATATCATGCAACAGATGCCAGAAGAAGGGCGTCAATTTCAGACAGTAGACAGACACTGGAGAGATATCATGAAGTTTTGTGCTAAAGATCCAAAGGTGAAGTGTTTGTTTTCTCTCTCACAGTAGGTGAACCTTTGTTTTTGGAAATTAAGTAAAACATGTGACTTTTTTTCTGATTATAAAAATTAAACTTGCTCATTGTATACAAACTGGAAAGTTCAGAAAAATATAAGAAAGCATAAAAGTATTAAAATAAGTTTACTTTTCAATTCATAAGATACATTGCTTGTAACTCTTTAGTATACCTGGTGGAGCTGCTTCAAATGTACATCTGATTCACATGCCTTCTACTATAAACACTCACTGCTCTCCTCCTCATAAAATAAATAGATAAATCAAATCAAATGGAGAGAGGAGAGAGTGAGAACAAGAGAGAGGGAGAGAGAATGAATAGTGTAGGTGACTCACCTGACATTCTACTAGTGACTCTGTGTACTCGGAGTGATGGGGAAGAATCTGCTGTTCTCTCCATTGGTCTCACTCAGTTCCTATGTCTCTCCCAGTAAATGTTGAAAGACAGACTATATATTTTTCATACACACAGTGAACATAGTCCATAGATATGCATCCACTTTTTCATCTGGTATTCAATTTAAGAAATAACAATTTATTCCCATGCTGAATGAAAAACTAGCTGTGCTGGACTTACTGAGAGTCAGTAGTACACTGAAATTTATGAGTTTTAAGGATTTTGCTTTACCTGTTGACTTCAGAATCTTTGTGAAACATGATTTCTTGTAGATCAGAGGTCAGCAATTTTTTTCTGCTAAGGTCCAAATAGTAAATATTTTAGGCTTTGCAGGACAGATCTTTCTTGCAGCTACTCAATTCTGTTGTCGTTGCAGTGAGAAAGCAGCCAGAGATAATCTGTAAATGAATGAGTGTGTCTGTGCTACAATAAAATTTTATGGACACTGATATTTTCATATGTCACAAAATATTCTTCTTTTGATTTTTTTAACTTCTAAAAGTGTGAAAATAATTTTTAGCTTACAACTTATACAAAAACTGACAACAGACTGGATTTGGTCTGCAGGATGTAGTTTGCCAACTCCTTGCTGTAAATTGTTACATTTATGGTTGACAGTAGTAAAAGTAAGAATTAAATCGAGCACCAGCCAAACAGACTTTTCTCACATCATTCGAAATAATATAGGAGAAATGACAATATGCACGACAATCATAACTTGTCATTTTAACTAGTGTCCTTGGATAAGTATTTGTAACTTATTGAATTTTAATAGTTTTTACACTACAAAAAATTTCATTGCAAATTTTATAAACCTTTGACATTTTTTCATAAACCTTTTAACATTAAAAGATTTTAACATATAGTATAGATTGATATTTAAGTCATAATTATATCTGGCATAAAAGTGCTGACTTGAATGCATGTGTCTCGTTTAGGTTCTTGCTGCCACTTCTTTAACAGGTTTATTGGAAAAACTACAGAACTGCAATGAACTTTTGGAGAAAATTATGAAAGGTCTTAACGCATATCTTGAAAAGAAACGTCTTTTCTTCCCTCGGTATGATAAATAATCAATTGTGCTGTAATTAAAAACATTTTCTTATGTGTGATGAATTATAACTAAAACTTTTGTATTTGCATGTTTTTCCCTAGTTTTTTCTTCTTATCTAATGATGAAATGTTAGAGATTTTATCAGAGACCAAAGATCCACTTAGAGTTCAGCCACATTTAAAAAAATGCTTTGAGGGCATTGCTAAATTAGAGTTCCTTCCCAATTTGGACATTAAAGCCATGTATAGCTCTGAGGGCGAGCGAGTGGAGCTGATTGCACTCATTTCCACGTCTGCAGCGCGGGGTGCTGTGGAAAAGTGGCTCATTCAAGTGGAAGACCTAATGCTCCGGAGTGTTCACGATGTGATCGCTGCAGCCAGGCTGGTGTGTTTCCTAGGATTTGATATATACCCTATATTCTGCAAATGCTTTGTTTAAGAGGTTTTGGAAACCAGTAAATTAACACTTAAAGTTCTTACTATTTTAAATCATTTATTTTCTTTACTTCTTTGTTTCTAACATTATTAATATAACAATATTGCTATGAATTGATAATAGTATATGATTGTTATAAAAGAGAAAAGGTATTATGAGAGAGAAAAATAAGAGGTATATAATTTAGAATGGGGGAAGGTCCAGTGATAGGCTATTGGAGAAGGTGATGTTGAAACTGAGACACAAAGGACAGGTAGGAATAAGCCAGGTAAAGAGCAAGTGAGAGAGCATCTAGGTATCCTACGTAAAGCCCCTGGAATCAGAGAGAACTGGGGATTTGGGAGATCCTGAAAGAAGACAAATATGTCTGGAGTAGAGTAAGCAAAGTGGAGAGTAAAGTGACATGAGGTTGGAAAGGAAGGCAGTTAGGAGTTTGCATTTTATTTTAAATGCAATGGAACACCATCTAAATATTTTAATCAGGGAAGGGACATAGTCTGATTTATATTTTTATACCACTATGGCTATGGTATAAATAATAGATTAGTGGAGGTGTGAAAACAGGAAGACAAATTAGGAGACTCAGATTAGTTCAGATGAAAGATGATTTGGGCTGGTTTGCCAGAGATTCAGTTTCAAAAAATAAAAATAAAAACCAAAAATAAAGGAAAAAAGATGTGGTCTGTCACTAGGCAAATGGCAGAAGATAGGGAGAAAAGTAGAATATCAGAAATAAATTTTGTAGTTAATTTCAACAGGTCTTGATGATGAATTTGTTGTAGAGTACAAGGGTAAGGAGGGGGAGTTCTCAAAAATCACTTTTAGGCTTCTAATTTGAGCATATGGGTGGCATTTACTCTGGGTGATTCCTGGAGGAGAAGCAGATTTGTGGAGGCTTAGGGGAATATCAAGAGCTCAATTTTAGATATATTAAAATTGAAATGCTATGAGCTAGGCTAGTGGATATGTTTCATAGGCAAACAATCCTGCACATTAGCACATGTGGATCTGTAGGACAGTTCTCTTCAGACACGAGTGGTAAATGCATGACCTAGTTCACTTACTGCTTTTTACACTTAAACAACTACTTAAAAACTCAAATGAGATGAACAAACATTAAAGGGGGATATGTCATAAATTTGAAAGAAGGATAACACTTGGCACTACATGTATCTCACTTATGTTAATCCAATTAACCTAATCTTGAATGATAAACACGTATATTTCTGCCTTTAGGACCACAAATGAGCAGTTGTAAAGTAGTAGAATAGTTTTAAAAGGCATCGAAGCTTTATATTCAGCAACTCACTATATGTGAGTGAGTGTTCTTTTTCTTTGACCGAGAGCCCTATGGAGCTCATCTTCTTGTGGTGGCTATTCTGTTCAGCTTCAGTGTTCCTACAAATAAATCTTGACTTTTTCTCTCCTTTTACTATTTATGATTCAAAGCAAACTAAAACACATAGGAAAGAGCCACCATTGTCCATGAAAGTATTTCTTTAATCAGTATAGAAATTGACCTTCTATGTACCTAGCAATAGCTCTCAGTCACCATTCATCCTTCTTTGAAGCTTAGGTTAGCTTATCGTTTGCATTTGTTTCTAAATATGGCTAAGAAGCATTTTATAATAATACTGATATCCTATTTTAACTTTCTTATATCTAAGATGATGTTATTTTATTGAAAATATAATTTGCATTAGCATCAGCTTCAAAATTCATTCTGTAGTTGTTTTCAATTTATAGTTTGGATCTGCTAAAATCACTTACTGTTGAAAAAGCTATTTTTAAAAAGATTAAACCTCTCCCTCCATAAATCCATTTAAATGCATTTTGAATATCAAAGTGTTAGAAAAAATGAAAGTATACCTTGAATTCAAAACTATAGATGGTTCAATTATGCATAATTGAACAAATATATAATTGTAAAATTGTATACCCTGGTCATATAGGTTTTCAGAAAAGCTATGGATAAATAATACAAGGGCGCTATTAGTGCAGTTTTTAACTATATTGTATAATCTCCTTTTCAATTAAATCTTGGCATCAATATACATAATCTATTTGACTAGTTTTGTTGTTGTTGTTGTTGTTGTTTTTGAGACAGAGTCTCACTCTGTTGCCCAGGCTGGAGTGCAGTGGCATGATCTTGGCTCACTGCAACCTCTGCCTCCCAGGTTGAAGCAATTCTCCTGCCTCAGCCTCTTTAGTAACTGGGATTTCAGGTGCCCACCACCATGCCCAGCTATTTTTTTTTTTTTATTTTTAGTAGAGATGGGGGTTTCACCACATTGGCCAGGCTGGTCTCGAACTCCTGACCTCAGGTGATCCATTGCCTCGGCCTCCCAAAGTGCTGGGATTACAGGTGTCAGTCACCACCCTGGCCTTGACTAGTTTTTTCTAAGTTTACTAAAATTTTTATATTTTATTATGATAGAAGTAATAGGTATTCTATATAGAAAACTTGACAACTCTCCACAGCAAAGGAACATAAAAATCACACAGAAATCAACTTCCAGAAGAATCAACAGTTAAATCTACCCATTATTAACATGTTGGTGTTTATCTTTCCATTCTTTTATAAATAAATATTTCAAAAACATAATAATAATTTATAAAATTTGGAGGGAGTCTTTTAGTCATTTAACATTTTTTATGACTATATGACATTCTAGCCTATGTATGTGCCAAATATTACATTTCTCTATTGTTAGACATTTAGCTATTTTTTCTCATTCAAGCTTTTAAAGTTAGAAATTTATTTTAATTGTTCAGGCTTATCCAGAATCTGCAAGAAGAGACTGGGTTCGAGAGTGGCCTGGCCAAGTTGTACTTTGTATTTCTCAAATGTTCTGGACATCTGAGACACAGGAAGTGATAAGTGGCGGGACGGAGGTAAAGCATTGTTTGCTTTTAAGTAACATCCTTCATTCCAGGTTTTTTAAAATTTAATTTTATTATTTTTAGAAATGAGATCTTGCTATGCTACCCAGGCTAGTCTTGAACTCCTGGCCTCAAGAAATCCTCCCACTTCAACCTCCCAAAGTATTAGGATTAGAGGCATGAGCCACTGTGCCTGGCCCCATCCTATGTTTCTTAGTTAACTTATCTATTGTTTGCAAAGACAATACGTCTGTCAGTTTCTATATATAATCTTAAAATTACAACTATTCATTTTTTTTTTTTTTTGAGATGTAGTTACGCTCTTGTTGCCTAGGCTGGAGTGCAAAGGCATGATCTCGGCTCACTGCAACCTCCGCCTCCCAGGTTCAAGTGATTCTCCTGCCTCAGCCTTCCGAGTAGCTGGAATTACAGGCATGTGCCACCACACCCGGCTAATTTTGTATTTTTAGTTGAGATGGGGTTTATCCATGTTGGTCAGGCTGGTCTTGAACACCTGACCTCAGGAGATCCGCCCACCTTAGCCTCCCAAAGTGCTGGGATTAGAGGCATGAACCGCTGCACCTGGCCTGAGAACTTGTTCTTAATATTTTACTGGGCTTAGACAAAATCACTCACAAAATTCATTTCTCCATGTGTGTATGTGTGTGTGTGTGTTTAGAGACAGGGTCTTGCTCTGTCACCCAGGCTGGAGTGCAATGGCGTAGTCATAGCTCAGTATAACCTCAAACTCCTGGGCTCAAGCTATCCTGTTGCCTCAGCCTCTGAATTGCTAGGACCACAGGCACACACCACCACATCTGGCTAATTTAAAAATTTTTTTATAGAGACAGGGGTCTCTCTGCTTTGCCAGGCTGGTCTTGAAATCATGTCCTCAAATGATCTTCCCACCTTGCGCCTGGTGCCGTGGCTCACACCTGTAATCCTAGCACTTTGGGAGACCGAGGTGGGTGGATCACTTGAGGTCGGGGTTCGAGACCAGCCTGGCCAACATGGTAAAACCTCATCTCTACTAAAAACACAAAAAATTAGCCAGACCTACTGGCACATGCCTGTAGTCCCAGCTACTCAGGAGGCCAAGGCAGGAGAATCACTTGAACCCAGGAGGCGGAGGTTGTAGTGAGCCGAGATCCCACCACCGCAGCCTGGGCGACAGAGACTCAGTCTCAAAAAAAAAAAAGAAGATCCTCCCATCTTAACCTCCTAGATGCTGGGATTTTAGGCATGAGCCACCACGCTTGAACTCATTTCTATATTGAGATAGATTAAGAAGTCAGAATTGTTTTATAAAAGACTAAATATATAAAATACATGTTTTAAGTATGATGTGACATCAATTAGATTGCTTTTTTTTTTATTTTGTAGGGATTAAAGAAGTATTATAAGGAACTTCAGAACCAACTGAATGAGATTGTAGAGCTGGTAAGAGGAAAGTTGTCTAAGCAGACCAGGACCACTCTGGGGGCTTTGGTTACTATTGATGTCCATGCTAGAGATGTGGTCATGGACATGATTAAAATGGGTATGTGACTTTTTCTTTAATTTTTAAAGATAAAATGTTGATAGCATCTGGAAACAAAGACTTGTACTATATGTATTCTTCTCTCAACAGAATTTTTTTAACACAATCTTTTTTATAAGTTGGCAAACATGAATTATTTTTAGTATTTGCTGTTATAAAAGATAAAATACTTCTTTTTAAAATTATTTCCATTTAAGGATCATGTGTCTTATTTTACTTTATTTTTTCTAGGTGTCTCACATGATACAGATTTCCTGTGGCTTGCTCAGCTCCGATATTATTGGGAAAATGAGAATGCCCGAGTTCGTATCATTAATTGCAATGTAAAATATGCTTATGAATATCTTGGTAACTCACCTCGACTTGTCATTACGCCTCTAACTGACAGGTGTTACAGAACATTGGTATGCATTTAAATTATCTTAATTCACACATTAATAATTACTTTTTGCTGTAGCGTCATCTTTTCTCTCTTGTCTTACCTGGAGTAGTTGAATACAATTATCCCTTTCTAATCCTGAATTCTCTTTATGCAAAATTATAATAGTGAATATTTACTTCTGGGTGCTTTTGTAGCATACAAGAGTGTTTGAACTTTATCGTATGAAAGTTGTGAGTCACTCCGATGGGGGATAATTAGAAAGAGGAGAGTATTGACAATATAATGAGAAAACTGGAGCTTTGGAAAATGGTATCAGTTTTTGCAGTGGCGTCTTGGGAGAGATGACAGGAAGATGAGAAAAGTACATTTGGGCCTTAGGACACCAAATTAGTGCTGTTAAGTAGGATGGAGAGATGAAATGTATGGGGGTGGTGCTGAGACCTGAGATCCAGAGCTGAAGCTATGGAGGATAGAGCTGTTCAACTATAAAAACCCTGGGAATGTGGTTGCCGGATAAAATACAGGATTCCCAGGTAAATTTGAATTTCAGACAAACAACAAATAATTTTTTAATGTAAGTAAATATGTCCCAAATATTGCATGGGACATACTTACACTAATAAATTATTCATTGTTTATCTGAATGGTAGCAGTGGAAATTACCCAAGTCACATGGCACCAAAATATGTTACCAGTGGAGCATATCTGTATCGGTACCAGACTGCAGCGACCTCAATTCTTACCTCCTCAGAAGAAAGAATTCAACTGAGGGGCATAAGGCAGAAAGAGACTGAGGCAGGGTTTAGAGCAGGAGCGAAAGTTCATTAAGTGTTGGAGCAGGAACGAAAGGGGGTAAAGCACACTTCAAGGAGGCCCAAGTGAGTGACTTGAGAGATCAAGTACGCAGCTTGACCTTTTGACTTTTATACATTGACATACTTCCTGGGTCTTGCATTACTTCTCCCCACTCACCCAACTCCTGAGATCTTATGGGGAAACAGCTGATCACCAGTTTCAGGTGTTTTCTGTTTGTTAGGAGCACGCCCATCCCTGGTACCAGCTGTGACCAATTATTACTTTAGAGAGACAGTTAACAACACCTGACCATCACCTGATGGTCACCGGACACTCCTGGTGTGTGTGGGGTGAGGCGCGCTCTCCGGCTCTGCTCATACCTGACTAGCTACCCACTGTAACAGAATTTTTTGTTTGTTTTGTTTTGTTCTGAGACAGAATCTCGCTCTGCCGCCCAGGCTGGAATGCAGTGGCGCCATCATGGCTCACTGCAACCTCTGCCACCTGGGCTCAAGGAGATCCTCCTACCTCAGCCTCCTAAGTAGCTGGGACTACAGGCAGATGCCAACACACCCAGCTAATTTTTGTATTTTTTTAGTAGAGATGGGGTTTCAGCCACGTTGCTTGCCCAAGCTGGTCTTGAACTCCTGGGCTCAAGCCATCTGCCTGCCTCAGCCTTCCAAAGTGCTGGGATTGCAGACGTGAGCCACTGGGCCCGGCCGTTATCTGAAATAAAATTTAACTGGGCATTCTGTATTTTTATTTGCTAAATCTGGCAACCCTTCCTACGGGAATTGAGAAGGAGCATCAAGAAGTACCACTCTACCTGTGCTGAGTAAGTGAAATTAAAGTGTCTTCGAATGAGTTATCTTAAAGCAGAAATGAAGTGGCAATTCTTGTGCAAAGGATTTATTAGGTAATGTTCTTAGTAAAAACCTGTAGGGAAATAAGGACAGCAGGATGGGACAGTAAAAAGTTAAGCAAAGATGTGGTTTCAACAGATGTACAGTTGTAGCCTGCTCTCACAGGGCACTCTGAAGCATGAATGGCACGAATTATTCCACTTCAAAGCAGCAGGGTCTGACTTTTGTACCCGTTTAATGTCATTGACTAAGGGTCACCCCTGGGGCAGGGATATGAGTAAGCTTTCAGGCATTTTCTTGCTGATAAGGAGAAAAGAGCAGCTGTGAACTATTTGCAACTGACACAGCAAATGGGGGATGAATGCAATGGCTGGGTAAAGGGGCTCTGGGTAGGGCAACAATGGATCTGGGAGAAAAGATTTCACCAAACCCTTTATTTTCTCGGGTAGCTGCCTGTGGGCAAGAACTATGTCTGTCTTGTTCTCTACTCTAGTGCTGAACAAGGACACAGTTATCCCTAAATATTTGTTGAGCAGATGAATTTCAAAATAGGATGTCATATCTGTTACCTCTGTGAAGTCAGAAGCTGTGGTGTGCTTGTAAGGTGGGGGCTAACAACTTTGAGTTGTAAAAATCAGAATCATATTCAACACTTTTTGAGATGGAGTTTCGCTCTTGTTGCCCAGGCTAGAGTGCAATGGTGCGATCTCGGCTTACCACAACCTCCGCCTCCCTGCTTCAAGCGATTCTCCTGCCTCAGCCTCCCAAGTAGCTGGGATTACAGGCATGTGCCACCACGCCCAACTAATTTTGTGTTTTTGGTAGAGACAGGGTTTCTCCATGTTATGTAGGCTGGTCTCAAACTCCCTACCTCAGGTGATCTGCCCACCTCAGCCTCCCAAAGTGCTGGGATTACAGGCATGAGCCACCTCACTGGGCCACCTTTTTTTTTTTTTAAATTGAGACAGTCTCACTCTGTCACCCAGGCTGGAGTGCAGTGGTGCGATCTTGGCTCACTACAACCTCCGCCTCCCAGGTTCAAGTGATTCTCCTGCCTCAGCCTCCCAAATAGCTGGGATTACAGGCATGTGCCACTGTACCTGGCTGATTTTTGTATTTTTCGTAGAGACAGGGTTTCACCATGTTGGCCAGGCTGGTCTTGAACTCCTGACCTCAAGTGATCCACCTGCCTATGCCTCCCAAAGTGTTGGGATTACGGGTGTGAGCCACTGTGCCCACCCGGGATCATATTAAACGCTTGAATATAACACTAGACACTGAGAAAAAGTCTCCTAGTGAGAGATGACAGCGTGATGGCAGTCCTCAGAGCCCTCGCTTGCTCTCGGCGCCTCCTCTGCCTGGGTTCCCACTTTGGCGGCACTTGAGGAGCCCTTCGGCCCGCCGCTGCACTGTGGGAGCCCCTTTCTGGGCTGGCCAAGGCTGGAGCCCACTCCCTCAGCTTGCAGGGAGGTGTGGAGGGAGAGGCGCGAGCGGGAACCAAGGCTGCGTGCGGCGCTTGCGGGCCAGCTGGAGTTACAGGTGGGCGTGGGCTTGGCGGGCCCCGCACTCTGAGCAGCCGGCCAGCCCTGCCGGCCCCGGGCAATGAGGGACTTAGCACCTGGGCTAGTGGCTGTGGAGGGTGTACTGGGTCCCCCAGCAGTGCCAGCCCACCAGCGCTGCGCTCGATTTCTCACCGGGCCTTAGCTGCCTTCCCGCCGGGCATGGCTCGGGACCTGCAGCCCGCCATGCCTGAGCCTCCCACCCACTCCATGGGCTCCTGTGCGGCCGGAGCCTCCCTGAGGAGCACCACCCCCTGCTCCATGGCGCCCAGTCCCATCGACCACCCAAGGGCTGAGGAGTGCGAGCGCACAGCGTGGGACTGGCAGGCAGCTCCACCTGCAGCCCGGGTGTGGGATCCACTAGGTGAAGCCAGCCGGGCTTCTGAGTCTGGTGGGGACATGGAGAGTCTTTATGTCTAGCTCAGGGATTGTAAATACACCAATCAGCACCCTGTGTTTAGCTCAAGGTTTGTGAGTGCACCAATCAACACTCTGTATCTAGCTGCTCTGGTGGGGCCTTGGAGAACCTTTATGTCTAGCTCAGGGTTGTAAATACACCAATCGGCACTCTGTATCTAGCTCAAGGTTTGTAAACACACCAATCAGCACCCTGTGTTTAGCTCAAGGTTTGTGAGTGCACCAATCAACACTCTGTATCTAGCTGCTCTGGTGGGGCCTTGGAGAACCTTTATGTCTAGCTCAGGGTTGTAAATACACCAATCGGCACTCTGTATCTAGCTCAAGGTTTGTAAACACACCAATCAGCACCCTGTGTTTAGCTCAAGGTTTGTGAGTGCACCAATCAACACTCTGTATCTAGCTACTCTGGTGGGGCTTTGGAGAACCTTTGTGTCCATACTCTGTATCTAACTAATCTGATGGGGACGTGGAGAGCTTTGTATCTAGCTCAGGGATTGTAAATGCACCAATCAGCACCCTGTTAAAACAGGCCACTCGCTCTACCAATCAGCAGGATGTGGGTGGGGCCAGATAAGAGAATAAAAGCAGGCTGCCTGAGCCAGCATTGGCAACATGGTCGGGTTCTATTCCACGCTGTGGAAGCTTTGTTCTTTTGCTTTTTGCAATAAATCTTGCTACTGCTCACTCTGGGTCCACTGAGCTGTCACACTCACTGCGAAGACCTACAGCTTCACTCCTGAAGCCAGCGAGACCACGAGCCCCCCTGGGAGGAACGAACAACTCCAGACGTGCTGCATTAAGAGCTTTAACACTCAGGGCGAAGGTCTGCAGCTTCTCTCCTGAAGCCAGTGAGAGCACGAGCCCACCAGGAGGAATGAACAAGTCCAGACGTGCTGCCTTAAGAGCTGTAACACTCACTGTGAAGGTCTGCAGCTTCACTCCTGAGCCAGCGAGACCACGAACCCACCAGAAGGAAGAAACTCCCAACACATCCGACCATCAGAAGGAACAAACTCTGGATGCGCCACCTTAAGAGCTGTAAGACTCACCTCGAGGGTCCGCGGCTTCATTCTTGAAGTCAGTGAGACCAAGCACCCACCAATTCCAGACACACTAGTATATTTATTATTCACAATAAAGGGAACATGTTTGTGAACATTTTCTTAAAATTGAAAAGGAAGAGCCCGAGGTTTTCAGCAATCAAGTTAATGGGCATTAACAATATGGCATCCATTATAAATTTAAAATAGGTTGGCCAGGTGTGGTAGCTCATGCCTATAATCCCAGGACTTTGGGAGACTAAGGCAGGAGGATGGCTTGAGCTCAGGAGTTTGAGACCAGCTTGGGCAACACAGTGAGACCTCTTCTCTACTAAAAATACAAAAAATAAACTGAGTGTGGTGGCATACACCTATAGTCCTCGCTACTCGGGAGGCTGAGGTGGGAGGGTTGCTTGAGCCCAGGAGGCAGAGGGGCACCTAGTCAAGATCTCACCACTGTGCTCCAGCCTGGGTAATAGAGCAAGACCCGGTCTCAAAAAATAAAATAAAATGGATGAACTATCACTGATACTGCATTTTTTACACTAGCTGTCTCTCTTGGATTTTTAAAATAAAGTAAAAATAAAGTAAAAATATTTATCACTTTGTGGTTTACTTATTTTTAAAGGTAGACCTTTTTTTGAGCAGTTCTAGGTTCATAGCAAAATTAAGAGCAAACTGCAGAGTTCACTTATTCCCCCTACCCCCCTTACATGCACAGCCTTGGTCACTTAGCCGTACTTTTTCTAAAAGAAGTTAAATTTGAAACTCCCGTGAAACAGACTCCATAGTTAGAGCTGACTGTAATTTATGTTTCTAAAAATTTCCAGCCACTATTCCAGTCATTGTGGGGACCCA
Source organism: Homo sapiens (assembly GCF_000001405.40). Lineage (NCBI taxonomy): Eukaryota > Metazoa > Chordata > Mammalia > Primates > Hominidae > Homo > Homo sapiens. Next base: position 57,447,329 of record NC_000003.12, on the reverse strand, counting down.
GGAATAATTCAAATACTGCTGATATTGTCATTAAGCACTTTAAAGACTAATTGATGAGAAAAAAGAATGTACGTAATTAAGTATAATACAAGGTAGAAAGTGATACTACCGGTAAGAGAAGCATAGAGCAGTTTTATGGGAATGTAGAAAATGGAGAACATACCAAGAGTAAAAGGCAATAGCCAGGCAAATCGTAGACAAAATTATATAATAGGTCATCTGTTTCTTTTCCCAATCATGGGTGCCATTTATAGCTCTCACTTTCTGGTGTTTTACCCCCTTTGCAGTGAGCCATCTAGAATGTGTCATTATTGTCCTCCACAACCATCTCCACAACCACTTCTAATTAAAACCTTCCTGAACTAATTTTACCCCCATAAGGCTAGATTGTTTTTAAAAACAAATGGGATACCTATGAAAGTGTCAGAAGACAAGTTTTGATACATTGTCACTTTTTTGAACGTTTTAAAATGCTTTCTCTTCATGCAGCTAGAAAAATTTGGGCTAAAAATTAAACAATGTAATTATATAATGGCTTCTCTGAAGCTACAGAACAGGCTAAATCCATTTGGTAAACAAGTGTCTGTTGTTTTTTTAAATTTAAGCATGGATTTCTTTTCACATGTGTTTTTCATTTCAGATAGGTGCTTTCTATTTAAACCTTGGAGGTGCTCCAGAGGGGCCAGCAGGCACAGGAAAAACCGAAACCACCAAGGACTTGGCTAAAGCTCTTGCTGTACAGTGTGTGGTGTTCAACTGTTCTGATGGGCTAGATTATCTAGCAATGGGAAAGGTAGTTAAATTGCTGAATCAATAATATTAAATGTTTCAAACTTACAGCTAGGTCTAATTGGATAAATGGAAGCAAACTCATGTTTAAACATGAATGTGGTTTGAATATTACTTGGACTTTCATTTTAGGAGTAAAGACATTGTTTTTATCCTTGGAACTTTTACTAAATTTAACTTTCAATTCTGACTTAAAATATTAGGTATTTGTTTTAAGAGATGATATCCTTTCCTGAGAAAAAAATCACTTTCCTTTTTCTTTGTCCTTAGTTTTTTAAAGGACTGGCTTCTTCTGGTGCTTGGGCTTGCTTTGATGAATTCAATCGAATTGAGTTGGAAGTGTTGTCAGTGGTAGCTCAACAGATCCTTTGCATTCAGAGAGCTATTCAACAGAAGTTGGTTGTGTTTGTTTTTGAAGGGACAGAACTTAAGCTCAATCCGAATTGTTTTGTAGCTATTACCATGAATCCTGGCTATGCAGGACGCTCTGAATTGCCGGACAATCTTAAGGTAATATTATTTATTTATTTATTTATTTATTTATTTTATGTTTTTGAAACAGTCTTACTCTATTGCCCAGGCTGGAGTGCAGTGGCGCGATCTTGGCTCACTGCAACCTCCACCTCCCGGGTTCAAGCGATTCTCTTGCCTCAGTCTCCCGAGTAGCTGGGACTAGAGGCACACACCACTACACCTGGCTAATTTTTTGTATTTTTAGTAAAGACGGGGTTTTACCATGTTAGCCAGGATGGTCTTGATCTCCTGACCTCATGATTCGCCCGCCTCAGCCTCCCAAAGTGCTGGGATTACAGGCATGAGCCACTGTACCCAGCCAATATTTTTTGAGTGTAAGTTCGTGAATTAAAAAAACCCAGCATAATCCATTCAAAATGATTTTTTTCCATAAAATTGTAATTTCCCTCCCAAAACTTTTTTAAACATCCAAAAAAATACTAACTGCATAAAAATATTAAAAGTACTACTAAAAAAAATTAGAGTTTAGAAAAAGGTGCTGCATTTGGAGAATAAACTTGACAACACCACACCTTTGAATACTTATGCTCAGCTTAAAAACAGCTTCATTTATGTACGTAATATATTTCATTTATTTTATACTTCAGGTTCTTTTTAGAACAGTGGCTATGATGGTTCCAAACTATGCGCTTATAGCAGAAATCTCCCTCTACTCTTACGGATTTTTGAATGCAAGACCTCTGTCTGTGAAAATAGTAATGACCTATAGGCTTTGCTCAGAGCAGCTCTCATCGCAATTTCATTACGACTATGGAATGCGAGCAGTAAAAGCCGTTTTAGTGGCTGCTGGCAATCTAAAACTAAAATACCCAAATGAAAATGAAGATATACTTGTAAGTATTAAATATACACATTGGGAAAGTTTCAGTAGAAAGATAATTTTCTTTAGTGAGGTTAATCAGGAACTACAAATAGGCACTTGAGAGGGTTGAGCTTTGTCTTTTCATAAGAGGTTGAAATGATGGTTTTTTGGGTTATGTTGTTATACTTCATATGAATACAAAGACTTTTTAGTTTGATAAGCATAGTATTGACTTTTTATTATAGGGATTCCAGAGAGCAATGTAAAATAAACTTTGACTTTTAGCCAGGGGGGTGGGGTGGGGCAGGCCGGGGCTGGGAGGGGAGGGAGAAGTGGGGTTGCAATTGCTGGCAACTAACTTAACATTGTACTTTTTGGGTAATTTTAGCTTCTTCGATCAATTAAAGATGTAAATGAACCAAAGTTTTTATCACATGATATACCTTTATTTAATGGAATAACTAGTGACTTATTTCCTGGTATTAAACTTCCTGAAGCTGACTATCACGTAAGTAAACCCATGAGAATGACTTATTCGGCATAATAAATTCATCCGATGACTCAATTGTTTACCAAGATTTATTAATGTGTGAAATTATTCTGTTTTGAGGAAAATCCCCTATTTTGTCCACTTTAGTTAATAACAATAAGTAAATTTGGGTACTTTCATATTATATGATACCAGGGTTAACCTGTCAAGATTCAGGTTAAACAGGCCAGGCACGGTGTTTCACACCTGTAATCCTGGACTCTGGGAGGCTGAGATGGGTGGATCACCTGAGGTCAGGAGTTTGAGACCAACCTGGCCAATATGGTGAAACCCTGTCTCCACTAAAAATACAAAAAATTAGCCAGGCATGGTGGTGTCCCACCACTGCACTCCAGCCTGGTCCACAGAGCAAGACTCTGTCTCAAAAAAAATAAAAATTAAAAAAAGTAATGTTCTTTGTAAGAGAATAAGTATTATTATTATTTTATTTTATTATAATAATTATTATTTTTTGAGACAGAGTTTTGCTCTTGTTGCCCAGGCTGGAGTGCAATGGTGCAATCGCAGCCCACTGCAAGCTCTGCCTCCCAGGTTCAACCTGTTCTCCTGCCTCAGCCTCCCAAGTAGCTGGGATTACAGGCAAGCGCCACCATGCCCAGCTAATTGTATTTTTAGTAGAGATGGGGTTTCTCCATGTTGGGCAGGCTGGTCTTGAACTCCCAGCCTCAGGTGATCTGCCAGACTTGGCCTCCCAAAGTGCTGGGATCACAGGTGTGAGCCACTGTGCCTGGCTGAGAAAAAATATTTTATTTTCTATCTTGTGATTTACAATATTAGTATACATACTGTAATAGTGTATTACACTATTGTGTAATATATAGTATTGCATACTAAATACTATTGTGTATTTTATTAGATAGAAATGAAAGTAGTAAAACATCCTATAGGTAACATAATAAGGCTTTGTTTCTCAAATTTACTTAATAGACTCATTTTTATTTTTTTTTAAAGGAAACAGTCCTTAACACAGATGCACACGGTAACTACGGGTAGTGATGGATATGTTAATTAGATTGTGGTAATCATTATATAATGTATATGTTTATCAAATCATCATGTTGCACCTTAAATATATAAAAATATTTGTCAATTAAAAATTTAAAATAACAAAAATAAGACACAAACCACTCGCATTTCCAACTTCATGTAGATTATACATATTATAATGAAGCTTAAATATGTATATACTTAACTGCTGCTTATAGCCGTTATAGAAAACCAGAATATAGTTTAAAATTAATTACAAGCCAGGCATGGTGGCTCACACCTATAATCCCAGCACTTTGGGAGGCCGAGGCAGGTGGATCACCTGGGATCAGGAGTTTGAGACCAGCCTGGCCAACATGGTGAAACCCTGTCTCTGCTAAAAATACAAAAATTAGCGGGGCATGGTGGTGCACGCCTGTAGTCCCAGCTTCTTGGAAGGCTGAGACAGGAGAATTGCTTGAACCCGGGAGGCGGAGGTTGCAGTGAGCCGAGATTGCGCCATTGCACTCCAGCCTGTGCGACAGAGCAAGACTCCATCTTAAAATAAAAATAATAAATAAAATAACATTACAAACAAAACAATCTCAAATTCAATTTAACGCAATTAATGAAATAGGTAATATGTGGCTGAAAGTAACTTGTTACTTTATGGGAATTTCTATTGTGAAATGTACAGTGAAGATTCTCTTGAGTTCAGCGTTCATAAACCACCTTTTGCCAAGTGATGATTCAATTCTTCCATGTCTTCTCTTTACGATATGACTGCAAAATCTTTTTGTTTGAGCTGTCAAATCATTAAGAGATCACTTAACTTAAAGGCATCTTTATTTTTTTGTCTGTTTTTTAAATTCTTATGCTCAAATACTAATATGCATTTTATGGCAGGTTAAGGTGACTATCAAGATGATTCAGAATATGCTAATATGATTTTTAAACACCAAAATGAAAACACAAAATTTTAATATTTTCTTGAAGAACTCTTATGTACTCTTATGAATACTGCAATAAATCCGTAGATTCCAGTTGGAAAAATAGTACTAAATTGCCATCTTGCTTTTTAATGGGTTCTGTATTTGTTTTACTGACTTCTTTTGGATTTCAAAAAATGTTTATCACTCCATTTTATCTTCTCTATTGGCTTTATAGCTTTACCTTAGTGGTCACTCCACAGGTTGCAGTATATATCCTTGGCTTATTACAACTTTACAGTTAGTATTTTACCAGTTGACAAAAAATATAAGCACCTTAAATGGTATAGTTTCATTATCCACTCACTCCTGCCCATTGTGCTATTGTTGTCATATATTTTACTTCTATATATTTTGTAAACACCACAATGCATTGTTATTATTTTCTGCTTTAAGTATTGTATTTGAAAAAAAAAAGCCTCTTACGCTACCCTTTCTAGTGCTTTTATTCTTTCCAGCAGATATATGTTTTCATTTTGGATTTTTTATTTTTAACCTAAAAAACTTCCTTTAGTATTTGTGTGTATATGGGTCTTCTGGCAACAAATTCCCTCACCTTTTGTCTGTCTGAAAATGTCTTTATTTAATCTTTATTTCTGAAGAATATTTTCACAGATACAGAATTCTAGATTGGCAAGGTGTCTCCTCCCCACCCCACCCTGCGCCCAGCATTTAAAGATGTTATTTCATAGACTGCTGCCTTTCAGTGTTGTGCTTAGAAGTCAGGCATTTTTCTTATTTATACTCCTCTGGCTGTTTTAATATTTTTTCTTTTTCTTTTTTGGTTTTGAGCAGTTTGACTATGTGCCTAGTTTTGTTTTGTACTTTATTGCCTGGGATTTGCTATGCTGCTTGAATCTGTGTGTTGATGTGTTTTGCCAGAAAATTTACTTTTTCTTTTCTTTTTTTAGAGACAGGGTCTCACTTTTGCCGAGGCTGGAGTGCAGTGGCATGATCATAGCTCACTGCATTGTCAACCTCCTGGGCTCAAGCAATCCTCCCATCTCAGCCTCCCAAGTAGCTGGGATTATGGGCGCGTGCCACCACACCCAACTAATTATTTTATTTTTCATAGAGACAAGGTTTTACTTTGTTGCTCAGGTTGGTATCAAGCTCTGGGCTCAAGCAGCCTCCTAAAGAGCTGTGATTACAGGCATGAACCACTGTACTCAGCCAGAAAATATTCAGTAATTATCTTTTTATATGTTTTTATGCCTTAATTTTTTCTCCTCTCTCCTTCCGGAACTTCAGTGACATGTATATTAGACCATTCTATATAGTTTCATGTGTCTCTCATGCCTCTTTTTTTCTCTTTTGTTTTTCATTACTTTCTCTCTGTAGTTTGGATACTTTCTAATTGACCTATCTTCAAGGTTAGTGGTTCTTTCTTTGGCTTTGTCCAGTTTGCTGATAAGCCCATTCAATGAATTCTTAATTTCACATATTTTGATCTTTTTAGTTCTAGTGTGTCCAATTGGTTCTTTTTAGAGAGTTCTCTTTTCTGCTAAAATTCTATATTTTTTCCTCTATTTTTTCTATCTTATAATCTATTCTTTTTATACTTTGTAAATGTATTGTCAAGTTCTTATCTGTTAATTATGACATCTGGGTCATCTATGAGTTTGTTTTGTTTACTGTTTTTTCTCTTGGTCATCAGCTATTTCTCATGACTTCATTATTTTTTTGGTTCTGTTATGAAGTGACTATTTAGAGTTAGGGTCTTGCTCTGTTACCCAGGCTGGAGTACAGCAGTGCAATCATGGCTCACTGCAGCCTCCAACTCCTGGGCTCAAGCAATCCTCCTACATCAGCCTTCTGAGTAGCTGGGACTACAGGAATGTACCACCACACCTGGCTAATTTTTTTGTATTTTTAGTAGAGAGGAGGTCTTGTTATGTTGCTCAGGCTGGTCTTGAACTCCCGGGCTCAACCCATCCACTCACCTTGGCCTCCCAAAGTGCTGGGATTACAGGCATGAGCCACCACTCCTGGCCTATTTACTTATTTTTAAAGGAATTTCAACTTTTAGATTCAAGGGGTACATGTGCAGGTTTGTTTCATGGGCATAATCATGATGCTGAAGTTTGAGGTATTATTGATACCATCACCCAGGTACTGAGCATAGTACCCAATAGTTAGTTTTTCAGCCCTTGTTCCCCTCCCTCTCTCTTCCCCTTAGTAGTCCCCAGTGTCTGTTGTTGCCATTATTATGTTCATGAGTACCCAGTGTTTGCCTACCACTTACAAGTGAGAACATGCAGTATTTGGTTTCCTGTTCCTGTGTGAATTTGCTTAGGAGAGTGGCCTCCAGCTATATCCATGTTGCTGCAAAGGACATGATTTTGTTCTTTTTTATGGCTGCATAGTATTCCATGGTATATATGTACATTTGCTTTATTCAATCTACTGTTGATGGGCACCTAGGTTGATTCCATGTCTTTGCTATTGTGAATAGTGCTGTGGTAAACATAATGCATGCATGTGTCTCTTTGGTAGAACAATTTATTTTCTTTTGGATATATACCCAGTAATGGGATTGCTGGGTCAAATGGTAGTTCTGTTTTAAGTTTTTTGAGAAATCTCTAAACTGCTTTCCACGGTGACTGAACTAATTTGCATTCCTACCAACAGCATATGAGTATTCCCTTTTCTCTGCAGGCTTGCCAGCATCTGTTGTTCTTAACTTTTTAGTAATAGCCATTCTGACTTGTATGAGATGGTATCTCATTGTATTTTTGATTTGCATTTCTCTGACGATTAGTGATGTTGAACATTTTTTCATATATTTGTTGGCTGCTTGCATGTCTTTTGAGAAGCATCTGTTCGTATCCTTTGCCCATTTTTAAATGTTTTTTTTTCCTGTTCAATTGTTTAAGTTCCTTATCAATTCTGGATATTAGACCTTTGCTGGATGCATAATTTGTGAATATTTTCTCCCATTCTGTAGGTTGTTGTTTTTTCTGTTGATAGTTTCTTTTGCCATGCAGAAGCTCTGTAGTTTAAATAGGTCCCACTTGTCAGTTTTTGTTTTTGTAGCGATTGCTTTTGAGGACTTAGTCATAAATTCCTTCCCAAGGCCAGTGTCCAGAATGGTGATTCCTAGGTTTTCTTCTAGGATTCTTACAGTTTGAGATCTTAACTTTTCAGTCCATATTGAGTTAATTTTTGTATATGGTGAAAGGTAGGGGTCCAATAATTCTTCTATATATGGCTAACAAGCCATCCTAGCACTATGGATTGAATAGGAAGTCTTTTCTCCATCGCTTTTGTCCACTTTGTTGAAGATCAGGTGGCTGTAGGTGTGCAGCTTTATTTTTGGGTTTCTAGTCATTCTATTGGTCTGTGTCACTATTTTTGTACCAGTACCATACAGTTTTGGTTACTGTAATCTTATAGTTTGAAGTTGGGTAATGTGATTCCTCTGGCTTTGTTCTTTTTGCTTAGGATTGCTTTGGCTATTCAGGCTCCTTTTTGGTTCCATCTGAATTTTAGAATAATTTTTTTCTAGTTCTGTGAAAAGTAATCTTGGTAGCTTGATAGGAGTAGCATTGAATCCGTAGATTGCATTGAGCAGCATGGCCATTTTAACAATATTCATTCTTCCAATCCATGAGCATGGGATGTTTTTCCATTTGTGTCATCTATGATTTCTTTCAGCAGTGTTTTGTAGTTCTCCTTGTAGAGATCTTTATCTCTTTGGTTAGATATATTCCTACTGTGTGTGTGTATGTGTGTGTGTATGTCTATTGTAAATGGAGTTGCTTTCCTTTTTTTTTTTTTTGTCTGAGACAGAGTTTCACTCTGTTGCCCAGACTGGAGTGCAGTGGCACAATCTCTGCTTACTGCAGCCTCCCAAGTAGCTGGGATTACAGGTGCGTGCCACTACTGCCCAGATAGTTTTGTATTTTTAGTAGAGATGGGGTTTCACCATGTTGGCCAGGCTGGTCTTGAACCTCTGACCTCAAATGATCCACCCACCTCGGCCTCCCAAAGTGCTGAGATTACAGACGTGGGCCACCGCGCCCGGCCGGATTGCATTCTTGATATAACTTTCAGCTTGAATGTTATTGGTGTGTGGAAATGCTACTGATTTTTGTACATTGATTTTGTTCCTGAAACTTTACCATAGTCATTTATCAGTTTCAGGAGCCTTTTGGCAGAGTCTTTAGGGTTTTCTAGGTGTAGCATCATATTGTCAGAGAAGACAGTTTGACTTCTTCTTTTTCTATTTGGATGCCTTTTATTTCTTTCTCTTGCCTGATTGTTCTGGCTAGGACGTCCAACCTTAAGTTTTGATTGTATGTTAAACAATGTGTATAAAATAATTATACAGGCTAAGATGTTTTGTTTTGTTTTGTTTTGTTTTTGTTTGTTTGTTTTTTGTTGTTGAGACGAAGTTTCGCTCTTGTTGCCCAGGCTGGAGTGCAGTGGTGCAATCTTGGCTCACTGCAAGCTCCACCTCCCGGGTTCAAGCGATTCTCCTGCCTCAGCCTCCCGAGTAACTGGGATTACAGGTGCCCGCCACCACGCCTGGCTGATTTTTTTGTATGTTTAGTAGAGATAGGATTTTGCCATGTTGGGCGGGCTGGTCTTGAACTCCTGATTTCAGGTGATCCACCCGCCTTGGCCTCCCAAAGTGCTGGGATTACAGGCATGAGCCACCGCACCTGGCCAGGTGGTATTATTTTCCTGCAGAAAAATCATGAGATTTTTCCCTATTTCAGGTAGCTAGGTTGCATTGCTAATCAATTCAGTTGAGTGTTGACCTAAGTCAGAGTTTTGTTGCAGCATTACTGAGCTGTAGTTTACTTCTGGCTTCAAATGTCTTCTGAGTAAGAATTGTCCTGCCATATGATTGGCCCTTCCCTGTAGTAGGATTTTGGGATCTAAGCATTCTGAGACTAAAGAAATCTCTCTGTGTGTCTTTCCAGCCAAGCCCTTGGTCTCTTGTGTCACTACATGCTGAGCAAAAGCATGGATGTTCGGGAGAACCAGCTTGGCATTTGGGCTTCTCCAAATTCAAATCTGTCACATAAGCCCACACAACCATTAAAATCTCTATTGGTTTCTTCCTACTTTGGCTAAGTCCTTCTGTCTATAGCAGGCCCAATCCGATATCCACCAAGTCCAGACTTAGAAAATGTCCCTAGGGTGAAAACAGCTGTTGCTTTGTGCTTACCTAGGAAAGGCTCATCATCCCTTTCTGAAACTGAGTTCTTTTATATATTTATTTGCATCCAAAGTACTTCTATGTGTTTAAATTTTTTATAATTTTAAAAAACTTATTTGTTTATTTCTGGTTACTACAAGTGTGCAGGATTGTCTGACAGGTCTTTCTATTTCCTAACCAAAAGTGAAATTCTGGGAAACACTATTAAAAGGAGTTATTTTCATGCAGCATACACCCAGTACTATCATGCTATGATCATTCATAACTTACAATAGGGAAGACTAATACATTAAAAGTATTTTGAGTCTATGTTTCTCCTCTTGATTTGAAAAAATAATAAAGTTTTAAGAAATAATAAACAATGATGATAGTTTTTTTTTAACTAGTAAATTTAAAATCTACACTTATAAGACAGGTATGACATTTATAATATTGTGTTGTAGAAATGCATTACTTTTTTTTATTTCAGGAATTTTTGGAATGTGCTCATGAAGCCTGCAATGTACATAATCTTCAGCCTGTTAAATTTTTTCTTGAAAAAATAATTCAAACATATGAAATGATGATTGTTAGACATGGGTAAGATTATATATTGCTATAGTTAGATGTTATTTCTTAATTAAGCTGGTAAAACAACTAAAATCCATGAACCAAAGACTTGGCAAACTGATTAGGTGAGTTGAGAGCAACCCCCGCCCGCCCCCTGGCCCCCCAGTGGCTTAAAAGGCAAAGGTTTATTTCTCATACTACATGTCCAACAAGGGTTGGTAAGAAGTGCTCATTCAGTGACCTAGTACTAATAAATACCACCATTTGCATAAAAACACACTCTTCCCTTCCCAGGGAGGCACCTAAAAGTTCTAATCAATAAATGAACCAGACTCAAAGTTCAGGATCCCTAGGTGACGATGCATGGTAGCCTTTGTATCATACCTGGAAGTTGTTCCTCTTGATCCAGAGACCTACAACCTAGAAAGACAAGTTATCTTTTCTCCACAAACCCAGTGCACAATAGTGGGCTTATCAGAACAGGGTTACCAGAGCAAACACTCCCATTCAGAAACTGAAGAATAGAAGACACAGCCAACACTGTAATGTGACAATTCTGAAATCCAGCTGGTCATGTGAGGGCCCCAGTTCTAGAGATGGATTGATTGTGAAACTAATAGAGTTTAAACTTCAGGACCTCTCACTTGAAGGGCCTCATCTAAGGAGCCATAAGCATTTTGTATATGTGATTTATTATACAGGGTGTCATTAAAGTGGCTATGGACATTTTGTATTTATAGTTATATAAGTAAAAGTTATATATATGTTATATAAGTAAGTTATGTGTGTGTGTATATATATTTATATTTACTTAGAGAGCCACCTTTCTTAAAACCTGAATCTACTTCTGCTTGGTTTTTGCTACCTGAGAGGGGCTTTCCAGTTTAATTCTTCTTCTTGGGCCTTAGTTTAACCTTCTGAGAGGTCTTTCCATTTCCATTTTCTTCTCTGGGCACATATGAAGTGGGCAATAGAGAAAATACTGTTCTTGGGAGAGTTGAGAAATGTTTTGAGCCTGCTTCTTGCCTATAGAAAGTTGGGATCTCAATGGTCACGATTTTTTCTAAAGGTAGGGTTACAAAAACATTATGTAAATTTTTAAACATACAAAAATAGAGGGAATAGTACAATCAACCCTTATGCATTCAATACCCAAGGATTATTTTAAATATTATTTATTATGTATTTTTGAGATGTAGTCTGTTGATATCGCCCAGGCTGGTCTCAAACTCCAGGGCTCAAGTGATCCTCCCTCCTGAGCTTCCTGAGTAGCTGGGACTACAGGTGCGCACCACCACACCTAGTTCCCAAGGATTATTTAAGTCTTGAACATTCACTTATGTTTTAGACTAGACTCACAGTTTTTTTGGTCAGTAAACTCCCTCAAAAACAATCAGCTTTTTATCTATTTGATTCTAGACAGCTCCATGTTCCTATATCCGTAACTACTGTCCTTAATAAGCCATACCTTTTAAAATTTCCTGGAAGTATCCTTGACCTTATCAGGCTTTGTGGAGGGAGCCACAATCTTAGTCTGTTTTTCATGAATCATTTTATTCTCCTGAAATGATTACTGGGAATTATATTCTTTTTTTTTTTTTTTTTTTGGGAGACAGAGTCTTGGTCTATCACCCAGGCTGGAATGCAGTGGCAAGATCTTGGCTCACTGCAACCTCCACCTCCTGGGTTCAAGTGATTCTCATGCCTCAGCCTCCTGAGTAGCTGGGACTACAGGGACATGCCATCACGCCCAGCTAATTTTGGTATTTTTAGTAAAGACAGGGTTTTGCCATGTTGGCCAAGCTGGTCTTGAACTCCTGACCTCAAGTGATCTGCCCACCTTGGCCTCCCAAAGTGCTGGGATTACAGGCATGAGCCACCCGGCCCATATTAATCCTTCATAGGTTTTAATAATGTGATACAATGACCCTACCCTTGATTTGATACTTGATGCCAAACTGAGTTTTAATAGATTTTTGTTTAAAGGTTTTCTTAATTTTATCTTTTACCAGTTGCGAATGAGAATAACTTGATACATTCAATTCCAGAAGTCCCTGAATTTCTGGACTCCCTCTTTCATTCCTGCTTGCAAACTGACCATGTTTTTTTCTGGGCTCATTTCTTTGTTATGGTTCTTTTTTAAGTGAAACCAGTACCTGTCATTATATACTAATAACATTCTGTTTACTATCCTTTTCACCTAAAATTCTCATTTCCTTAGGTAATTAGCTGTCTTCCAGGTAATCTCAAGGAATACATTTACCAAATGTTTCATCATTCATTGCATGACAATAATTGTCCATATTTTAGCTTCTGATACCAGTTAATTTGTCACTCACAATCTGGCCTTTAAGCCAATGCCACATTAGGTTTTTTTTATTATTATTATTATGGCAAGAATATCCCCCCCTCTTCTAGGTACCAACTTCTGTTATTAAGGATGGGCTAGGATATTCTGTAAGAACTGTCAACACCCAAATGTTAGTGATTTAAAAAACAAAGATTTATTTCTCATTTATATATAGTAGGTTACCAGGGCAGCCCTGCTCGTCATGACCACTCAGGGCCCAGGCTGTTAGAGTAAGCACCACCTCAACGTTGTGGGTCACGGCCATGCTAGAGGGAAAAGGGAGCTCTGTGAGGTCTCTAGCTGGCAATTACCTATCCCTGCTTGGAAGTAATGCCCATCATTTCCATTTATTACCCGTTGGTTAGAACTAGTTACCTAGTCTTTCCACAAGAGGGCCAGAAATCCTATATGTGCCAGGAGGGAGGAGATCCAGAAATAGTTGGTAAAGAACACTAATAGTTTTATGGCAAGTGAAGACTTTGGGAATATAAATCTTTCCCAGTTCTCTCCTTAGTGGGCTTCAGGTTTAGTTTTTTTAAGAGTACACAGATAATAAGTTTTCATTGTCATTTGGAGATTGTTTATTATATTCCCTTTTGGAGAAAATAATATTACAGTGAAGAATTTGATTTGTAGTCAATCAGTTCAGAAATTAAATATGTTTTCTTCATGTCTGAGAAAAATTCATATGATTTCAAAAATTATAAGTAGTAATTATCACAGGGTAAAGTTTTATATACTGATATAAATTATTTAACTCTTTAAAGACTCTTATTGTATAATTATTTCTTTTCCTTCATAGTTTTATGTTAGTAGGAGAGCCTTTTGCTGCTAAGACAAAAGTTCTGCATGTGCTGGCGGATACGCTAACTTTAATGAATGAACATGGCTATGGAGAGGAAGAAAAGGTCATTTATAGAACTGTAAACCCCAAATCTATTACTATGGGCCAACTTTTTGGACAGTTTGACCCAGTGTCTCATGAGGTAACCTAAATATAAGTATTCCCAACTCTCTTATGGAAAGTGCCTGTTAAAACAAGAAACGTGAAGTATTTTCATAGTTTTACTCCTAAATCTAATTTTATGAGGAGAGCTTTTTAATTCTTTTTTTTCCTCCTCAGTGGACTGATGGTATTGTGGCTAACACTTTTAGAGAATTTGCCTTATCAGAAACACCTGACCGGAAATGGGTTGTATTTGATGGTCCTATTGACACTTTGTGGATAGAGAGCATGAACACAGTATTGGATGATAATAAAAAGGTAAATCATGATCAAAAGAGAAGCAGATTCAGCCATGATTAAGCAATTTTATGTGTTCAGCAACTAAACTAGGACTCTATTTAAAATAAAGGATGCAAAAATAAAGGATGCAGCAAGTTGAGTAGGTTTATAAATTCTCTTTTCAATGAAAACTGCTATAGTAAGTCCTTGGGTTAATTTTTTTTTTTTTTTGTAGAATGAAAGTATATTGTATTAAAATTACTGTGTTAGCCAGAAGACATAGTAATCTAGGGTGAGAATAAGTTGTTAAGTGACTTCAGTCTTATGGTTTCTTATAGAACTTCAGTATTTTAGGATAAAATAACAAAAGCCTAATTCCTTTTGAAAACATGGAATGCTTCAGCGTTTATATACAGTATATCACCTTCGGCGCTATGAGATATACAAAAGAACTAGAAAGTGAAAGTATTCTAATATTTATTTTAATTGAGAGACAACATATATAAGGTATAAAATGTATACCAATTTCAAGTGTAGATTCTATGATTTTTAAAATGTGTTTGTATACTCACATAATCATCACCTAAAAAATGACACATGAAATTTCCTATACCCTACAAGGTTCACTCATGTTCCTTCCTAGTTTGTTTATCTTCCTCCAGAGATAATCACTCTTCTGACTTCTATGATGAATTAGTTTTGCCAGCTCTTGAACTTAATACATTGGAATCATATTCTTCAGTGTTTTTTTTAAATCAATATATGTGTGATGTTCATATTACTGTAGTTCAGTTTTGTTAACTTATTTATGTCTATATTAGTATCCTAGTGTGTGAATATATCACAGATTATTTCCATACTTACATGAAATGACTGCCCTACTAAATAAACAAACTCATTTAATTAGCATTTAAAGATACACTCAAGGCCGGGCGCGGTGGCTCACGCCTGTTATCCCAGCACTTTGGGAGGCTAAGGCAGGTGGATCATTTGAGGTCAGGAGTTCGAGACCAGCCTGAGCAACATGGTGAAACCCTGTCTCTACTAAAATACAAAAAAAAAAAAAAAATTAGCTGGGTGTGGTGGCGCGCGCCTGTAATCCCAGCTACTCAGGAGGCTGAGGCAGGAGAATCACTTGAACCCAGGAGGCAGAGGTTGCAGTTAACCGAGATCACACCACTGCACTCTAACCTGGGCGACAGGGCAAGACTCCATCTCAGAAAAAAAAAAAAAAAAAGATATACTGAAGTACTTTATCATAGGTGGTTAGTCATTCACATTCCTTCTTTCATGCATTCAGTAATATTGGTTGAGCTTAGGGTAGAAAGTAAATAGAGAAGAAGCAGGAAGGTTATTCTAATTGTAGAGTGAAGTCTAAGGGTTCAGAGCCAAGCAGATGGATTGTCTCTTACTGCATGAGAGGGAATTATGAAAAGACAGCTATAGGTGAGTGTATGGATTTGACTGTGGAAATTTGAAGGCAAATCCTTGTGATGATTTCTCTTTTCTTCGTGAAGTGATGGGCCTTGGTTCTTTGCAAAATTGAGGATAAAAGAAGAGACTTAAATTAGCCTTTGTGGAAGATGGGAAAGAGAGCTACCTAGGAAAACATAGAAGCACTTCTGGGTAGCACTGAGAGCCTGATTGAGTGGAAGACCATAAATTATCATTAGTAGTACCAAGGTCTGCCTTTGTGAGGTACTCTCTACCAGTCTAAGCAGCTTAGGCATAGGTAATATTGTAGGCCTGGAAATATAGTAAGACTTCAAAGTTATTGACATGAGAATGGTAGAAGCATTAGACCATAGGACAAAAGCTGCCTAATGAAAGAAGTGAAAACATCAGGGATGTGAAAATATTGGGAAAATGAGGAGCAAGTGTAGTAGGAGACAATGAATGAAATAACTGGATGGATTGGAGGCTGTGGGCAGAGACTGAGATACATGAATTTAATATTTCAGAATTGTGTATTATTTCTGGAGAGAAGGTCCCAGATACATAAAGTGGACAGCTGGAGTGGAGCAAGGTGGTCAAGGATCTGATGGGCAGCTGTGTTGAGATTCTCAGTCTTTATAAACACTGGATCAGGCCAGAGTTATAGTAGAGAGTGAGATTAGGCCATGTCCCAAGGACTTTAGCTATTGAGGAGGGAATCACTGAGTACTGTTGAGTGGCAGGGAAAAAACAGGGGTTGTCACTGGGGGTGGAATAGAAGTAGTTGGGAAACAACACAGGGCAGTGAGGAGAATGCTGACCCTACCTTTCAAATTTGTGCAGAGTTAGGAGGATGTTTGCTGAAATAATCTGGTCAAAGATTAAAAGTATTCTAGACCAGCATGTCCAGTAGAACTTTTTACAATACTGCAACTATCTGTGTTCTCTGAGAAGGTAGCTACTAGTCACATGTGGCTACTGAGCATTTGAAGTGTGGATTAGTGCAGTTGAAGAACTGAATTTTAAATTTTATTTAGTTTTAGTTAGCTAAAATTAAATATAAATAGCCACATATGGCTAGCAGCTACCGTATTGGACAATCCACCTCTAGATCATTCATTTTACAGCTAAGAAACGGAATCCACAAATGTTAAATTTCTCATTGTTGACATGTGACTAGATAGGGGAAAAACTGGAACTAAAGTGATGATTGTAAAAGCAGAAAGGAAACACTGAAAACTAAATGTACAAGAATTTAAAAGACTTAGTAATAAAATTAATTTAGGTATCAAGTTAATAATAATAATACTATTAAAAGTTAATGATAATTCCATAGCTGCAAGCCAAAGAGATTGAGGAGATAGGATGGCTTTAATAATAGACAAGACAGAAATTTGAGGGAAAGGAAGCAGTTGATAAATTCAGTTTTTGACATATTTGATAAAAGAAGAAATGTTTTAGATTAAGAGACCAAGGAGACATAAAAAACTCAATGCATAGTCTTTGATTGAATTTTGCTTTAAATAAATCCATTGAAAAGACATTTCTGGTACAACTGAGGAAATTTGAGTATTGACTGAGTATTAGATGATAATAAAGAATTATTCATTTTGTTAGGTGTGATAATGTTATTGTGATTACATAGAAAATATACTTATTTTTTGGAAACATAGGCATTTGAATGTGAAATGCCATGATGTGATGTCTATAATGCTCTTTAAACTGTTTTTTTAAAAAGGTAATGGCAATATGGCAAAATCTTAACATTGATTAAATCTATGAGCTGGGTATAAGAGTACGCATGCTATTCTCTATTTTCTATTTTTTAATTTAATAAAAAGGTCTATGGTCACTTTATAAATTCAGGAGTATTTCACTTAATTTTCTTAATAGCCGATATTTGTATAGGATTTTATAGGTTTTGGACTTTGTCTTATAGTCCCCCTTCCTACAATTCTACAAGAGCACTATTATCCCTGTTTTATAGATGAAGAGACTGAGACTCGGAGATGTTAAGTATTTGCTTAAATACTTAATAATTAACAGGGCTAGACCTAGAATTAAGATTTTCTGGCTTCCATTCTAATTCTTATTCCATTATATCACAGGAGCTACTTTATTTTATACATAGTATAAATTTTTATCTGAGAAACTTGAAATTTTAAAAAATAAACATTTGAAAAATAATTGCTTTTAGCTTTGCCTTATGAGTGGAGAAATCATTCAGATGTCCCCCCAAATGAGCCTCATCTTTGAAACAATGGACCTTTCCCAGGCATCCGTAAGTTCATAATTTAATACAATGGTGGTTTGTTCATTTCTTCATTCTTTAATTTAGCCAATAAGTATTTTTTATTATATGTCAGAAAATGGGTTAGGCACTAGGAATATAAAGATGAATAAGACACAGTGTATGCTTGTTTAGGGAGGATGAGAAGCATGTTAATAATCCCATTACACAGCTACATGTTAGTGCTTTAAGAGTGTGAAGAGGATGGCTGGGCACGGTGGCTCACGCCTGTAATTCCAGCACTTTGGGAGGCTGAGGCGGGCAGATCACCTGAGGTGGGAAGTTCAAGACCAGCCTGACCAACATGGAGAAACCCCATCTCTACTAAAAATACACAATTAGCCAGGCATGGTGGTGCATGCCTGTAATCCCAGCTACTTGGGAGGCTGAGGCAGGAGAATCGCTTGAACCCAGGAGGTGGAGGTTGCAGTGAGCCGAGATGGTACCATTGCACTCCAGCCTGGGCAACAAGAGTGAAACTCCGTCTCAAAAAAAAAAAAAATGTGTGGAGAGGAGTGAGCATCTGTGAGGAGGATGGATAGAGGAGCACCATGGAAGGTAACTGAGTGTTTGATCTGATTTTGAGGAAGATGTAAGACTTCTCCAGGGAGATTGGATTTGGAAATCCTAGGCGTTTCCAGATCGAGATAATGTTTAAAGACATGGAGCCTTTACATATCTGGGGAACTGAACTGCAAATAGTTTTCTGTATGGGGAACGTCTAGACTGTGTGAAGCTATGTGAAGCAGATGGGAGCTAGATTATAAAGGATCTCATAAGTCATCTTAAGAAATAGTTGATAATTGCCAGGTGCCACTGGTATAAAAACAACAGTGCAAAAAGTTGCCTTTTTTCTCTAGCCTGCCACTGTAAGTCGTTGTGGTATGATTTATTTGGAGCCTTCACAGTTAGGATGGGAACCACTTGTGTCTTCTTGGTTGAATTCACTGAAAGGACCTCTGTGTGAACCAGAATATCAAGCTCTTCTGAGAGGACTTTTTGCCTGGTTAATACCACCCTCTTTAAACCAGCGTAAGAAAAAATGCAAGGTAATCCTATAATTCTCTGACCTATTCAAGTTTCTTTGTTTCCATTCAACTTGACTAAGTCTAAAGTCACAGTGGTTGGTAGAATGAATAACTAAAACCAGTTTGTCCTTATGCATTTACTATCCACCGTTGGTTTTATATTGCTTAAGTTATAGCTGCATAACTCAGGGGTTGAATTATTCCAGCTAAACTATTTGTATACAACCATAGTGTCTAAAATTTTAAAAATTCTAATTACTTTCCGTATTTCAAATTATTTTAAATATGTGCCTCTAAAAACTCAATGTACATTTAGTGAGTTTATGAGTTATTCAATATTTAGTATTTTATGAGAAAACTTTACATATTGTATTAGCTTCCCAGGGCTGTCATAACAAATTGCCACAAACTTGATGGCTAAAGCTACAGCCACGGTGGCTCACTCCTATAATCCCAGCACACTGTGGGAAGCTGAGGTGGGCGGATCACTTGAAGTCAGGAGTTTGAGACTAGTCTGGCCAATATGGTGAAACCCTGTCTCTACTAAAGATATAAAAATTAGCCGGGCATGGTGGTACATGCCTGTAATCCCAGCTACTCGGGAGGCTGAGGCAGGAGAATCACTGGAACCCAGGAGATGGAGGTTGCAGTGAGCCGAGATCACGCCACTGCACTCCAGCCTGGGCGACAGAGCAAGACTCCGTCTCAGAAAAAAAAAAACCCCAAAACCAAAAAACACCCAAAAACCAGAAATTGATTCTCTCACAGTTCTGGAGACCAGAAGTCCAAAATCAGGATGTTTGTAGAGGGCTATACTTCCTTGGAAGCTCTAAGGGAGACTCTTTTCTTACCTTGTCCAGATTCTGGTAGCCTCAGGTGTTCCTTGGCTTGTGGCTACATAACTCCAACTTCTTCCATCTTCACATGGCCTTCTTTTTATTTTATTTTATTTTTGAGATGGAGTCTTGCTCTGTCTTGCTCTGTCACCCAGGCTGGAGCGCAGTGGAGCGATCTTGGTTCACCGCAACCTCTGTCTCCCACGTTGAAGCAATTCTCCTGCCTTAGCCTCCCGAGTAGCTGGGATTACAGGCACATGCCACCACACCCAGCTAATTTTTTTTGTATTTTTAGTAGAGACATGGTTTCTCCATGTTGGCCAGGCTGGTCTCGAACTCCTGACCTCAGTTGATCCACCCACCTTGGCCTCCCAAAGTTCTGGGATTACAGGCATGAGCAACCGCATCCGGCCAATCTTCACATGGCCTTCTACTCCACATGTCTCTCCTCCATGTGACAGTTACAAGGACTTGGATTTAGCACCCACTAGATAATCCAGAATGATGTCTTCCTCCTGAGATTTTTAACTTAATTGCTTCTTCTGAGACCTTTTTCCATATAAGATCACATTTATAGGTTCCTCAGGTTAGAACATGGAAATATCTTTTTGGGGACCATTGTTCAACCATTTCCACCATCTCCTACACACACACACACACACACACACACACACACACATTCGCTTCTTACATATAAATAAATATATTGATATACAGAGGGGAAAGAGATACTCAGTTTTATCCTAAAATGTTCTAGGCATAGAAAAAAGTGCCATTTAAAAGAAAAAAATGAGCAATTCCACTTTATGAAGATTCTGTATAGTGTCTTCATAGAGAAAATAGACAAAGTCCCTTATAGTTTTAAAACTCTAATGCTATATATTATAAATAATACAAAATAGGCTTCACCTTTCCACATAATGAGTAATGGATTTTCTTCTCATAGTTCTTTCTCATCCAGTCCCCAGATTTTTTTTTTTTTTTTTTTTCTGAGACAGTCTCTCTTTATCTCCCAGGCTGGAGTGCAGTGGCACTCCACCTTTCAGGTTCAAGTGATTCTCGTGCCTCAGCCTCCCAGGTAGCTGGGATTACAGGCACAATTACAGGCGTGCACCACAACACCTGGCTAATTTTTGTATATTTTTTTTTTTGTAGAGATGAGGTTTTGCTATGTTGGCCAGGCTGGTCTCTAACTCTTGGCCTCAAGCAATCTGCCCACCTCGGCCTCCCAAAGTGCTGGGATTACAGGCATGAGCCACCTGGTCCAGGCCCCAGGATCTATTGATTTTCCCTTCTTGATAAAGTTTATACCTGTTTTCTTTCCATCCCTGTTTCTGCAGCCACCTCCTCGCCCCACCCTTCCCGTTATAGTATCTCAATTCTGACCATCATCACTTCCTACCTGAATCAATACCATGCAGCTGCTCTGGTCCAGTCTGTATCCTGCTACAGAATGAAGTTTCCAAAACACAAATCCTTTCTGTTTATTCCTTTATTTAAAACCCTCCCTTGGAACTCTCTTCCTCTTGTAATTAAATCCTTAATACAGCATATAAAAACCTTTTAGGATCTGACTCTTGTGTATTTCTCAAGCCTAATTTTTGGGCATCCCTCCTTCATACCCTATTTTCATATCCTACAGAATCCCCTTAATAATCTGTGTCTGCTCACATCTCCATTTCTTTGTATACATTCCCCTGCCTTGAATATCCTTCCCTTGTTCACCTGGCAAACTTACATTTTCCTTCCAAATTCAGCTCAGCTATTATTACTTCCTCCAGGAAGCCCTCTTTGGTGTATCTCTCTCCCGTTTTCCTCCTTGTGCACTCCTCCAATTGTTTATCCCAAGCACTCTAGCAGCCGCCTCCTACCCTGAGACTTTCTCTGTCATATCATTATTACATCATATTATTTTTGTCTATTTAATTTTAATATCATCCATTTTTAGGGATTCTTTTATTTCCATATCTCCTAGCTTGCCACATAGGTATAGTATGTTTTTCATAAATGTTTGTTGAATAAATAAATGAATGGCTCTTAGAGACTTCATTTCTGCTATCCTTAGAACACTGTTTATTCTCTTGCAGTAGCTAGTTTTCATTTGTCAGAGAATTTAGAATGTATTATGTGCGATTGTACAATTGTTATGTATAATTGTGTAATATAATATGGGAAACTAAAATATTTGAGAAATGTTTTATCATGCCTACTTAAAGTTTTTAAGTTTAAATATTATAAAGACCTTATGAGGCTAGTTGTGGTGGCTCATGCCTGTCATCCCAGCACTTTGGGAGGCTGAGGCAGGAGGACTGCCTGAGTCCAGAAGGTTGAGGCTGCACTGAGCTGTGATCACACTACTGCACTCTAGCCTGCGTGACAGAGTGAGAGCCTATCTGGGAAAAAAAAAAATAGCCTGGTGGTGCTCACCTATAGTCCTAACTACTTGAGAGGCTGAGGTAGGAGGATCCCTTAAGCCCAGGAGTTGGAGGCTGCAGTGAGCTATGATTGTGCAACTGGGCTCCAGCCTGGATGACAGAGTGAGATCCCATCTCAAAAACAAAAAAAAAGACCTTATTAAAACCATGTATGCTTTTATCAGTTTTTAAAAATAAAGTGTTTTTCTTATTTTCTAAATAAGATGAAAATTAAGAAAGTTATCTTATTTTCACCTTGCAGGAACTGATTCCTACAAGCAACAGCAACGTGGTTGTATCTCTCACACGCCTCTTTGAAGTGCTACTTTGCAATGTGGTAGAAAATGATCCTACTAGCAAGCACATTCGTGTTTGGATTATGGTTGGTTTTATACTTCATGTAGTTTTTAATTATAAATAAATTATGCTTCTGGTACATGATGTTTATATTGAGAAAGACATGACAAGATCCAAAGCTATTTTTTGGTGAGCATTGAAAGAATAGCTGGAGACACTAAAGTTGCCCTAACACCTGGTATTCTGATAATAAAAAACACTTTAAAGAAATTAAAATGTCACAAGGAACCAAAACTATCTTTTTTTTTTTTTTTTTGGAGACAGGGCAGAGTCTCACTCTGTCACCCAGGTTGGAGTGCAGTGACGTGATCTCAGCTTAATACAACCTCCACCCCCCACCTCCCCCAGGTTTAAGTGATTCTCCTCCCTCAGCCTCCCGAGTAGCTGAGATTACAGGTGACTGCCACCACACCTGGCTAATTTTTGTATTTTTAGTAGAGACGGAGTTTCACCATCTTGGCCAGGCTGGTCTTGAACTCCTGACCTCGTGATCCACCCGCATCGGCCTCCCAAAGTGCTGGGATTACTGGCGTGAGCCACCGCGCCTGGCAACTATCCAATTTTTTTTTTTTTTTTGAGATGGAATCTTGCCCTGTTGCCCAGGCTGGAGTGCAGTGGTGCGATCTCAGCTCACTGCATCCTCTGCCTCCTGGGTTCAAGTGATTCTCCTGCCCCAGCCTCCCGAGTAGCTGGGATTACAGGTGCGCACTGCCACACTGAGCTAATTTTTTTTATCTTTAGTAAAGGCAGGGTTTCACCATGTTGGCCAGGCTGGTCTTGAACTCCTGACCTCAGGTGATTCGCCCACCTCGGTCTCCCAAAGTGCTGGGATTACAGTTGTGAGCCACCATGCTCGGTCAACTATCCTATTATGAAAGATTATAATTTGATCAACAATAAAGTGATTTAATATTAAACAAATTTGGACATTAGGTGAATTAATTTTATTAATTAATGTTAAGCCAGCATTTAGGCAACATAAAAGCTAGCTATGAAAGACCAGGAGTAGGCTGGGTGCCGTGGCTCATGCCTGTAATCCCAAAACTTTGGGAGGCCAAGGTGGGCAGATCATTTGAGGTCAGGAGTTCGAGACCAGCCTGGCCAACATGGTGAAACCCCATCCCTACTATAAATACAAAAATTAGCCAGGCGTGGTGGCAGGCGCCTGTAGTCCCAGTTACTCAGGAGGCTGAGGCAGGAGAATTGCTCCATCTCAAAAAAAAATAAAACCAGGAATAGGCATCCAGCCAGCTAGGTGGAGTGTTGGAGGCAGAATCCATGGAGGCCTCAGGTAGGGAGAAGTCAGTAGTCTTGGTTAGCTAGGCCAGAGGGAATGGCACAAGTAAACAGATTATCAAGAGCCTGAGGAAAGAGGTTTTTAGTGTCTTTTTCCTGGTCTATGCTGGTTTCCCATGCACCACCTTATTCCTAAATGCATTGATCTCCTCCCTCTCCCCTCACAGCATAGCAGTTCCCTCCCATTGTTTTTCCTTCCATTTGCTGCCCAAAGTATCTGCTGCCTCAGACATCTCACATTCCAGGGTTTCCTGCTAACCAAATCCCTTCCTTTTGTCCTCCTTTTTCGCCTTTATATCCTTCCGCTTTAGAAGATATTGAACAGACATGTTTGAAGTATAATTTATTTATTCCTTTTTCTCCCTAGGTTTGGAACCGCCTTTTACAAAACTAAGTTTTAGCTTTCTTCCATATCTATCAGTGTTACTGTTTATAAAAGTATCATGGGAATAGTTTACCTATATAACCTTCAAGTTGCATTTTTCCTGAACATTTTATTCTGTTGGTAAACCTAAAACCTAAACCTTTCAAGTGGTTCAGAATCACTTCAAGAGAGTTATACAGATTGATATCTAGGTGAAATTTTTCTCTGAATATATATTTACTTTTGGACTTGATAAGGCATGTACCTAGAGTAAAATTCAAAAGGCAAAAGTGGGTTTTCCCCACTTTTCCATAGCAGTCCCCCAGCCACACTGAAGGCAGCTAATATTGCCGGTGCCCTATATAGAATTCTAGAAGTATTTTATGCACACACTCTTTTACATGTATACATTTTTAAATACATTAGCATACATTGTCTACTGATTTGCATCGTTTCTCTATTGTAATATGTCATTTTCATATTAGTGCTTATAGAGTGACCTTGTTTTTTAACAGCTGCATGTATTTCAGTGTATTAGCAGAATCCAATTAAGCAGACCATTTCTGAAGAACAATTTGGGTTGCTTTTGATCTTTTGCTATTACAAATAGTGCTGCAGTGAATATTCTTGTACATGTGTCATTTTCACAGGTGGAAATATATTTGAGTATAAACTCCCACAAGAGAAATTCCTAGGTTATTTGGTAAGGACATTTTATTTATTTATTTTTGTTTTAAAAAATATTTTGTAGAGATGGGGTCTTACTATGTTGCCCAGGCTGGTCTCAAATTCCTGGCCTCAAGCAATCCTTCTTCCTTGGCCTTCCAAAGCTCTGGGATTACAGGTGTGAACCACTGTACCCAGCCAGTATGGGTATTTAAAATTTTGTTAGAGGCCGGGCGCGGTGTCTCACACCTGTAATCCCAGCACTTTGGGAGGCTGAGGCGGGCAGATCACGGGGTCAGGAGATCGAGACCATCCTGGCTAACATGGTGAAACCCCGTGGTGGTGGGCGCCTGTAGTCCCAGCTACTCGGGAGGCTGAGGCAGGAGAATAGCTTGAACCTGGGAAGTAGAGGTTGCAGTGAGCTGAGATCGCACCACTGTACTCCAGCCTGGGTGAGAGAGTGAGACTGTCTCAAAAAAGAAAAAAAAATTTTTTTTGATAGATATTGGGCCAGGCACGGTAGCTTATGCCTGTAATCCTAGCACTCTAGGAGGCTGTGGCAGGTAGATTGCTGAGTCTAGGAGTTTAAGACCAGCCTGGGTAACATAGCAAAACCCTGTCTCTACTTAAAAAGCAAAAACAAAAAATTAGTCAGGCTTTGTGGTGTACCCTGGTAGTCCCAGCTACTTGGGAGGCTGAGACACCAGAATCACCTGAACTGGGGAGGTTGAGGTTGCAGTGAGTTGAGATGGTGCCACTGTACTCCAGCCTGGGCAACCAGAGAGAGGCGCTGTCTCAAAAAAAAAAAAAAAAAAAAAGACATGCAAACATTTTGATAAAAATTGTCAGAGAAATGACTATGTGGCTTAGCAGTGCTCCATTCTACTTTATTTACACTTACGACCTTGTTCAAGTAAGTTGAGCATATCCTAATATATTGAATTTTGGTTAATGTTTCTCCTAAAATGCCTTTTAAAATAATTGCTATAAGTTAAATTTTTTCTCCACCAACAGGCTTGCTTTATATTCTCTTTGATTTGGTCGATTGGAGGAAGTTGTGATACAGATGGCCGTCGTGTTTTTGATACTTTCATACGATTAATCATACTGGGAAAAGATGATGAAAACCCAGTGCCAGATTCTGTGGGTAAATGGGAATGCCCATTTGATGAAAAAGGCCTGGTCTATGACTACATGTATGAGGTATGACATAAAAAGCTTGTTATGGTAAGATAAAACACAAAGGCTTAGGCCAGCAGACAAAGCTCCTGGGTTTTCATCCTAGAGTTATTTTGACTCCTGCGGTGAGCTTTTTAAGCTCCCTTCTTTTAGTTTCACCTCCCATAACTTATTGGCTGTATAAATAAATTTGCTTTAATAATATTTTTATAATTTCACATTTAAATTAAATTTATTTTTCCATTTTATTAAATAATTCCCCAAAGCATTTTTTAAACAGCAAGTATTTGAATAATTATTTGATTCATACAAATTTTATTTCATCCCCCATAAGATCTAGATAGAGCATTAGTTATAATTTCACTTAAATCTCAAGTTTTATGATAAGGAAGTAAACCTAAAAAGATTAATGGCTAGCAGAGCCAGAACTTGACTCAAGTTCTCCTGACTGACAGTGCAGGACCCTTTCCCCAAAACCATGCTAACACAGAATTTTAAGAATCTGGCCAGAAAGAGAGTTTCATCCTCATTAGCCATAGCGGGAAGTCAATAAAGTAATCTCTAAAAGTGAAAAAAGAGGTGGTAACACAAGCATATTCTTTATTTCTTTCTTTTTTTTTTTTTTTTTTTTTTGAGACGGAGTCTTGCTCTATTGTCCAGGCTGGAGTGCGGTGGCGCAATCTCGGCTCACTGCAAGCTCCGCCTCCTGGGTTCAAGCCATTGTCCTGCCTCAGCCTCCCGAGTAGCTGGGACTACAGGTGCCCGCCACCACGCCTGGCTGATTTTTTGCATTTTTAGTAGAGACGGGGTTTCACCGTGTTAGCCAGGATGGTCTCAGTCTCCTGACCTCGTGATCCACCCACCTCAGCCTCCCAAAGTGCTAGGATTACAGGCGTGAGCCACTGCGCCCGGCCCACAAGCATATTCTTTAAGAATCGAAAATAAATACCAAACTATCCAGCTTAGAGAAGGTGAAGGTCTCTAGGAAAGGGAAAGTGACAGTAGGGAAATGCTGTTTTTCTTAACCTTGTAAATCTTTTGACTGTAAAATATGTACATATATAATGTTGATAAAAATAAAAGCTAAAACTTAAAAAAATACAAATATGAATTACTAAAGAAACATTCACCCAAACTTACAAAGTTACCACAATTCAAACATGTAACATATACGTGTACAATTTGCTGGAAAATAGGAAAAGATTGTGAGATTCCAGCCACAGCTCTGGAATCGGGTCTTAGGGGGCTACTTTGGCAGGTATTAAAACTTTTTTTACTTAACAGTGGAAGGGCTGGGGTTCTCCAGGGAGGGGTCAAAACAACCTGCAGAAGAAGATAATGGTTGGGGGTGGAGTGAAGATTGGGAGGCACTCAGGGGTGTCAGGACAGCAGTTATTTAGCCAGTGATTCAGAAGAATTTCAGTATCATAACAATTAATACAGCTATGCTGATATATATCCTGGTTGTTTCAGCCTGGATCAAAATGCCAAAGAGAATAATGTTAGAGAAACAAATATAGTGGTTTTATGTGATATTTTATTTTTAGTTAGATTATTGCCCATTTGTTTTAAAATATAAAAAAGTAAAGCCAAAACCCAGGAAATTGTAACTTGAAGTACATTAGAGTGGCTTTCAAATAAATACTCAATGTATGCAAAAGGACATCTTGAAGGCATTTGGGGAATATTGGAGTGTTAAGAAGACATAAAGGCAAAAGTATCTGAAATGTTAGATATGTTGAATATGTGATAACAAAAGTTACATTATATTTTTCAGGTTATTAAAAATGAAAATTGAAAAAATATATTTTTTAAATTGGTGTTTTCATGAATGCTTATTTTATTAATCTGCTTATGACTTAAAATATGCTATATGTGTTCTTTTATGTGAATGTAATATTTCATTAAAAGGGGGAAGACTTAAGTTTTTAAAAGCTAATATAATAGTATACATGTTGAAAAGAGCCTTTCAGATACAGCAAGTACATGGTTTTAATATTTTAAAACTTATATTTTCTTGTAGTTGAAAAACAAAGGTCGCTGGGTCCATTGGAATGAATTAATTAAAAATACTAATTTAGGAGATAAACAAATCAAGATTCAAGATATCATAGTCCCTACGATGGACACAATTAGATATACGTTTCTAATGGATTTGAGTATTACCTATGCAAAGTAAGGAACTCTGCTATAAACAAGCATTTTGAATGTAAAAGTACCATTTTAATAGGATTATGGCAATTTTTGAAGTATTCGAGATCATCCCTTTTCAGGTAACTGAAATCCTGGGGGACTTGTTGGCATGTTGAAAGTGACATCTGTTGCTATTGGCAAACCTGGAATACACATTTCCCATTGCCCACTCCAAAGCCCTTGCCATCATACTTTGCTGCCTCATAAGTTGCCTTACATTTTTGATTTGTAACAGCACACTGAAAGCCTGCTGCTGTGTTACTGTTAAAAAGGTATGCAGTCTAATTAAAGATTCAGCGTACTCCTGAGACATCAAAGTAACCATGATCCACATTCTCCTATTACATTTAGCATTTTTCACCTATGTCCTATGCCAGTTCTGGATTCCATAACTTAAGGTGAATATTAAAAACTCAGAAGAGTCCATCAAAAGTAAAGACACATGAAACTGATCAAAAGCCTAGATGTGTACTGTTTGCATATCCATACCAACTTTCTTAATAACATTTAATAGTTATTTTTCTTTTAAAACACTAGGTATAATTTACCATTCATACTATTTAAACTAGACAAGTTTATATAATCATAAATGTCATTTTTTTGATAAAGAAGCTGTTCCTGAATGCATTCTGTGACCAATTTTATCTCATTTAAAAAAACAAAAAAACAGGAAAAATAGCTTATGAGGGAAAATTAGTTTACCCCTATTTTGTGTCCGTAGTTGCATTTTTGCATTTAGAAGCTAAGCAAGGAAGACAATTGCCAATTCTGTGACATTTCTAGTATAGCAGTTTTTTGTTTTTTTTTTTGAGACAGGGTCTCACTCTGTCACCCAGGCTGGACTACAGTGGTGCGATCACGGCTCACTGCAGTCTTGACTTCCCAGGCTCTAGCGATCCTCCCACCTCAGCCTCTCAAGTAGCTGGGACTACAAGCATGCACCACTATGCCTGGCTTTTTTTTTTTTTTTTTTTTTTTTTTTTGTAGAGACAGGTTGCCCAGACTCATCTTGAACACCTGAGCTCAAGCAATCCACCCACCTCAGCCTCTCAAAGTGCTAGGATTACACCGTGCCTGGCAATACAGTTCTTTTGTGCCAAGAACCATTTGTCAGAATAATACTTTTAAATAAGTACAAATAGAATTATAAAGTAAACCATATATATATTTATTTATTTGTTTATTTATTTCAGACAAGTCGCTTGCGCTCTGTCTCCCAGGCTGGAATGCAGTGCATTCCAGCATCTCTGCTCACTGCAACCTCTGCCTCCTGGGTTCAAGCACTTCTCCTACCTCAGCCTCCTGAGTAGCTGGGATTACAGGCACCTGCCACCACGCCAGGCTAATTTTTTGTATTTTTAGTAGAGTCGGGGGTTCACCATATTGGCCAGGCTGGTCTTGAACTCCTGGCCTCAAATGATCCATCCACCTTGGCCTCCCAAAGTGCTGGGATTACAGGCTTGAGCCACCGTGCCCAGCCTGTTTTTTTCTTTTTATATCGAAATACATTTATGAAAATATTGAACATATTTGGGCCATAGTAGTAATATATATATGTTTCTTTATTAACACATTAAATAACAAGATCTGTCAGTGGATCTGATGACTATAATACCTTTGAAGAAGGAATGGGCATGAGTGATATTTTTGAGATACTGTAACAATTGTAATGTGTAGGATAATAGCTATGATTTCTACTGGTGACAAAGACACAGGTACTATTCATACAATTGCTACATTTTAGAGGATAGCAAAAAGTAAAGGTATAACATTTTTGTCATTCAAGTTCACAGATTCTCTGAATTCTATGAATGTTTTTAGTTGGCTCATGGACCCCAAGTTAAGAACAGAAATTTATTAATACTATTTTAATAAATTTTCATAGAGCTAATGTTACTCAGACTGGAACATGTAGATGAATTCTCAGGGGTCACTCTGTTTCTAAAAGAACTTTAATTTTGTGTTCATATTTCAGTAACAGTTTTCAAAATTAATACTAGCATAGTTTGGCTCACTTAGATGACCCCTTAGAACTGAATATGGCTATTACTCAGTTTCAGTGCTGGCCTTTGTATTTGTCTTTTTTTAAATTTTTTTTTAGAAGGTGTTTCACTCTTCTTGCCTAGGCTGGAGTGCAATGGCACAATCTCAGCTCACCACAACCTCTGCCTCCCGGGTTCAAGCGATTCTCCTGCCTTAGCCTCCCAAGTAGCTGGGATTACAGGCATTTGCCACCATGCCCAGTTAATTTTGTATTTTTAATAGAGATGGGGTTTCTACATGTTGGTCAGGCTGGTCTCGAACTCCTGACCTCAGGTAATCCACCTGCCTCGGCCTCCCAAAGTGCTGGGATTACAGGCGTGTGCCACCGCGCCTGGCCTGTGTTTGTCTTTATGTATTGTGTAGTAACAAGTTATCATTCAAAATGATAGTATTTTATTTTTAATGCAGCATTTCTCAAACAGGGATTCTCCAGAGTTTTGTGAACATAAACTCATATGATTACTTTTCCCCTTAAAATTAGTTATGATCATTTAAGAATGGGAAACCTTGCTTGAATTCCCCATTCACTGAATGGGGAATTCCTTAGAGTTTGCTTTTGGACAAATATTTTCAGTTTGTAATTGAATTGATTTAAAAATGCTGTTAACAGTATACATATACATAACTGTTAGCTTTAGAATTGACTGTCATTCCATCTCTCACAAAACCTTTGGCTATTGAGATCACTGGGAAACAGCCTACAGCTAGCTGTCTTATTGTCATCCCCTTGTTATTCACATGCTGCCCCCATGTCTGTACCCTAAAAGTACAAATACAACTCTTTTCTGAGGAGACAGACTTTGACTTTCTGCTCTGAAAAGTTAAGCATATTATTACTTGTTTCATAAGTGTTTTATATATAGCGATATTACATCTATTCAAATAATAGTTTATTACTATTAAAGTATCTATAAGGCTGGTCCC
This sequence comes from Homo sapiens, assembly GCF_000001405.40. NCBI lineage: Eukaryota > Metazoa > Chordata > Mammalia > Primates > Hominidae > Homo > Homo sapiens. Next base: position 57,416,381 of record NC_000003.12, on the reverse strand, counting down.
AGTGGCTCCTGTCTGTAATCCCAGTGCTTTGGGAGGCTGGGACAAGAGGATCACTTGAGGCCAAGAGTTTGAGACCAGCATGGGCAACATAGCCGGGCCCTGTCTCTTTAAAACGTTAAAAGTAAAAAAATTAGCCTGGTGTGGTGGCATGCCACCTGTAGTCCTAGCTACTTGGGAAGCTGAGGCAGGAGGATCACTTGAGCCCAGAAGTTCAAGGCTGCAGTGAGCTATGATTGTGCCACTTCATTCCAGACTGAGTGACAGAGTGAAACCTTATCTCAAAAAATAAAAATAGATCAAGCATGGTGGCTCATGCCTGTAATCCCAGCACTTTGGGAGGCCAAGGCAGGTGGATTACTTGAGGTCAGGAGTTCAAGACCAGCCTGGCCAACACGGTGAAACCCGTCTCTACTAAAAATACAAAAATTAGCCAGGTGTGGTGGTGCATGCCTGTAGTCCCAGCTACTTGGGAGGCTGAGGCAGGGGGGTTGCTTGAACCTGGGAGGTGGAGGTTGCAGTGAGCCAAGATCACGTCACTGCCCTCCAGCCTGGGGAACTAAGTGAGACTCTGTCTCAAAAAAAAAAAAAAAAAGAATAAAAAATAAAAAGACACAAAATAAAGTCTCTGCAATGTTGTGCAAAAATATATGCCAATCATTACTTTTATCTGTCTTTCATGAAATAACTATAGGTAAAAATGAGTTTTTAATGAAGATGATTTGATTCTTATGTACACTTTTAACTACCGCCTCCTTTAGTAGAAATGTATTCTGACTTTTTTTCCATTTTGAATAATATATTCATTGTTTTCATTAAGGCCACTCCTTTTTGTGGGTCCAACGGGTACAGGAAAATCTGTGTATGTGAAGGATAAGCTAATGAATCACTTGGAAAAGGACCAGTACTTTCCTTTTTATATTAACTTATCTGCACGGACCAGCGCCAATCAGGTTCAGGTTAGTTTAAAGACAGAAATGGGGGTCTATCGTTAATTTTTTTGTCTTATTTGCTCAGTGTTTAAAATTGTACATTAAATAAGCAACTGTGTAAATCTATGAATTTAAAACTTTCAAATGTTTGGGGAGTTACAAGTTTTTGGAATTAATGATACAAGTTTCAGAGAACATTTTTACGTTAATAGTGGGTTACTGAGCTTTATCACCTGTTTTTTTTTTAAGCCTGAGAAGAAGCAACGATTTCTTAACTGGTAAAGGGAATATAAAAGACACACACACACTCACACACACACAAACACACACATAGGGTGGGGCAGGGGTGGGGAGACCCAGGGAGAAATGAGAGAACTTTGAATTGTTCTCTCAAGACCCTCCTGGATGGTCATTAGGGGCATTTGCTGCTCCCTGGACCTTTCAAACCATGGGCCTGTGACAGGAACCATGTGAGTGCATCCTACCCTTTGCCCTCAAATGTGTCAAGGTGAAACTGACCTTGACACATTTCATGAAACTGTTTCTAATTGCCGTTTTTATCATACATTTCCAAATTTATACCTATCCATTCTCTCCTGGCCTCATTTCTGTTGTTTTAAGTCTATGTTCTTCACTGAACTTCAAAATCTTACAAATTTAGAACTCCTTTACTGTGGAGCTTTATTTGAATGAAAATAATTTTGGTTTATTTTTCCAATGGACAAGTGAGTTCCCAAAGTATTAGAACTATAAGAAAGCATCCACATTTATTTTAGCTATAAAAAGCTGCCAAATGTAAAGATTAATGCATTTAAATATTAAGTAAGTTAAAATTAATAGATACATTGTTGAGTACGGATGGACACAAAGAAGGGAACAACAGAAATCAGGGCCTCCTTGAGAGTGGAGCGGGGGAGGAGGGTGAGGATTGAAAAACTGCCTATTGGGTACTATGCTTATTACCTGAGTGATGAAATAATCTGTACACCAAACCCTCACAACACACAATTACCCATATAACCTGCATGTGTACTCCCTGAATCTAAAATAAAAGTTGGAAAGTAAAATTATTCAGTGAAGAAAAAAATAAAAATATGTTGGTTATCCAGTGAGGAAAATATTGTAGAAATTTTGGTGACACTTGTAGAAATGTTGTAGAAACATGCATATACTATACAAAGATAATACATAAATATACATGTGTAACAATTGTGAGTGCATAGGATTTCAACAAATGTTTGAATGATGTTGATTGTGAAGTTTAGTATCACCCTAAATATGAATAAATAAAAACACACACATAATGCTGCTTGGTATGATTTCCCTACAGAAACTTAAACTTTTTTTTTCTGGTGTTAAATATGGTATTTTATGTTAAGTTAATCATTGATAAATTAAGCAAATAGTAATTGTTACTGGTAAAAATCCCATGGATTCTGGCAAAATGGGTTGTTTTACTTGTTGATACTGATTTAATATAAGTATGATAAATCCCTAATTCAATTATAGGTAAATATACCATTCTTCCTTCATATTTTAGAACATTATCATGGCTAGATTGGATAAAAGACGCAAAGGAGTCTTTGGACCACCTATGGGAAAGAAGTGTATAATTTTTATAGATGATATGAATATGCCTGCATTGGAGAAGTATGGAGCTCAACCACCTATTGAATTATTACGACAGTTTTTTGACTGTGGACATTGGTAACTATTTAATTCGATAAGTTATGCTGAAGTTATACCTCAGTTTTTATTTTAGGTTTTTAAAGTAAAATAATACATTTTTCAAGATATTTAGGGAAAAGAATAGTTGCTCAGATTTTCCTATACATGAAGCCTCTCTAATATATTTCGAAAAGACTATTTTAAATTAAGAGGAAGGTACAGAGATTTCCTGTATACTCCTTGCCCCCCGACACATGCATAGCCTCCTCAATCTCAACATCCCCACCAAATTGGCACATTTGTTACAAATGATAAGCCTGCGTTGGTATATCACAATCACCCAAAGTCCATAGTTTACTTTAGGGTTTGCTTTATGTGTTGTACATGCTATGGGTTTGGAGAAATGTATATGATATGTGTCCATCATTATAATATCATACAGAGAATTTTCACTGCTGTAAAGATCCTCTGTGTTCTCTTTTCATTCCTCCCCCAACTTCAGCCCCTTTGTAAGAGATCCATTAATTTCTTTTTCTCTCTATAGTTTAACCATTTTCAGAATGTCATATAGTTGGAGTAATACAGTATATAGCCTTTTCAAATTAGCTTCTTTCATTTAGTAATATGCATTTGAGTTTCATTCATATCTTCTCATGGCTTGATAGCTCATTTCTTTTTAGCACTGAGTAACATTCAGTTGTCTGGTTAACCACAATTAACTAATCCATTAACCTACTGAAGGACATCTTGGTTGCTTCCAAGTTTTCAACAATTATGAATAAAGTTGCTATAAACATTTGTGCATAGGTTTTACATGGACATAAGTTGTCAACTTCTTTGAGTAAATACCAAGGAACACAATTGCTGAACAATATGGTAAGAATACGTTTAGTTTTGTAAGAAACCACCAAACTACCTTCCAAAATAACCATACCATTTTGCATTCCCATCAGGAATGAATGAGAGTTAGTGTTGCTCCACGTCTTCTCTGGCATTTGGTATTGTCAGTGTTCTAGATTTTGGCCACTCTAATGAGTGTGTGGTGGTATTTCATTGTTTTAATTTGCATTTCCCTGATGACATACGGTAAGAAGCATCTTTTAATATGTTTATTTGCCCTCTCTGTATCTTACTTGGTGAGGTGTCTGTTAGGGTCTTTGGCCATTTTTAAATTGGGTTGTTTGCTTTCTTATCATTTAGTTTTAAGAGTTCTTTGTATATTTTGGATAATAGTCCTTTATCAGATGTGTCATTTGCAATTATTTTCTCCAAGTCAGGCCTGTCTTCTCATTCTCTTGACATTGTCTTTGGCAGAGCAGAAGTTGTTAATTTTAATGAAGTCCAGTTTCTCAACCAATCTGTTGGTGTTGTGTCTGAAAAAGTCATTGCCATACCCAAGTTCAACTAGGTTTACTCCTTTGCTATCTCCTAGGAGTTTTATAGTATTGCATTTAATATTTAGGCCTGTGATCCATTTTTAGTTAATTGTTGTAAAGGGTGTAAAATTGTGTATAGGTCAATTTTTTACACGTGTATGTCCAGTTGTTTAACGATATTTGTCTTTTGCTAAAAGACAGGGGTCTTGCTATGTTGTCAAGGCTGTTCTCAAAATTCTAGCTTCAAGCAATCCATCTGCCTCAGCCTCCTAGGTAGCTGGGATTATAGGTATGAGCCACTGTGCCCAGCAGCATTCCTTGAAAAGACTATCTTTGCTCCATAATATTGCCTTTGCTCCTTTGTCAAAGATTAGTTAACTGTATTTATTGGGTCTATATCTGGGCTCTCTATTCTGTTCCATTGACCTATTTGTCTGCTTTGCCAGTACCAGATTGTCTTGACTACTGTAGTTTTATAGTAAGCCTTAAAGTTGGGTGTGTCAGTCCTCTGACTTTGTTTTTCTCTTTCAATAGTGTTGACTAATCTGGGACTTTGGCCTCTCCATATCAACTTCAGAATCAGTTTCTCAATATCCAAAAAATAACTTGCTGGGATTTAGATTGGGATTGCGTTGAATCTACATGTCAAGTTTGGAAGGACTGTCATCTTCATAATATTGTTTTCCTATCCATGAACATGGAATACCTCTTTTTATTTAGTACTTCGATTTAGTTCTTCAGGGTTTTACAGTTTTCCTCATATAGATCTTCTATATATTTTGTTAGATATATCCCTAAGTATTTCATTGGGGGTGGGTGCTAATGTAAATGGTGTTGTACTTTTCTTTCTTTCTTTTTTTTTTTTTTTTTTTTTTTTTTTTTGAGACAGTGTCTCACTCTGTCACCCAGGCTGGAGTGCAGTGGCATGATCTTGGCTCACTACAACCTCTGCCTCTGGGTTCAAGAGATTCTCCTGCCTCAGCCTCCCAAGTAGCTGGGATTACAGGCATGTGCCACCATGCCCAACTAATTTTTGTGTTTTTAGTAGAGACAGGTTTTCACCATGTTGGCTAGGCTGGTCTTGAACTCCTGACCTCAAGTGATCCACCTTCCTCGGCCTCCCAAAATGCTGGGATTACAGGCATGAGCCACTGTGCCTGGCCCAGGTGTTGTACTTTTAATTTCAAATTCCACTTGTTTATTACTGGTATGTAAAAAGGTGATTGAATTTTACATGGTAACTCTTTACAAGCTTGCTATAATTGCTTATTAGTTCCAGGAGTTTTTTGTAGTTCTTTGAGATTTTCTTTATAGATCATCATGTTATCTGCAAACAAGGATAGTTTCATTCCTTTCTTCCCAGTCGGTATACCTTTTTTTTCATCTTATTGCTAGCCCTTAGTATGATGTTGAAAAGAAGTCATGAGAGGGGACATTTTTATCTTGTTCCTGATGTTAGTGGGAAAGCTTGGAGATTCTTACCATTAAGTATGATGTTAGCTGTAGGGTTTTTGTAGATATTCCTTACCAAGTTGAGGAAGTTACCTTTATTCCTAGTTTACTAGGACGTTTTTGGCTTTTTTTTTTGCCTTTGAGACAAAGTCTTGCTCTGTCACTCAGGCTGGAGTGTAGTGGCGTGATCTTGGCTCACTACAACCTCCGCCTCCCAGGTTCAAGTGATTCTTATGCCCTAGCCTCCCAAGTAGCTGGGACTACAGGTACACACCACCACACCCGGCTAATTTTTGTATTTTTAGTAGAGACGGTTTTGCCATGTTGGCCAGGCTGGTCTTGATCTTCTGACCTCAAGTGATCCACCACCTTGGCCTCCTAAAGCACTGGGATTACAGGTATGAGCCACCACACCCGGCCTGGAGGATTATTAATTGGCCTAACTTCCATACTGTTTATCTCAAGGAATAGGAAGGTCTGAGAAGAGGGAGAGAGATGGGGAACAGCCAGTCAGTGGAACAGTCAGAACACACACAATATTTAATCAGTTAAGGTTTTCTTCTTATGTAGGTCAATTCATGGTGCTCCAAAACAATTACAATAGTAACATCAAAGATCGCAGATCACCATACCAGATATAAAAAAAATGGAAAAGTTTGAAATATTGCAAGTATTACCAAAATGTGACACAGAGACCAGAAGTAAGCAAATGCTGTTGGAAAAATGGTGCCTATAGACCTGCTCAACACAGGTTTCTAAAAACTTTTTCAGATTGTAAAAAAACACAGTATCTGCAAAGCTTAATGAAATGAAGTGAAATAAAATGGGGTATGCCTGCACTTTTCAACTATTAGTTTCAATTATTGAAAATAATTTACAGATTACATCCTTCAAAGTACCATTCCCCCAAGTCAAGAATTTGTGGGTAGTGCCCAACCTAAGTAACCATAATCAGCACCCTATTTTTCTACCATGTTTTTAACTGTATGTTTTCTGTGGCTGCTTGGAACTACCTACCATATCTTTGAGATGGCTTGTATTTGACAGCAATCTCATGGATAACCCTTCCATTCTCCCCACACCAATTTATGGTGATATGGTTAGTTTCTCACATGTAAGATATAGCACCTTTTAATTAGGATGAATAATTCTTCCTTTCCTCCTCTTAAATGTACTTTTCTATTCCTCAGTATGCCATGATTTTTATCTCAAGACAAGGGTAGACGAATTTCAAAGCTAAGTCATATTTTACAGTTGCATTTTTGTTATTACTATAGGCCCTAGGAATTCTGCTTTCAGGAGATAACCATTGTTGAGATAATCACTGCGATTATCTCAGAAGATAGTCACTCTCCTGAGTTAGTGATTATCAGGAGATAATCACTATTCCTCAGTGATTTTTTTCTATATAAGTCTATTTTTATGTGTAAAAATAGGCTCATATTACATGTAATATTTTGTAAATTATTTTACACTTATATATTTATCTCAAATAGCCATATCAGTGCATATTTGTCTACTCATTCGTTTTATTGGCTTTAATATTATGTGGATGTCACCGTAATTTACTTAGCTGGTCTTCTATTGTTGATTATTAGGGTTGTTACCAAAAACCATATTTTCATACTTTCTAGCATGCTTTTAGTCTAAGGACTGGCTAGATAGACTCCTACCCCAGCCTCTGTATGTATATGTCTGTGTGTGCAGTAACTTCAGTATTAGAGACTTGATGGCTTATTGACAATAGCAACCTTTTACTCTGAGTGGTTCCAGCTAAATTATGTCATTTCCTATTTATTTCTGATTAAAACTTCTTTGAAATTTCATTTTTCCCTAATGGGTCCCTTTCTATAACAAAATGTATAGATCCTATTTAGACATCTTTATCCACTCTGAAGATACAGTTTGAGATGAGAAAAAATCAGGACATTGCTATAACCAGTTTTAGTATATAACTTAGTGTTCAAACTGTGACATTTCTGGAGTAAAAGGGGAGTGTTATTAATAATTACTTCGGTACAACAAGCACAAGCCAGAATTGTCCTAGGTAAAATGAGATATATAGTCACCTTATCTATAAACAGCTACAAATAGGATTGATCACTCATCCATGCTTCTAGATTTGGAATAAGAAAGGAGAAATGGAGAGTCAAACTGTAAGGAAGAGTAGGAGGAAAGAGAGGGAAAAGTAAGAGGGAAGGGTCATTCCAGATATCCAAAATCTGGGTAGCAGAATCAGTCACTGAGGGGAGAAACCAAATTCTGCTTTAAAAAAAATTTCTCTCCTACTCAAAGTGTTATCTGAAGTTATTCCTTTTAGAGAAGCTAAAATCTGATTAAATTTCTTGGGAGATCTATATTTCATCCCATCTTAATGTCTTTATAACAGATAATCTAAATTTTTTGTGTGTGCTTTCTAAGGTACGACCTTAAGGACACAAGTAAAATCACGCTGGTGGACATAGAGCTGATTGCTGCAATGGGCCCTCCAGGTGGTGGAAGAAATCCAGTTACTCCCCGTTGTATTCGACATTTCAACATCTGCAGTATTAATTCTTTTAGTGATGAAACTATGGTCCGAATCTTCTCATCTATTGTAGCATTCTACCTTAGAACTCATGAATTTCCTCCAGAGTACTTTGTAATTGGGAACCAGATAGTCAATGGGACTATGGAGGTCAGTCAATAATGCAATGTAAATGTTTTAGTATTACATATTTCCCTCATTTGGCGCTTATTTTATTTTTTTGATGCTATCTGCTTTGGTCTTTGGTGTCAGAGAAACTGTTTAGAAGACCAGAGAATAGGAAGATCACAGGATTTGAAATGAGGGAATCCAACTTGGGTTGAGCCTTGACTGCTATTTCCTAGCTATATGATTTTGAGCAAGTAATTTGACATTCCAGAGGCTGTTTTTTTAATGACTAAAATGGAATAAAACACCTATTTCACAAGGTTGTTATAAGGAAAACATCTAAAACTAGTATCTGCCACATCACAGGTATTTTTCTATTAGGTTCCTACTCTGGTACTTGTCGTTTTTTCTCTCTATCTTCCCTCCCATTTTGCATGCTTGTCTTAAAGAAATTTAAGCAGCTTATGAATACATTACTTTTAGTCAGACCACATAATTTATAAGTAGCAATGAAAAAATAATTATAAAAGAGAAATACAAGGGTAGAAACAGACAACAAGACTCCCCATATGGCCAAAGAACAGTTTTTAACTTATTTCGGGTGTGTTATTTGCCTCTGTTCAAAGACTAGAGCCAGCCTCATCTCTAATGGTAAATGGGAAACAATATATTTAAAGGCACGTCAGTCATGATCTTACCAAACTACACTTTCTAGAAGCTTCATAAAGCAAGTTTCATTTTGTGATCACTGCAACAGGAAGCAGAAAACTCCCTAGAATCCTTCCATCCATTTCCAAGAACATCAATCTTCTAAAATTCTCCCCTTGTTTCAGTGGAAAGTGTGTGCTGTTCAAGTAAAGAAACTACTATGAGCAAAGAGATAGTACATTTGTTCTGATACAGAAAAGTGCTTCTATTTATAAAACATAATATTTCTATTTCAGGCATGTCCTGGAAAATACAGAGGTGTTGGTCAGGTAGAAGGGGATACAGAAAGCATCCCTGCCACCTCCCTACCCCCGGCTTTTTTTTTTTTTTTTCTGTCTTTGAAGCATTATAGACCTACCATGTGTGGAGGTTGGAGCAGGGAGATGAATCACAGAACACATACAAATAAAAAACGTTGGCTGGGCGCAGTGACTCACACCTGTAATCCTAGCACTTTGGGAGGCCAAGGTGGGCGGATCACAAGGTCAAGAGATTGAGACCATCCTGGCCAACATGGTGAAACCCTGTCTCTACTAAAAATACAAAAATTAGCTGGGCGTGGTGGTGTGCACCTGTAGTCCCAGCTACTCGGGAGGCTGAGGCAGGAGAATCACTTGAATCCAGGAGGTGGAGGTTGCAGTGAGCCAAAACCTCACCACTGCACTCCAGCGGGGCGACAGAATGAGACTCCATCTCAAAAATAAAAAAAAAGTTTTTTTGTTTTCCTTTTTTGACTATATTATAAAAGGCTTAATTCACCTTCCTTTAAGAGAACGTTAAACTTCATTTGGTGAATTCAGTACATAGTAAAAATATACTTCATTTCCTTAAAGCCAATTTAGATATAAAGAAGAAGGGGGGTGAGGGAATAAGAGATAGAAGGGAAGAGAGAGAACAAATTGATTTATTTTGAAGTTGATTGTAGTAACAAGAAAATTATTTCATCTTCCTCTTCATTTGGAATGATTCAGCATGAGTTATCTGATTTCCCTTTCTCTGAAAGATTTTGTTTTTCACTATTTAACCTCAGATTATTCACCTTTAAATGGTGTAACCATAATAACTGGGAAATAAAAGTAGAGACAGGTTTCCACTTGGATGGGCTGGGCTTGGATGGAATCGGATATTAAGTTCCCTCAAGTTAATAATGCCTGGTTGAGTGCTATAAGCCAAAATAAACATATATGCCATGCTAAGCTTAGTACTATGCAATTTTCCAAGCCAGTATAATCTTTTTTTTTCTTTTTTTTTTTTTTTGAGGCAGAATCTCACTTCGTTGCCCAGGCTGGAGTGCAATGGCGTGATCTTGGCTCTTTGCAATGTCTACCTCCACCTCCCGGGTTCAAGCCATTCTCCTGCCTCAGCCTCCTGCGTAGCTGGGATTACAGGCACGTGCCATGACACCTGGCTAATTTTTGTATTTTTAGTAGAGACAGGGTTTTGCCATGTTGGCCAGGCTTGTCTCGAACTCCTGACCTTAGGTGATCTGCCCACCTCAGCCTCCAAAAGTGCTGCGATTACAGATGTGAGCCACCGCGCCCAGCCCAAGCCCATATAATCTGACAGAGTAAATAAAATATTTTGTATAACATTCCACTGGTTACATGACTTTACTGATTATAAGCATTTTATTTTTGCTTTGTTGCTTTTTTCATATTCAGATATATAAACAATCTGTGGAAAATCTTTTACCCACTCCCACAAAATCCCATTATACTTTCAACTTGCGTGATTTTTCACGCGTCATCCGGGGCTGTTTACTCATTGAAAGAGACGCCGTGGCGAACAAACACACTATGATCCGTCTGTTTGTGCATGAGGTTCTCCGAGTGTTTTATGATCGCCTCATTAATGATGATGATCGAAGATGGCTGTTCCAGTTAACTAAAACTGTTATAAAGGACCATTTTAAAGAATCATTTCACAGTATCTTTTCACATTTGAGGAAACAAAATGCACCAGTGAGTATGGCGATTAAGAACATATTGAGTTAAAGCAGTACCATATATGAATTGTTACAATTAAGTTATATTTTTAAAAATCATTTCTTAATGAACATATTCTTTTAGCATTCCTTGTAAATAGGTGTTTGTTTTGAGAAGATTTATCTTCATAGGAAAGTATGTAACATAGAAGTTATTTAAAGAATAACACCTTATGTGATAGGGAATAAATGATATAATAGATATAAAGTGCTTAACATGATGACCATCACTTAGTAACTACTCAATGGGAGTCGCCCAGAATGACTTCTCTAGCCTAACAACAACAAAACATATAAATCTTACTTTTCTTTTTATATCCTAAGGATATAATTTCAGGTATTAATTTTATAAGTGCATTTTTTACTACCCTAATGTTTAAAAACTTAATTACTTTATAACATGGATGAAACAAAAATTTTGTTTTCTTAAATTTATTTTTAAATGTTTTAAGTTTTAAAATTTGTTGATTTCCTTTCTATAGGTAACTGAAGAAGACTTAAGAAATCTCATGTTTGGTGATTATATGAATCCTGACCTTGAAGGAGATGATAGAGTTTATATTGAAATTCCAAATATTCATCATTTTAGTGATGTTGTGGACCAGTGCTTAGATGAGTATAATCAAACACACAAAACAAGAATGAATCTTGTCATTTTTAGGTACCTATATATGGTGTTGATGCTTGAAATTGCTATCTGTAAAATGTTATTATGAAATGTTTGAAATGTACCAAAAGGTGTAAAGAAAAATACAGTGAATGACTTTGTACCCATTATCCAGCATAAAACATAAAATATTAGTAATTTATTTGAAATTCCCTGTTATAGTCACCCTGTCTCACTGCATCCTGTGTCATACGAGTAGTAGTGAAAAGAAACTTGTGTTTCTTTTTTCTTTTTCTTTTTTTTGAGACTGAGTCTTGCTCTGTTGCCCAGATTGGAGTGCAATGGCACTATCTCAGCTCGCTGCAACCTCCACCTCCCGGGTTCAAGCCATTCTCCTGCCTCAGCCTCCCAGGTAGCTGGGAGTACAGGCATGCGCCGGCATGCCTGGCTAATTTTTTTTTGTATTTTTAGTAGAGATGGGGTTTCACCATACTGGCCAGGCTGGTCTCGAACTCCTGACCTCAAGTGATCCGCCTGCCTTGGCCTCCCAAAGTGCTGGGATTACAGATGTGAGCCACCACACCTGGCCGAAACTTTTGTTTCTTAGAACTTTTACTATACATGTATGTATTCGTAAATATGTATGTAGTCTTATTTTGCATATTTTAAAACTGCATATAAATGGTATAATACTGGATATAATCTTCTGCTAGTTGGTTTATTCCATATTGTGAGAGTCACAGAAAAATGAATATTTACCACTATATTGCATTCTATTATATAATTGTACCACAATGCAGTCATTCTTCTGAGACAAATTTTAGGTGACTTCTAGTTTTTGCTATTATAAAAAAGGCTTTGAAAATTCACATCCGTGTCTCCTTGGGTACATGTGTGAGAATTTCTCTAGGCTATTTTCCTATAAGTGGGATTATCATGTCATAGTATATAAGCATCTTCAACTTTACTAAATTTTGCCAAAACATCTTTTAAAGTGATTATTATTTTTGAGAGCTTCCATTATTCTTCACCTTTGCTGATGCTTAGGACTGGCAGATACTGTAAGTTTTTCTAGTCTAAGGAGAGTGAAATGGTATCTCATTATCATTTTAATTTTAATTAACCTAATTACCAGTGAAGCTAAGTGCCTTTTCTGAATTTGTTATTTTATAGGTAATGATCTTTTCTCACATAGAAATCTTAAGAGACTGAAGAAACATATTTAATAAAAGTGATAATATACTGCCAGTATTAGCAGTTAATATTTCATTTTATTTGTATAACTTGTATATCAAATTTCCTGAATTTGAACTTTTAATTAGTTTTCCCCTACATCAAATGATCCAGTTGTAACTGCTTTTGAAAAATCACACTTTTTGATAGTAAACTCTTTAAAATTGGGATAGTAACATATGGGACAGCAGAGTCACATTCTTCTAGGAAAGTGAAACAATAGTTACATGTAACTATACATTTACATTTATATTGTAATGCATTAATAAAATTTTTCTTTTGTGGTAGGTATGTTTTGGAACATTTATCAAGAATATGTCGAGTTCTAAAGCAATCTGGTGGAAATGCTTTGCTTGTTGGTCTTGGAGGAAGTGGTCGTCAATCTTTAACTCGTCTGGCTACATCCATGGCAAAAATGCATATTTTCCAACCAGAAATTTCTAAGAGCTATGGTATGAATGAATGGAGAGAGGATATGAAGGTAAAATTATGAAGAAGCCTAGTATCTAAAATGAAAACAGTATATTCTTTTACTCGTAAAGAGAGAACCAGCCTGTGTAGCTGTGTACTGAACTCCAGTGATGATGATGATGCTAATACTGTCCATAGAGCATCTACTGTGTGTGTTGAGTTCTGTCCTGAGTGCTTTACCTAGCTTTTACCGCTTTTACCTACATGATCTCATTCTATAGGCACAGCAATGCAATGCAGCAGGTGGGTTGTCTCTGTGTTTTACCGAAGCTGAGTGACATGTGACACATAACAGAGCAAGGCTTTCTAACTCAAGTCTTATCCACTACACTATTACCATGGCTGCTGCTTTAAAAAAATATTGATGTATAATATTTGTACATATTTATGAGGTACATGTGATATTTTGATACATGCATAAAATGAATAACTATGGAGTCAGCACATTTAGGATATCTATCACGTAGAACATCGATCTTTTTGTGTTGGGAATGTTGCAAATCTTCTATCTTGAAATATGCAATACATTGTTAAATATAGTTGCGCTATTGTACTATTGAACACTGGAACTTCTTCTAACTGCATGTTCGTACCCATTGAGCTGCTTCTCTTTATCCTCCTCTGTCTGCCTCTCCTTTCTGGCCTCTGATAAGTGTCTTTCTACTCTCTACCTCCATGAGGTCAACTTTTTTGGCTCCTACATATAAGTGAGAACATGTAATGTTTATCTTTCTGTACCTGGCTTGTGCCACTGACTATATATTTATTCCAGTTCAGAGAGGACTTATTTCAGATAAATAAATGGTTTCTAGCAGATTTAACCATGAACCTGATGATGATGTTGATGGCATTAATGTTGTCTTAGTAGTAATCTTAATAGTTTCTTTAGAGCTTTATTGCTGTCCCGGTGACCAACAGGATAGTGGAGTGCATACTTGGGGCTTCGTCCTTATATGCCTAGGGGTCTGTAGCCCCAACAGAGAGATGATACAAAGTGGAAAAAAAAAAGGGAGAAATTGCTGGACTTCTTTCACTTTCACTGACCTTTCACAAACAATTTCTACAACCTAAAATTTAGCATAGAGAAATGGATTTTTCTTTGCTACTTCTAGGCGGAAATGGTAGAATCCAAGCTCATACCAAAGAAATCTATCTACATAGACATGAAAGGAAAATTACACTTACATTGTTTCTTTTTCTGCTTACACTTTAGAGGAAAACTTTTGATGCATTGTCTACCAAATTAACTACAAATTTAGAAATCAGCATACTTCATTTACTACTTCATAGTAGCAAGAACGTGGACTTTGAAATTAGACAGATACAGTATTAGTTCCTGCTTTGCATGATTTGTTAGCTATGTTATTTTTAGCATATTAATAAATCGATCGGTGCTTTAGTTTCTAGGGACTTATCCATTTCTGCTAGGTTATCCAATTTATTGGCATACAATTGTTCATATCATTCTCCTATAATTCTTTGTATTTCTGTGGCATTGGTTGTGCTACCAGAGTGTGCTACTATTTTCATTTCTGATTTTTGTTATTTGAGTCTTCTCTCTCTCTTTTTTTTTGTATTGATCTTCTATTCTCTATTTCATTCATCTCCACTCTAATCTTTATTATTTCCTTCCTAGCTTCCTTGCTAGCTTTGGGTTTGGTTTAGTCTTCTTTTTCTAGTTCCTTGAGGTGTCTAGTTAGGTTGTTGATTTTATGTCTTTCTTCTTCTTCTTCTTCTTTTTTTTTTTTTTTTTTTGAGATGGAGTCTCACTCTGTCACCCAGGCTGGAGTGCAGTGGTGCAATCTCGGCTCACTGCAATCTTCGCCTCCCAGGTTCAAGCGATTCTCCTGTCTCAGCCTCCCAAGTACCTGGGATTGCAGGTGCACACTGCCATGCCCGGATAATTTTTTCTTTTTTTTTTTTTTGTATTTTAGTAGAGATGGGTTTCACCGTGTTGCCCAGGCTGGTCTCGAATTCCTGAGCTCAGGCAATCCACTTGCCTCAACCTCCCCAACTGCTAGGATTACAGATGTCAGCCACCGCGTCTGGCCTCTTCTTTTTCAATATATGTATTTACAGCTACAAACTTCCCTCTCAGCAATACTTTTGCTGCATCCCTCAAGTTTTGGTTTGTTTGTTTTTGTTTTAATTTTCTCAAGATATTTTCTAATTTCCCTTGTGATTTCTTCTTTGACTTACTGGTTGTTTAACAATTAAATTAACAGTTTAATTTTCATATATTGTGAATTTTTAAATTTTTCCTTCTGGCATTGATTTCTAGTTTTGTACCATTGTGATCAGGAAAGATACTTTCTATGATTTCAGTCTTTTAAAATTTGTTAAGACTTGTTTTGTGGCCTAATGTGGTCTATCCTAGAGAATGTTTCATGTGCACTTGAGAATAATATATGTTTTACTGTTGCTGGATGGAGTGTTTGGTAAATATCTGTTAGATCAGTTGGTCTACAATGTTCAAGTCCTCTATTTCCTTATTGATCTTCTGTCAGGTGTTCTATCCATTATTGAAAGTGGGGTATTCAAGTCTCTTACTATTATGGTAGTCCCCCCTTACTTGTGGCTTTTCTTATTGCAGTTTTAGTTACCCACAGTCAACTGTGGTCCAAAAAGAGATAAGCACAGTACAATAAGATATTTTGAGAGTGAAAGGGACCACATTCACATAACTTTTATTACAGTATGTTGTAATAATTGTTCTCTTTATTATTTGTTGTTAATGTCTGGCTGTTAATTTATTAATTAATCTAATCATAGTTATGTATGGAAAAAATAGCATATGTAGGATTCAGTACTATCTGTTGTTTCAGGCATCCACTGGGGGTCTTGGAATGTATCCCCCATGGATAAGGGGGGACTACTGTATTGTGTTGCTGTACAATTCTTCTTTCACTTCTGCCAAAGTTTGCTTCATATATTTAGGATATCTGTGGTTTGGTGCATAAATATTTATACAGTTGACCCTTAAACAACACCAACCCCCAACACAGATGAAAATTCACATATAATTTTTTTTTTTAGATAGAGTCTCGCTCTGCCCCAGGCTGGAGTGCAGTGGCACGATATCAGCTCACTGCAACCTCCACCTCCTGAGATCAAGCGATTCTCATGCCTCAGCCTCCTGAGTAGCTGGGATTACAGGTGCACACCACCATGCTTAGCTAATTTTTGTATTTTTTGTAGAGATGGGGTTTCGCCATTTGGCCAGTCTGGTCTTGAACCCCTAAGCTCAAGCAATCCTCCTGCCTTGGCCTCCCAGAGATCTGGGAATACAGGCTTGAGCCACTGTGCTTAGCCCACATATAACTTTTGACTCCCCCAAAACATAACTACTAATAGCCTAGTGTTGACCAGAAGCCTTACTGGTAACATAAACATTTGATTAACATGTATTTTGTATGTTATATGTATTAAACTGTATTCTTATAATAAAGTACGCCAGATAAAAGAAAATGTTACTTAAAAAATCCTAAGGAAGAAACATATATTGACTATTCATTAAGTGGATGTGGATCATCACAAAGGTCTTCATCCTCACGATCTTCATGTTGGGTAGGCTGAGGATGAAGAGGACGAAGAGGAGTGAGTTGGTCTTGCTGTCTCAGGGGTGGCAGAAGCAGAGGAAAATCTACATATAAGTGGACTCACATAGTTCAAACCTGTGTTGTTCAGTGGTCAACTGTAATTGTTATATCTTCCTGGTAAATTGACCCTTTTATCATTATGTAATATCCTTTCTTGTGGTTGTTTTTGACTTAAAGTCTATTTTTGTCTGATATTAGTATAGCTATCCCTGCTCTCTCTTAGTTACCATTTGGCTGGTATATCTTTTTCCATTCTTTAGCTTACATATTTCCTTGGATCTAAAATGAATCTCTTGTAGGCAGCATATTAATGGATCTTTTTTTTAATCCATTTGGCCACTCTATGTCTTTTGATTGAGGAATTTAATCCATTAAATTTAATGTAATTACTGATAGGGAAGGATTTATTATTGCCATTTTGATATTTGTTTTCTGTGTGTCTTGTAGCTTCTTTTTTTCCTCATTTCTTCTTTTATTGCCGCCTTTTATGTTATGATGATTTTTATTTGTAGGGGCATTCTTTATTCCCTTCTCATTTCCTTTTGTTTATATTCTATGTTTTCTTTGTAGTTAACCATTACTACTACATAAAACAACCTAAAGTTATAGCAAATTATTTTAAACTGCTAACAACCTAACTTCAGTTGCATACAAAAATGTTACCCCTTTATAGCTCCACCCCTCCCCCATTTTTTGTTCTGGATGTCACAAATTGTATCTTTATATATTATGTACTAATTAACATACATTTATAAGGCATGTTTTTGTTTTTTAGAATTAAAAGTAGATTTATGCACCAAAATTACAATAATACAGGATTCTCTATTTCTCCACATGTTTACTTTG
The DNA here is from genome assembly GCF_000001405.40 of Homo sapiens. Taxonomy (NCBI): domain Eukaryota; kingdom Metazoa; phylum Chordata; class Mammalia; order Primates; family Hominidae; genus Homo; species Homo sapiens. The sequence goes on along the minus strand of NC_000003.12, from coordinate 57,398,873 downwards.
ACTGGAGAACTTTATACTTTTGTATGGCTTCATGTTACATTCTAGGTTCTTTTGTTTCAACTTGAAGGATTCCCTTTAGCATATCTTGTCAGGCAGATATAGTACTAAGGACTCCCTCGGTGTTTGTTCATCTGGAAAGGTTTTAATTTCACCTTCATTTTTGTAAGGCAGCTGTACCAGATACATTGTCCTTGGTTGACAGGTTTTTATCTTTCTGCAATTAGAATATGTCACCTTACTTCCTTCTGGTCTGTAAAATTTGTGCTGAGAAATTCACTGCTAATCTTAAGGTAATTCCCTTGTAGATGACAAGTTGCTTTTCTCTGGCTGCTTTCAGGATTTTCTCTTTGTATCTGACTTTTGACAGTTTGATTATATTGTTTCTTAATGTGGATTTCTATGACTTCATCCTAGTTGGAATTCATTGATCTTCCATAAAATGGAATTTTTATATCCACTTCTTTCCTGAGATTTGAGAAATTTTCAGTCATTATTTCTTGAAAAAGCTCTCTGTCCTCTCTTTCTCTCTCTCATATTCTGGGATTTCCATAATGCATATATTGGTCCACTTGATGGTGTACCATAAATCCCTTAGGCTTGCTCCACCTTCGTTTATTGTTTTTGTTTTGTTTTTGCTCCATTAACCCGGTGATTTCCAACGACTTGTTTTCAAGTTGGTTGACTCTTGATTCTGCCCAATCAAGTCTAATGTTGAACCCCTGTAGATAATTTTTTAGTTCAGTTTTATGTTTTGGGTCCAGAATTTATATTTTATAGTTTCTATATCTTTGTTAATTCTCATTTTGTTCATGCATTGTTTTCCTGATTTAGCTCTGGGTTCCTTTCAGCTCATTGAGTATCTTTAAGGTAGTTATTTTAAATTTTTTGCTAGTCAGTTCATAGATCTGCATTTCCTTATGGTTGGTTTCTGGAGCTTTATTTTGTTTCTTTGACTGGGCCACGTTTCCTTAATTCTTTGCATCCCTTGTGATCTTTTTGAGAGCTGACCATTTGAAATACAGCCACCCCTCCCAATCATTATGACTGGCCTCATGCAGGGAAGATCTTCACCAATCAACCTAGCTAGAGGTTCTGGGACCTTTCAGACATTTTCTGGGGACGTGTCTTCTTTGAGGTTGTATGTGTGCTTTTATTGTTGCATGTATGAGTGCTTTTGACTGTCTTAATTTCCTGTTTCTTCTCAGGAGCTTTCAGTTGCTGATTCCGTTGTATTCCTCTGCCCTTGATCTCTTGCTCTCCCTGGTGCCTGCCAGTAGAACTGCAGCTTCTGCTGCTCTAACCCACCAGGGAACTCACCTATGTTTCAGTGGCCTCCAACCTGGTGTCCAAAATTGGCCATTGTTCCTGTTAGCACCTGAAGGCAGGTGAAACAGCCCCCACACAAGCCAGTATTCTGGGCTCAAGTTCAACTATATTTCTTCTGTCCTGAGGAAGGAGCCATGATTTGGATGGTATTCTCTAGATCTCCCCAAACTGTGCCCAGCTGGGGGAGGAGCTAGAGTGAGAAAAATTTGAGGTACTGTCTTACCCTTTTGGGAACAGTCCCTTCTCTTGTTCATGCTCTTTTCTGGGTGCTGCAGCCACTTAACTAGTTTCTAAAGTCCTTACAAAGGTAATTGTGTTCTGTATATTGCTAATACATGTCTTCAGGGGAGAACAAGGGTCTAGAGCTTCCTAGCCCATTATCTTGCTGATGGTCACTTTCTAGATTTTTCATTTGTAAAATTTGGGTAATACCACCTATTTCAAAGATTATTGTGGTTAAATTATATAATGTATGTAAGGATTTTCATAATATTCCTGACATATAATTAATATCTATTTTTTTGAGATGGACTCTCACTATGTCACCCAGGCTGGAGTGCAGTGGCACGATCTCCACTCACTGCAACCTCCACCTGCCGAGTTCAAGTGATTCTACTGCCTCAACCTCCCTAGTAGCTGGAATTATAGGTGCCCGTCACCATACCTGGCTAATTCTTTTTTTCCTGTATTTTTAGTAGAGACGGGATTTCACCATGCTGGCCAGGTTGGTCTCGGATCACCTGAGGTCAGAGGTCTGAGACCAGCCTGGCCAACATGATGAAACTCTGTCTCTCCTAAAAATACAAAAATTAGCCAAGTGTGGTAGAACAGACCTGTAATCGCAGCTACTCAGGAGCCTGAGGCAGGAGAATCACTTGTAGTGGAATGCACCTGTAATCTCAGATACTTGGGAGGCTGAGGCAGGAGAATCACTTGTAGTGGAATGCACCTGTAATCTCAGATACTTGGGAGGCTGAGGCAGAAGAATCACTTGTAGTGGAAAGCACCTGTAATCTCAGATACTTGGGAGGCTGAGGCAGGAGAATCGCTAGAACCTGGGAGGCAGAAGTTGCAGTGAGCCAAGATCATGCCACTGTACTCCAGCCCAGTCAACAGAGCAAGACTCTGTCTCAAAAAACAAAAAAAAAATCACGATGATGCTCATGACAATAAGTTAAATATGTTTGTTTATATTGTATTGTAAATTTTATTTTAAATTAAAATGTTTATGGTTCTCTTTTTTTTTTTTTTTTTTTTGTTTTTTTTTTTGAGATGCAGTCTTGCCCTTGTTGCCTAGGCTAAAGGGCAATGACACAATCCTGGCTCACTGCAACCTCTGCCTCCCAGGTTCAAGCGATTCTCCTGCCTCAGCCTCCCAAGTAGCTGGGATTACAGGCATGTGCCACCATGCCCAGGTTATTTTGTATTTTTCGTAGAGATAGGGTTTCTCCATGTTGGTCAGGCTGGTCTCGAACTCCCAACCTCAGGTGATCCACCTGCCTCAGTCTCCCAAACTGCTGGGATTACAGGCCTGAGCCACCGCGCCCAGCCTAAATTAAAATTTTTAAATTTTTAATTTAAAATAAGACAGAGTGAGATGTCTCACTCTGTCACCCCAGCTGGAATACAGTGGCATGATCATAGTTCACTGCAGCCTCAACCTCCCAGGCTCAAGCAATCCTCCCACCTCACCCTCCCTAGTAGCTGCCTGTGAGACTACAGACATGTACCACCATGCCCAGCTAATTTTTATTTTTTTTATTTTTTTAGAGACAGGCTCTCATTATGTTGTCCAGGCTGCTCTCAAACTCCTGGGCTCAAGAAATCCTCCTGCCTCACCCTCTCAAAGTGCTCAGATTATAGGGGTGAGCCACTGCACCCAGCCTAAGATTTATTTTGATATAATATTAATAATTATAAACCTGACATGATTTGATACAATACTACTTTAAAAACTAGACTCTCTAGTTTTGATGACAGAAACTTATTTCTAAGAACAAAACAGGCTTCATATTGGAAGATGGCTTTAATGGGAAAAGGACATAGTTGTTTTTGTGTACAATATAAAAATCCACCATTTATTTTATGGAGTGAAAATATTAGTTAATATTTAATGATTTAAAATACATAGTTTTACAATATAGAAGGTTATTTTTAAAAATAACTTAGAGAAGTTGTAATGCTATTTTCACTGTGAACTACAGCCAGTTTGTATGCTGACAAATGTTTAACAACCAGCTTTCCAGGACCGGGGGTGAGAGAGAGCCTGATGGTAGATTTTCCAATTTCCATGATGTAAAAACTCCCACCATGGCTGATTTGAAGCTCCCAACGCTGTCACTGAGAATAGAACTGAAAAGAGATATGCATGGAACATCATGACATTGTATTTTACTATATTGATACAATAACTTGAAAAACTTTCCAGAGCATAGATAATAGTAACATAATAAAATAGGAGATGATGATATTTACGCATTTACCTCCCTTTTAAATATAATTATATTTTTATATAATTGCAAGTTTATATAATTCAATTTTTAAATCCTGGCTATGTTTTACAAACTACTGACAAGTTCCTGAAATTTTAACAATCGGTTCTAACAAGCCTATACAAGTCAGCTTCAGCACACTACTGAGCCCATATCTTATATTAGGAATTTGGGTTGCAGTTGACCCCTGCATAAAAACCCCAGCCTGTCTACACTGAAGCGTCTAGAGGTAGATAGGCTTTTGACATAGCTGAATTTGGGGTCTTAAATTATTTCCTTAGTAATTACTCTTTCTGTCTCCTGACACAACTCTCCTCCATTTGGCTTCCTTCTCCAGCAGGCTCATACCATGAGGCAAACAGTTAGCTCCAAGTAATTTAGGTTACTGGCCTTTATATATTCCATCTCAGAACAGCCAGGATTCTCTCTGTTTCAAGTCTATCTCAGTCCCTGAAGTAAGACTATGATTGGGCCCTGCTTAAATCATATGCCATCCTCTGAATCAGTGATTATGTCTAGGGTTTTGGGGAAACTCTGACCAGTTTGGATCTCCCACCCAGGGGACGGAGGCAGTGGAGGTCCCAGTTGACAGCCCCAGTAGAAGTGGGGAGAGGTACTGCCCTAAAAATCAAAGTGTTGTTATCAAAGGAAAGGGAAAGTGAGGGAAATCAAAACCAACAGATGTCTACCATATTCTGCTTACAAGTCCATTTTTATTTTAAGGGTCTGTTAAGGAATGTGGGCATGAAGGGCCAGAAGACCGTCTTTCTTATCACGGACACTCAGATTAAAGAGGAAGCTTTCCTAGAGGATATCGACAGTGTGCTCAATACAGGAGAAGTGCCTAACATTTTTGCAGCAGATGAGAAGCAGGAAGTGATGGAGGTAAATGCTTTTGGGGAAGTGCTGCTTCTAGCACAAAAACTTTATTTCTTGAAACTGTTTCTCTGCTCTTCAGGATAAATATAGTTTGTACATATGAGTTTGGGGGTAATTAAAAATTTAAAGTATATTAGTTTAATACATCATTGTTTGGTGAATTTTAAATTGCTTCTACCATAGTTATGAGGCATAATTTTTATAACTCCTATCTTCATCATAATGGCAGTTTGTTTCACCTGTTTAATGTTATTTAGCATGTTTTATGAGTGATTGGAGATTTTTAAATCATCTCTTAAGGTTACATTGATGTAAGAAAACATGATTTTAATGCTACTTTATTAGTCTTTGTGGTTTACACTGGTTAGTAAATTTTTTTAAAGTTTTAATAAAACTATCTTATGGGTTTGATACATCTGAAAGTCTTGTTTGTGATTTAATTGACAAAAAATACAATGGTGACGTGTCTGCTACTATCACCTACTTTAACCCTCATTTCTTTTTCTTTTTCTTTTTCTTTCTTTCTTTTTTTTTTTTTTTTTTTTTTTTTTGAGACAGAGTCTTGCTCTGTCACCCAGGCTGGAGTGCAGTGATGTGGTCTCGCCTCACTGCAACCTCCGCCTCCCGGGTTCACGCCATTCTCCTGCCTCAGCCTCCCAAGTAGCTGGAACCACAGGCGCCTGCCACCAGGCCCAGCTAATTTTTGTATTTTCAGTAGAGACGAGGTTTCACCGTGTTAGCCACGATGGTCTCAATCTTCTGATCTCGTGATCCGCCTGCCTCGGCCCCCCAAAGTGCTGGGATTACAGGCGTGAGCCACCTCGCCCGGCCACTTTAGACCTCATTTCTAAGATGAAAGTAATGTCACACTTTCTCATTACCATAATCACTTTTACCCACAAAATATATCACTCACACCTGGATATTTAATTCCCAACCTCCAGCCATAACATCTGGAGTGAAAAGGACTCACACTTTCAAGTACTCTGCTTTTCTCTTCCATGAAATGGCAGCACAGATAAGAGTTCTTCCTACATGGGGTTGTTGTGAGGTTTGAGAATCAAACAAAATAAAGCACTTATGTAGTGTCAGGCACTTACACAGCTCTCAGTAAATGGTGCATTACCAGTTCATGGTATGGAGCGTGAAGGGATAAAAGAGGACAAAACAACAACAACAACAACAAAAACCCATGTTCTTTGCTTTTATCTGGGATATGTCAGAGATGTGACCAAGGCTGTAAATTAGTGGTACTCTCCTGATTTATAGGAGAAATGCATCCTCCATATGCCCATCCAAGGAATAGTCACCTTTGGGGAATGGAATTTCCTAAGCTTTGCTAGGCTTTCCTGCTTCTTTAGCTATTATCTATCTTTTCTTCCCATCACTTTGCTACTAAACTTTTCCATTGCTTCACTATTTCTGTTTTATATTTGCTATTTTATATACATCTTTATTTTTTAAACAGGATCATATTCTATATACTGTCGCAAAACTTTTTTTTTAGTTATTTTATCCTGCTTATCTTCCCGTAGCACAAAATACACTGTGTGTGTGTTTTTTTGTTGTTTGTTTTTGTTTTTGTTTTTCTAGAGATGAAGTCTCACTGCTCTGTTGCCCAGGCTGGAGTGCAGTGGTGCAGTCATAGCTCACTGCAGCTTCGAACTCCTGGGCTCTTACCTCAGCCTCCCAAGAAACTAGGATTCCAGGCATGAGACACCAATTTATTATTTTTAACTGTTGTATAAAATGCTAATATGTGGATATTTTACATTTATAACTAGTTCCTTACTGATTGATACTTCAGCTGTTTACATTTTTTTCTCTTAAAAACAATGTAAAATTATATTTCTATACATCTTGGTGAATTTTGTGATTATCTTTAAGGTAAATTCTTGGCAGATAACTTGTTTTTAAATTATAGAATTTTGGAGTTGGAAGAGGTTTTCTAAGTACAAACTATGTCAAAGCCATTCTATTGATATAAAACCAAAATTTTACAGATATTTACAGGGTGCAATAAAACTTCTTCATATTCTAATATCCACCAATCTCATTACCAGCTCATCTATTTTTATTTACAAGGTTTTTATTTTCTGATATTCCCTAGGGTGTTCGCCCAGTAGCTCAGGCTGGCAATAAACATGATGAACTCAGTCCCTTAGCTCTGTTTGCTTTCTTTGTGAATCGCTGCAAAGATAATCTTCATGTCGTGGTGGCCTTTAGCCCCATTGGAGATGCCTTTCGAAATCGCTTGAGACAGTTCCCATCCCTCATCAATTGCTGTACCATTGACTGGTTTCAGGTTTGTAATTTTTCTTGGTTGGAGGGGGAGGCAACTAACTCTTTTGGAATTTTACTGAAATATTTGAAAAACTTTATTAATATACATTCAGCAAGTGTTTCTTGATCACTTACTGTAATGACAGGCATAATGTTCAGCACCAGAGACTGATAAGACTACATGATCCTCACAAGGAGCTTACACTGTAGACTGGAAGACAGAAAAAGCAGTCAGTAATCATGATTATATAAGAGAGCCATAATGTTGATGTGCAAAGGGTATATATACGAAGGCAGTGAATTTCTGAGTCATGAAGATGAGTTAGTTACATAGAGAGGGAGTGTATTAGGAATCAATAGGAAATTTGTATGTAAAGAAATTTATTATGAGGAATTGGCTCATATGATTATGAAGCCTAAAAAGTCCCAAGATCTGCAGTTGGCAGGTGAAAGCCCAGGAAAACCAGTGATGTAGTTCCAGTCTGAAGGCCGGCAGGCTCAGGATCCAGAAAGAGCCAATTCAGTCCAAGGCTGAAGGGAGGAAAAAAAATAATGTCTTAGCTTGAAGGCAATCATACAGGAGGAATTTGGGGGAGGGTCAGCATTTTTGTTCCATTGGATTGAACAAAACTGGACAAGGACAATTGGATGCAGCCCACTGACATTAGGGAGGGCACTCTGCTTTACTCAGTGTATAATGATTTAAATGTTGAATGCATGTAAAAACACCCTCACAGAAACACCCAGAATCATGTTTGACCAAATATCTGGGAACCTCATAGCCCAGTCAAGTTGACTGACACATAAAATGAACCATTATTAGAGAATAGTACTTGGAAAAGGAGAAGGGTGGGGAGAGGATGGCTCATCTGCCCCACTGAAAATTGTTTGGTATAGCTGGCTGGCATTTTAAGGGCAGCAGCAGTTGAGTTGGAGCTTTGGGTGGGTACCAGGTTACAAAGACATTGGCAAGGTATTCCCAGGAATTTGGTTTTATACCAGAGATATCACAGTAGCATCAACATATTTTTAGATAATCTGCATTTAGGAAAAAACCAAAGCAGTTGGAAGCTGTGTGGTAGGTGAATTGGAGTAGGGCAAAACAAGAGACAGGAAAACCAACTGGGCAACAATTTCAGTCATGCTGGAAGCAAATGATGAAGGCCACTGCCTCACCTAAGACAGACTGTCACTGCCTGTTTAATACAATTTGGTATTCATACTCTTGAGAACAGTAGCTCATGGTACCTTCTATTGTTTTATGCCCAATAGAATGTGGACTGTGCATTGACCCTGGATAATTAAAAGAAAAAAAATAGTTTCTGGTACTGATTTGTTTTATTCTCTTTGCCTATTTATTATGAACTGCATTCTGGTTTTGTTTGGGAAATCACCCTCCATGTAGCTGTGTATCAGAGGGATTGAATCATGGTTGGTCTAAGTATATATATATATATATATATATATATTTTTTTTTTTTTTTTTGAGACAGGATCTCTGTCGCCCAGGCTGGAGTGCACTGGTGCAATCACAGCTCACTGAAACCTCTGCCTCCTGGGCTCAAGCAATCCTCCCACCTCAGCCTCCAGAGTAGCTGGGACTATAGGTGTATGCCACCATGCCCAGCTCATTTTTAAATTTTTTATAGAGACAGGGTTTCTCTATGTTGCCCAAGCTTGTCTCCCACCTCAGCCTCCCAAAGTCCTGGGATTATAGGCACGAGCCATTGTGCCCAGCCCTAAGTCAATATTGGTGCTCTCAGTTGGGCACGGTGGCTCACGCCTGTAATCCCAGCACTTTGGGAGGCTGAGGTGGGTGGATCATGAGGTCAAGAGATGGAGAGCATCCTGGCCAACATGGTGAAACCCCATCTCTACTAAAAATACAAAAGTTACCTCAGTGTGGTGGTGCACGCCTGTAGTCCCAGCTACTCGGGAGGCTGAGGCAGGAGAATTGCTTGAACCCAGGAGGTGGAGGTTGCAGTGGGCCGAGATTGTGCCACTGCATTCCAACCTGGCAACAGAGTGAAACTCCATTTCAAAAAAAAAAGTATTATATATATATATATATACACACACACACACACACACACACATATGTGTATATATATTTATATGTATATATGTATGCTTTCATTTCTCTTGCTAGTGATTGTTTTATGCCTGAGCCCATGTATGAGCCATTCCTTGCCAATGGGTCTTGAGGTAAAGTCTGCTGGGGAGCTTTGGGGAAAAAAAGTATTTTCACTATAAAAGGAGTCACATGGTAAGAAAAGGGCCTTTTTTGTCTCTCAATCTTGTTGCTTGAGAATGTGATGCCCATAGCTGCAGCAGTCATCATGTCACCATAATGGGACAAGCCCAAGTATGAAATAAAGTGCACTGAGAAAGGGAACAACAAGACGGAAAGAACGTGAATACTTGATAATATAGTTGAGCTTCTAAATGAAGCAACCCTGGAAATACCCTACTTCTGGGTATTACTCTATAAGAATATGCATCTTCTTTTTTTTGAAGATACAGTAAGACTGGTTTTCTGCCTCTTTAGTCATAAATATTCTAACTGCCAAAGATAGTATTAAATGTGCATGATTATTAGCAGGATGATTAAAAATGAAGCACCCAGAACATAAATATAAGCCTCTGTAATGTTTTTTTTTTTTCCTGTGGACCTGCTTTTTAATGGAGGGGACAGAGAGTAAATAAGATAAAGAAGTAAATATACACAAGATAAAATATACATGAACTGGTGACAAACACTAAAGGGAAGACTAAAACAGGAAGAAGTGCATGGGAAAGGTGGGGGAAGAGAAAGAGAATGTTGTAATTTATTTATTTTTTATTATACTTTAAGTTCTAGGGTACATGTGCACAACGTGCAGGTTTGTTACATATGTATACATGTGCCATGTTGGTGTGCTGCACCCATTAACTCACCATTTACATTAGGTATATATCCTAATGCTATCCCTCCCCCCTCCCCCAACCCCACGACAGGCCCTGGTGTGTGACGTTCCCCACCCTGTGTCCAAGTGTTCTCATTGTTCAATTCCCACCTATGAGTAAGAACATGCAGTGTTTGGTTTTTTGTCCTTGTGATAGTTTGCTGAGAATGATGGTTTCCAGCTTCATCCATGTCCCTACAAAGGACATGAACTCATCCTTTTTTATGGCTGCATAGTATTCCATGGTGTATATATGCCACATTTTCTTAATCCAGTCTAAGCCTCCTCTGTAATGTTTTTTAATGATGTGTAAGTTATATGACATTTAACCTGGCATTTTATAAAATTTCACTAATCTTAATAGTTCTTTAGAAGTCTCTTTTTTAGATTTAAAATATATATTGGTACAATTGGATCACATGAATATAACAATCTATTAATAAAAAATGCATACACTGGCAGTATGTGCTTAGGCTAGACACCAAAAAAAAAATGGTCTTAAAATGCATATTGTCTGCCACAAAGGAAAAAAATTATAAGCATATTATTGAAACTAAATGAAAGGAAATCTGGAAAATACTCTAGTGAACAAATAAAGATTAATGATATGCCATGTATTGGTAAGTGCTGAGAAGAAAACTCAGTATAAAAGACAGAGTAATGGGGGAAGGAATGCTGTTTTATAAAGAGTGCTCTGGTAAGTCAGTATATGAGCTTGGATGTGAAGGAAGTGACAGCATGAACCACATGGAGGTCTGAGGGAAGAGGGTTCTGGTCAGAGGGAAAAGCACGTCCAAAGACTCAGAGGTAGGAGCATGCTTGGCATATTCCAGGAAAGCCAAGGAAGGAACCATTTCACTAAGATGGAGAGGACTGGCTAGGAAGCAAATTTGTAGGGAAGAAAATTTAAAAATCAACTTTGGACATTATAGTAGAAATTGTGATCGTCTCCCAGTAACAGAAACCCAACCTAAACACATTGGGTTTTTTAACTGTCATATGAAAAAAAAATCTAAAGGTAAGCAGAGTGGGGCTTTTGTGGCTTAACAAAGTCATGAGGATCCCAAGTTATTTCTGCTTTACTCTCCTTAGCATGTGATTTCCATTCTCAAAGTAACTTATGACCTGAGGTGGCTGCTGGAGTGCCATTGTTCACAACCATGTTCCAAACAAGAAGTAGAAGAATGAAAGTAGGCCAAAAAGGATATCCCAGCTCTATGTAACTCTCTAAAAAGTCTTCCCTGAAGTCTCCACCCAACAACTGCTTATGTGTCATTGGCCATTCTGAATTCCAAGGGAGTCTAGGAGATTTAGTCTTTTAGCTGGGTATATTGCTATCTAGAATAAAATTGGAGTCCTAAGGAAGAAGGGGCTAGTAGATATTGGGTGGGCAACTAGCAGCTTCTGCCACTGTCATGATAAATTTAGGATGCCTACTAGACATGCAAGTAGAAGAGTTGGGAAGACAGTGTAATACATCTTTGATAACTAAAATTTCATTGATCCTTCCTTTATATTATCCTTTTTTCATTTTAATATATAAGAATATTAGGTCTTTCAGAGACCTCAGTCCCTCTTATTCTGTTTTCTTCATTAAAGTTTTGATTTTCTCAACACCAAATTATTCTCCCATAGAAAGTCATGTAACTTATTATGCATTAACTTATGGAGTTGGAATGAGACTACTGTTCATCTTAAATTTCAAGTGTTTTTCTTTTTCTTATTTTTAGTCATGGCCTGAAGATGCTCTTGAACGTGTAGCTGTGAAATTCTTAGAAACACTGGAGCTTACTGAGGTTGAACAACAAGAGATAGTTCCAATCTGTAAACACTTTCACACCTCCATTATGGATCTTTCAGAAAGGTTAATATTAGTGAATTTAAAAATGACAATGAAGGGATTTGTGAAGGCCATTTCCAAATTAATTCACATGTATTTGCTATCTTATCTGCTATCCCCTTTCCTACTGTACTTAACCTGGTTTACATGATATCTTGGGTCTCTTACCAAGTTAGATCCTCCTGGCTTATGAAACATGTGAAATAGTCTGATTCTTTCTTGTTGTAGTTCATCTTTTATTAGACATATTTGTTGATTTGTGGTTTTTTAAAAGATAGGATCTCACTTGATTTGTGCCTTTTGAATATGTCACCACTAGTTGGTATTTTAGAGACAAGAAATTATAATGTGGTAATATGTAGGATTCTAGTCTTAAAATGTTCAAGTACTCAGTAGCTTCTGTATAAAATGTAATCTTTATTAAATGTCTGTTAATGGTATGTTGAATTTACCTTTTTGTGAAATCCATTACTTAAAGTGAGCTATGTTACCTGCCTCTCTTTTAGGTTCTTGCATGAGTTAGGACGACATAACTATGTTACTGCTACTTCTTATCTTGAACTCATTGGCTCATTTCGACAGCTTTTGACACAGAAGCGACAAGCTGTCATGGAAGCAAAACAACGATACATGAATGGGCTTGACAAATTAGCTTTTGCTGAGTCTCAGGTAAATTTGATGAGCTGCTCAAAATGGTAATATATACTGAGAAGTATAAGAAATAATAATACAAGCTACAATTTATTGAGAATATGTGATATGCCAGGCTCTTTGTTATGTCTTTCACATCTATTCCTTCAGTTATTCTTCATAACAACTCTATAAGGTGGACACTTCTGTGATCCTCATTTTACAAATGAGTACAGTAAGTTTTACAGAAGTTCAATAAGTTGCCTAGATCACACAGACTCAAATATATCATGTTTTATTTTTAATTAATTTTTTACCATTTAAGAGAATATAAGTTTAGGTCGCTTTTTATTGTAAAAGCTGGTTAAATATAAGATTTGTGGTTTTTTTAATGAGTCAAGTGCTAGTAATACTTACTAGTGTTAGTTCAACGTAAGTAATAGAGGTTTGGTTGGTTGATCTTTGTATCATGTCATGCACATAATATATCAGGAATACTCTGAGATGCTGCTTTGTTTTCAATCTACATTTCTTCCATGGTGACTGCATTCTCCTACTGAGGTCTTTTGTGAAGAAAACTGACCCACACTTTCTTTTTTTAGATGGAGTGTCACTCTGTCACCCAGGCTGGATTGCAATGGTGCAATCTCGGCTCACTGCAGCTCCACCTCCCGGGTTCAAGCAATTCTCCTGTCTCACCCTCCCAAGTAGCTGGGATTACAGGCACATGCTGCCACGCCTGGCAAATATTTTTATTTTTAGTAGAGATGGGATTTCACCATGTTCCCCAGGCTTATCTCAAACTCCTGAGCTCAGGCAGTCCACCGGCCTTGACCTCCCAAAGTGCTAGGATTACAGATGTGAGCCACCGTGCTTGGCCCTGGCCCACACTTTCATAGTTTTGTTTGTCATGCAAAGAACTAGAAGAAAAAGTTAAGATTTTCTGCTCCAATACTTTTATGGATACATTTAAATTTCTATTTTCTGCATTTGGTTTCAATAGCAATTATAGCAATGGAAACTTAATCATATTATAAACTGTCTCTTTAGGTTGGTGAAATGCAAATGGAGCTTGTTGAATTACAGCCCAAATTGGAGGAAGCTAAAATTGAAAATGCAAATATGATGCAGGTAGAGTATCCTGAATGTTTTTGATGTCAAAGGACAATTGAAATAAGTAAAATTAGCCTTGAAAATAAGGGTTAATGTTTTGCTACTAGACTTTAGAGACTTTACCCTTTTCCATTGACTGGCTATCTCACTGGGTCTAACGTGGGTTCTGTCTTTTTTGAAGGAATTTTTGAAGCCCATTTCCAAATTAGTTCACATGTATTTGTATATCCTCATTTTATTATAGACCCTTCTATCCTTCAAAATGATATGTTAGATTCCCTAATTTTCAAATATTCTTTTGTCTAGGATTGAGAAAGCAATAGGGTGTTTGAGAAATTGTCTTCATCTTTCACCTCTTTAGGTTATTGAGATAGAGTCTGTACAAGTGGAAGCGAAAAGACAATTTGTGAAATTGGATGAAGAGATAGCCAGTGGGAAAGCTGAAGAAGCCCAAGCTCTGAAAAATGAGTGTGAAAGTGACCTAGCTGAGGCGATTCCAGCCTTGGAAGCAGCTCTGTCTGCACTGGATACACTTAAGGCAAGTGTTTGAATTAGCTACTTTGTGTTTCATCAACCAAGGGAAGCTGAATATGGGTATTTGGCTTATTAGAAATGGCTGTATTTCAGTGGGTGATATTATATTGTTTTTGTCCAGTCAAATGAAACTTGGCTCTTAACAGTTTACCTTTGATATATTGTTGTTTTTATTTTATTTTATTTTTTGAGACAGAGTCTCACTTTGTTGACCAAGCTGGAGTGCAGTAGTGCAATCATGGCCCACTGCAGCCTCCATCTCCTGGGCTCAAATGATTCTCCTACCTTAGCCTCCTCAGTAACTAGGATCACAGACACACACCACTAGGCCTGGCTAATCTTTTTAAACATTTTTTTTTATAGAGACAGGGTCACCCTATGTTGCCCAGGTTGGTCTCAAATTCCTGGGCTCAAGCGATCCTCCCACCTTGGCCTCCCAAAGTGCTGGGATTACAGGCATGAGCTTCCATGCCTGGCCTATTTTTGCTTTTTATATATTATTTATAATTTTCATTGAGGATATTCTAGTGGGAATGAGACGAATAGACTCCAAGAGGCCAAAGTGGTTCTGTACATGGACCAGCAGGCATATGTTAAGTACAGTGTGCAGCCTCCTGGACCTGCATACACAGAAAAACTTAAAGGCCATTTCCAGTACAGCTGTGACTGGCACCTATCTGTACCACATTATGTTGTACGTAACTTTTTACAGGTCTTTAGGCAAGACCAGAACAACTGCACCAAGCACAGCAGGAGAGATAACATCTGTTGACTAGGGAGTCAACAGTGTATTCAGGTCCCATTCTTTGCCTTTTTTCCTAATCAATACTGTTTCATGTAACAGGCCTGACAAGACTGTAAACTCAACCTGTGGGTAATTCAGCATCTCACAGGATCGAACTCTGATTTTTCAGTAACATCAGCCCTGTAGTTATAAGACAAGATTGTTTTAGGGCATTTATAGAAATTTCCTAGTGCTGTGAATCAGGAATTTAAAACTCTGAGCTTACTATATTCTTTCTTCATGCTCTCAGTACTTTTTTTCTTTTCTTTTCTCCTTTTTTTTTTTTTTTAAGACAGGGTCTCACTCTGTCACCCAGGTTGGAGTGCAACGATGTGATCATAGCTCACCACAACCTGAAACTTTTGGGCTAAAGTAATCCCCCCCGCCCCCCACCCCAACTCAGCTTCCTGAGTAGCTGGGACTACAGTCACATGACACCATGCCTGGCTAATTTCTGGCACATTTAAGAGTCACTTATTACCCTGTGATCTTTCTGCATTCTCTCCTTAGAGATTTATTACAGCAGCTACTTAGTTTGACAAAGCCTTTAAGAGGCACTCCATTCTAGGTGACCATGAGCATTAATTTAAGTAACTTCTCCCTATGTTCCATGAATCTGCAGCACTCCATCCCCTGATATAGGATTCTTGATGGCTTCAAACTCTCACCAATTTAGGTCATTAATATTAGGTTCCCCTTTCATTGAGAGTCTGTTGCTTATACCCTTCCTGATATCAAATGCTGTATTACCTGAGTTAGAGTTCAGTTTCAGAGAAGAGAGTTGATTTTAGTATAAGTAGACAAAGATTCTTCAGGGAATTTTATAAATGGATTACAGAATTGTTGGAAGAGGTAAAAGAATCAGATCCCAGGCTGAGCTTCCAGGAATGACTCACAAAGCCACGCTGCAGAAATGGTCTACTAGAGCAGCTGTCTCTCTGAGTAGGAAGCCTCCAGAGCTTCCTACACTGCCACGTAACCTCCACTGTAATCTATATTGTCACAATGGATGTCTTGCACCCTGCCACTCTCCCCATTTGTCTGAATTCTAGTATCACTCAAGTGATCTGGAATCTAATTCTCACCCAGAACTTTAATTGCATGAAAAACTAAGATATATAGTTGTTAGCTTTCCAGCATTTGCATCTTGCAAGGAATGTCAGAAATATATTGGAGTGGGTAAGTGAATCTATACTATCTATTATAACAATATATACCTTTTTAGAAAATAGGTTTGGAATTGGGACGTACCTCTTCTTTCATCTTCTTCAATAGAACTAATATATATAAGCAAATATAGAGTTAAGTCTTTGTCTAAATTAGGATTCTTAACTTAGGTTCCACGTATGGGTGTGGTATGTGATTGTATATGTGAAAAATTATATTTTCTGGTGGATTTATAGCTGCCATTATATTCTCATAGGCATCTATGACTGACCCCTCCCAACATTTGAGAACCATTAGTCTTAATCTGTGCTGAATTCTCTTTTGTTAATTCTTTCATAACCTGAAGTAAAAAAAGAAAAAAAAAAAACTTTGATTTCAAATAAAAAGGGATGCTTTTATTATTCCCCAACATTACTTTAAAATTTTTCATTATTTAAAAGTAAACTATTCTGAATATGTCCTGTTTGTTTTTTGTTTTTTTCTTTTAGCCAGCCGACATTACGATTGTGAAATCAATGAAGAATCCTCCATCTGGTGTTAAACTAGTTATGGCTGCTGTTTGTGTCATGAAAGATATAAAACCAGAAAAAATTTCAGATCCTTCAGGGACTGGAGGCAAGGTAATAACTTGACACAGATTTGAATCATATTCATGAATGTATAGAACTTGTCAGCAGCAACTATTATCAAATATCAACAGTACCCAAATTAGGGAAGAAACATTGTTTTCCAGATATTGTCTGTATATATTCTAGGGTAAAGCTAAGACAATGTAGTGTCAAAAAACGTGGTTCCAGACCAGTCTGGCTAACCTGGTGAAACCCCGTCTCAACTAAAAATATATAAATTAGCCAGGTGCGGTGGTGGGCACCTGTCATCCCAGCTACTCAGGAGGCTGAGACAGGAGAATTGCTTGAACCCAGGAGGCAGAGGTTACAGTGAGCCAAGATTGTGCCACTGCACTCCAGCCTGGGTGACAAAGTGAGACTTCAGCTAAAAAAAAAAATATATATATATGGTTCTAGTTGCTTCCATCTCCTTTTCTGTCTATGCAGAATTCTCCACTACCATGGGCTTGGAACTAAATGAACACTGAGGTGCCTGTACTTTTCCAGCTAAGATCCTTTCTGGGTATTCCAAAACATCTGAGTTAAGCAGTATAGCAAAGTTGTTAAAAGCATGTGCCCTGGAGCTAGAATGTCTGTATTCAGAAATCCGGACCCCACTAGCAGTGTGACCTTGGTTAAGGTATTTAACATGTGTGGAATTCCATTAAAAAAAGATGGTACTCATAGTATCTACCTCAAAAAGCTAATAAGAGAATTAGATTAGTTAATACATATAAAGTTCTTAGGTGTAAAGCCTCACAAACAATAAGTACACAATAAATGTTAGCTGTTATTATTATAATTATTATTCCAGGATACATCCCTTAAAAAGGAAGGCATAGTATCCATTCTAAACTGAATTTACAGACTAATTTTATTTTCAGGTTTTTCTAATACCTGGGTTTAAATTCCTGAATTAAAGAATTAGATTTTTTTTTTTGGCCATTCTGTCCTTCATTGAGATAATAAAGAAAATATATAGGCTCTTACCTTATTAAGTTATTCTCATTTACACACACACACACACACACACACACCTCCCTATCAGGCTTCCGGAAGTAGAAAAAAAGAACTTTCAGCTGGTTATTTCAGCTCTTTTGCCAATATATGTAGCATGTGCTTTTACCCTATGGTTGGCAGAGCAATGTGTACTCTTTGGCCTTCTGCTTTCTCCTTTAATTTCGCTTGGAGAGCCTAGGTAAGTGCGGAATTTGTCTTTAAGAAAAAGTTTGCTACTTTTCTTATTTGAAAGAGTCAAAGAATAAAGGAAAATAAATTTAGAAGTAATAAAAATTTATTTTCTTATATGAAATTGTGATGGCGTTTATGCAAGTAGCTTAAGTTTTCAAAAGAAATAACCATTATTTTCCTTTCAGTGTTTACTTTTTTAAACAAATTCAGTCTATAAATGCATTTCCATATTTAAAAATATTTTATGTTTAACATGTTCTTGAGGAAAGTCTTAATTTCCAAGGAGATGTAAGTTGATATTTTGAAAGTATGTGATTAAGCTGGGCATGGTGGCTCACGCCTGTAATCCCAGCACTTTGGGAGGCTGAGGCAGGTGGATCACTTGAGGTCAGGAGTTGGAGACCAGCCTGGCCAACATGGTGAAACCCCCTCTCTACTAAAAATACAATAATTAACCAGGTGTGGTGACAGAAGCCTGTAGTCTCAGCTACTCGGGAGGCTGAAGTGGGAGAATCACTTGAACCTGGGAGGCAGTGAGCCGATATTGCACCACAGTACTCCAGCCTGGGCGACAGAGCGAGACTCCATCTCAAAACAAACAAAAAGTATATGATTAGTTTCTCTGGATAATGCCTCTTAAACTTCAAGAAGAAAAATTTTGCATCTAGCATTTTTAGTTGCAAATTTAACAAATTTCCATAAATTTTATTTGTAGATATTAGATTACTGGGGACCTAGCAAAAAACTTCTGGGAGATATGAATTTCTTAAGAGATTTGAAAGAATATGACAAGGACAACATTCCAGTGAGTTGCATTGGGTTTTTTTCTACAAATGTGACTTGGCTAAAATGTTTAAGAACGTTAATATTATGCAATAGTTTACAACACATACAGAAATAGTCCATTTTAGGATTAAGATAATTAATAAAGAGATATTACCTTTATTAATGATACTATGAGTTTTCATAATGTTTAAAACCATTGCTGTCTCAGATAGTTAAAAAGTTATTTAAGAAGATACTCTTTTAGTGTATAATTGAGTTGAAAGAGTTGTCTAAATGTCTTGTTATGATAAATTAATTATTAAGAAATCTGATACACAAATTTATGTAAGATTTAAAAAGTATAGCATATTATTTTCTATTCAAATTCTTATTCTTAATGTTTAATTGTTCTTTTCCATTGTTTCCATTTGTTCTCTCAACTTATGTCTTTTTTTTTTTTTTTTTTTTTTTTTTTGGGAGACAGAGTCTCATTCTGTCACCCAGGCTGGAGTGCAGTGGCGGGATCTTGGCTCACTGCAACCTCCACCTCCTAGGTTCAAGCAATTCTCCTGCCTCAGCCTCTTGAGTAGCTGGGATTACAGGCACCCACCACTATGCCCAGCTAATTTTTGTACTATTAGTAGAGACAGGGTTTTACCATATTGGCCAGGCTGTCCTCGAACTCCTGGTCTCAAGTGATCTGCCAGCCTTGGCCTCCCAAAGTGCTGGGATTACAGGTGTGAGCCACTGCACCCAGCCTAAACTTGTAAGTCTTTTAATATTTTTGGAAGAAACATTTTGCCTTAATATCTGTAATACATTTGCATATTTTGCTCACAAATATGACATACTTCTGCTACAATTATGCTTATTTTTAAATTATTTCAAAATACTTATTTTGGCTTTTAAAGCCAACATTAACTTTTTTATATAAATGTTTTTATTGTATATGATTTTTTTCCATCTGATGATTATGTGATCTATATTGAAATTTTAAAATTTAAATCTTTGTTGTATAGGTGACTGTTATGCAGAAGATTCGTAGTGAATACTTAATGAACCCTGAATTTGATCCCCCTAAGGTTGCTAAAGCTTCTTCTGCAGCTGAGGGTCTGTGTAAGTGGATCATGGCCATGGAAGTGTACGACAGAGTTGCAAAGGTACTTTCAACATTAGCACATCTGTGTTCTACTAAGATATTCCCAGGAATTAGAATCTGTGCTTATATTTACTGGTTAAGAAGTTTCTCAAAGTGACCACACAGAGAATTTGTTCTGCTGTAGTGTACTATCATATATCGATTGCATACCTAGCAGACGAGGAGAATATTTGTGCATAACATAACCTGGTTGGGGCTGGTGTGGGTGGTAGTGATGCAGGAGCAGGGATCATGAGTAGAATTAGTCAGATTTACTTATAGCTTTAGGACCCAGGAGAAAACGGAATTAAGATTTGATGAGGCAGAAGCAAAGAAAAATCTAAAACATCAAGGGGAAAGTGCCAGATTAAAAAGTTGATTCAAAGGATCAGAAGTAAGAGGATCCAGCAGAGTTAAGAGGCAGAGCATGGAAAGATCCCCTGAAACAAGAACATGCCTTGACATAGAACCTTTTATGGAATACCCACTGGGTCCAAATTTCTGGGAGAGCAGAGAATAGTTAAGAGCATTTTCTAAATTTGGCTAGCAAAGGACCAGGGCAACAAAGGCTTTGCCCTTGCAGCTTGCAGAATTCTACCTAAGGAAGAAAGAAATATAAATAAAAAGGTGTAGATGAAAATATATGGTAGCTTGTGTTTAAAACAAGCTCAGAAGATAGAATAAATGATCAAACTGTAATAATTGGGAAGGTCTTCCTAAATGATATATGTACATGTACCTGTAGAGAGATAGAGACTTTGTTAGTTTCAAAGGAGCAGACCTGAATAAACCTGTTAAAGAAATAAAATTAATTTTATCTAGGATGTCTTTCCATTAAACATCTTGTCCCTTCACACAGTAGTCTCATGGTAGCTCAGCTAATTTCCACATGTTCCACAGATGTGTGGAATCTTGTGGATCCTTTCTACAAAGCAGAGAAGCCAAGGCACTCAGGCTTTTTCCTGCCTTCCCACTCTATAACTCCACACTGCCATTTTTATTCTGATACAAGCTGCCCCATGCTGATACAGAAGCATGGGAGAGAAATATGCAACAATGTCTTCTCTGAAGTCAGAAGCAGAAAAGAGAGCTTCCTGCTTTCTGTCTACTTATTTAACACATTTTCTTTCATGATTTCAGTGCAGCAGAGAGAAAGCAGGGCATTTTGTGTCTGATACACTGCTCTCTCTCTCTTGTCCCTCCTTGCCTTCAGCTTCATTCACAGCAATTTACCAGAAGAGTTAGGTCTATCTTCTTTCTAACAGGCACACACTCTCTCTGGTCATCTTCTCCATTCTTTGTACCAAGGGCTTGGAGGATGCTTGGTGATCCAGTTGGCCAAACTGCATTCTTGATAGCCTGATGAGCATAACAAAAAAACTTTAGGAAATCCCTTTTCTCTCAGTCAAGTGTGGCTTTTCAGTATTTGTTGGGGAAAATTCAGTTTTGGTAGTGAAACTGAGCATTGAGGTTTTCTTCCTTTTTATTTCCACCATCACTGCTCTAATCCTGGCAAGGCAGATGTAAGCCTCAGTCTGACTGGGAAGAAAATCACAAGCTTGGAAAGGAAAAAAAAAACACCCAAAACATATTCATGTGTTTAAACAAACACTTATTATTTCATGTTATATGTTTTTCTGTTATTTGACAACAGTTAAGTGACACCTTCTCATTATTTTGAGACATCTTGTGACATTTTTGCTACATATTTTGACATTTTGTTAGCCTAGTATAAATTATCTATTTTATAGGTAACAATTTGCTAGTCCAGATTTATCTATTTTATAAAATATATAGGTATATTTTACTTTGTATGTGAAAACAGAAGATTTAAGGCAAAATGTTTATATAATTTATTACAATGCATTTCTAATCCATAATATTTATAAGGGAGGAATTATATAGATATCAGTTTTACAAAGTACACATCATATCTGCATATATTCTTCCCAAAAAGGTAGTGGCTCCTAAGAAAGCTCGCTTATCAGAAGCTCAGAAGTCTTTAGCTGAGACAATGGAGCTTTTGAATCAGAAGAGAGCAGAACTGGCAGAAGTAGAACATCATCTGGAAAATTTACAAATGACATTTCTTGAGAAAACAGAGGAAAAGGCTGCTTTAGAAGACCAGGTGGAACTCTGTGCTAAGAAGCTTGAAAGAGCCTCACAATTAATTGGAGGACTGGGTGGAGAAAAATCAAGGTCAGATTTCTATTTGTTTTAGCAAGATTTAGGAATGTCAGCCTTGAATATGTGACCTTCTTTGGGTATTTATTGTGATTACTGATTTTACAATGGCTGGTTGAGAATGTGGGACATTCTGGAAGACACCTGGCCAGGCTTCTCCAAACAAGGATATCAGTCTTGAGGATGGTGTTTACAAATTGCTTTCACATGGTCTTTTAAAAGAGGCAAACAAGGCAAATGGTAACAATTTTTTAAATCCAAGTGGTAAGTATGTAGTTGTTTGTTGTACAGTTCTTTCCAATTTTATGTATGTTCAAAATTTTTTGTAATGTTTGGAGGGATCAGTGAATGCATGGTTCATTGGTTAAATTTTATGTTAAGGAAGATATAACTGGCTTGATCTAACAAAGCCAGTAAGCTTTATTCTAATGTATTTACTTGGATTGGACAGCCAGCTGTTTCATTTATTCTATTCATTGAATGAATAGCATGATAAAGTAACAATGTGTCTTTGACAAGACTTTGTAGTACAGATTAGATAGTTTTGGAATACACTTTTTTATTGTATGGGTTTCATTAAATGGGAAAAATACCAATCTTAGTATGTCAGCTTCTATACAGCTTAAATGTAATTTTTGGTAATGAATTGCAAATGTTCGTATGTTTTACAGTCTAACAATAAATACTAAAACAAATAGCACAGCCACTAGACCAAATCATCCAAGAGAAAATTATTAGGCAAAATGTTGGTGTTTGGGTTTTGTTTTTTTTTTTCTTTTTCTGAAGGGCCAAGTCCTGCAAGAAATGTCTAATATTCTAATAATGAAAGGAAGATTGTCATTCACATAATATAGATACATGTTATAGCGTATAAGAGCTAGAAGGGTTCCAACCTCATTTTACAGATAAGCAGGTGTCCAAATTTTATAGCTTTTTGTTACAGAATTGGACTGGAAACCCTTGCCCTTTATATTACTGTCTCCCATCATTCTCTGTTGTAAATCTGTTTTGCCTTTGGTTGATGGCACAGATGGGCCCAAGCTGCAGATGACCTTCAGATAACATATGAAAATTTAACTGGCGATGTCTTAGTATCAGCAGGAGTAATAGCTTACCTTGGTGCTTTCACTTCTGGCTTTCGACAAACATGTACAAAAGATTGGAGCATGTTGTGCAAGGTAGTGGTTTTATATTTTGTAAGTCTTGTTTTAGAACATCCAAAGTATGTTTTGGGATATTTTGGGGGAAAGGATGATAATAATGGCAGAAGAGAAGAAATAACTGAAAACATGGGGTCTTTCTTTTTTTGCTTCTTGTTTCATCAGTAAAATACTTCCACTATTCAACTTTTAATTTCTTTTCTTTCTGTTCCTTAGAGTTATTAAATAATGCCTAGTGACAACTAAACCAATATTTTAATTTAAAAAATATTTCAGTTAACAAGGTGAAGGAAAATAGATTTTTGTTTATTTCTTACAGAAGAAAAAAATCCCGTGTTCAGAGGAGTTCTTGTTGAGTAAAACCCTGGGTGATCCAGTAAAAATTAGAGCTTGGAATATTGCTGGTTTACCAACAGATACATTTTCCATAGATAACGGAGTGATCGTTAACAACTGTAGGCGTTGGTAAGAAATATAAACTATTTGTTTTTTCTGTTGTTCTGTTTGAAAGTTTTCAAACATATAGAAACGTTGAAAGAATTTTATCATAAGCACCAATATAACTACCACCTCCTAGATTCTGCAATTAACATTTTAGTATTCTTGCTGCTTTATCATGTACCTGTCCTTCCCTCTATCACTCCGTCAACCCATCTTTTAAAATGCATTTCCATGTAAATGGCAGACATAGGTATGCTTCCTTCCAGGTACTTCAGCATGCATATCATCAACTAAAGTTCAATATTTGCTTATGTTTTATTCTTTTGAGGTAAAATTTACATACATGAAATACACAAAACCATACCATTCAGTGAGTTCTAACAAAGATATACACTGGTGTAACCCAAATCTCTATCAAGATACAAAACATGACTACCACCAGGGAAGTCTCCTCATGTTCCTTTCCAGTAAATCCCTACCCTCATCCCACCCCAGGAAATAATTGTTCTGATTATTTCCCGCCATAGGTTAGTTTTGCCTAGGTTATTTTTGTATGGATTACTTCTAGAATTTCATATAAAGGAATCATAATGTATATGTTATTGGGTAAGGCTTCTTTTGGCATATTTTTTTCTGAGATTTATCCATGTTATTGCATGCATTGGTACTCTGTTCCTATTTTTTGTTGCTGAGTTCCATTTTATGAATATATCACTGTTTATGTATTCTCCTACTGATGGACCTCTGGGCTATTTCTAGTTTCTGGCTATACAATGTACTTGTTTTAACTAGGTATTGCTACCCATCTTCAAGATACAGTAACTTGATAATTTATGCAATTTCATGGGTACCTTTTTTATTAGCTATCATTGTTAGTCTGATAACTATAAAAACTTTTCAAATGGCCTTTATTGTTATCCTTTTATTTATATCACTTTGAAAAACTTGGAAAACTACTTTCCTTTGAGAAATAGTTTTCTATAATGGTTATGTAGTGACACTATCATCTAATTTTAAAAGTCTTTTCATGGGACTGTGTCTCAAATATGCTGTGATAGATACTATGGAGCTCTTAGATTTATCAGATACTAGTCTAAGTGCCCTACATCTTCACAACATCCTGTGAGTTAGGTATTATTATTATCCCATTTTATAGATGAGGAAATTGAAGCCCAGAATGATTTAGTAATTTTAAATTAGTAAAGATAACTTAGTGAATAAGTGATAGAGTCAGAATTTGAATCCAGGCAATCTGACTTTCAAATCCTTGCCCTTAATTACTATGCTGGAGTGAATTGTAGAATAGGATATCACACTCACTGCCTTTAAAACCATAATGGAAATTTCACTCTTCTTTTAGATGAGATAAATTAAAGATATAAGGAAATCTAACATCCTGAAAGTTTGAGTTATTGTTTGTTTTATATTCTTTGCAAATCTTTCTGGAAGCTTCAAAACAACTCCTGTTTATATTGACAGTATTGTTTTAATAAAATAAGAATGTGTATAATCATATTGAGTTTGCACTCAAAACTTTACTTGAGAGCAAAGATACTTAGGTTGAAACTTATCGGCAATAAGCAAAATTTAATATAATCTGAAAAAGAATATATTTTGGTTATAAAAAATGTGTTCTGTGGTAGAGCAGGGATCATTCTGTTTAACAGAATATTAGACCCTTGAGTCGGTTAATTCTGTTTTAGAACCCATTTCCATGTGTTTCGTGACCATTCAGATTGTTTAAATTGCAATTTAGAAAATGGCTGTTGTGGGCTGGGCACGGTGGCTCACGCCTGTAATCCCAGCACTTTGGGAGGCTGAGGCAGGCAGATCACAAGGTCGGGAGTTCAAGACCAGCCTGGTCAATATGGTGAAACCCCACCTCTACTGAAAATACAAAAAAAAAAAAAAAATTAGCCAGGTGTGGTGGTGTGCACCTGTAATCCAGCTACGCAGGAGGCTGAGGCAGGAGAATCACTTGAACCTGGGAGGTGGAGGTTGCAGTGAGCCAAGATTGCGCCACTGCACTCCAGCTGGGGTGACAAAGTGAGACTCTGTCTCAAAAAAAAAAAAAAATCAGTTGAGTAATATAGATTAACTATAACCACTGAGTCCAAATTCTAATTCCTGTGAAAAACATCTGATTGGTCTAGCTTGGGACAAATATTCACCTTAGGTCTAGTAACTTACAGCTGCGGGACCCAAGCCAGAGTAACAAACATGAGTATTGAAGACCAGGAGTGTAGTTCTCAGAAAAAGAGTCATGACCTGGAAAAGCAGTGTACTTTTTACAGTTAGGACTCTCGTGTTTGCTTCCTTCTTTTTGCATTTTTGGACATGATGAAAGGTAATTTTATTTATTTTTATAATGATAGCCATTTACTCCAGCACTATTTGTTGAGTTATCCATTATTTCCTCACTGTTTTGTCCCTTTAGTCTTTCTAATTTTAGTGAGGACTTGTGAATTGCTTTTAAAATGACTTTTTCTTTCTATTTTTAATCACAGTATTTAGATCATTTACATTTAGTGGAATTATTGATACACTTAGATTTAAATCTACCATCTTGTTCTTTTCTATTTGTCTCCTTTGTTCTTTGTTCCTTTTTTCTTCTTTTTCTTCTTGGATTTGGATTAACTGAATTTGTTTTTTATGATTCCATTTTATGTCCACATTGGCTTATTGGTTAAACACTCCCTATTTTTAGTGTTTGTGCTGGTATTTATAATATCATCCATCTCTAGTTCTTTACTGAATATCTTCAAATAATTTTATGCTATTATATATATAGCGTAAATATCTTTCAACAGTATAATTCTCTTTTCTGTCTTTTGTGCTGTTATATATTTCACTTTTTCATATGCCATAAATTCTATAATACATTCTCTTTATTTTTACTTTAGACAATAATTTATCTTTTAGAGTGATTAAATATAAGAAAAAAAGTCTTATGTTTACCTTCATCTTTTTTCCATTTTGGGAACTCTTAATTTCTTTGAGTTTCTGTTTGGTTTCACATTTCTTCTGCCTGAAGAATGTCCTTTAACACTTCATGTGAACAGGTCTACTGGCAGTGAATTCAGCTTTTTTCTTTTTCTGGCCTAAAAAAAATCTTTTAAAACAATTAATATGTAATAGTTGTACATATTTCAAGGATATATGTGGTATTTTAATACATTCATTCCATGTACAGTGATCAAATCAGGATAATGGGGTATTCATCACTTTAAACATTTATATTTTATTTATGTCAGGAATATTCCAATTCTTCTTTTCTAGCAGTTTTGAATTATACAATAAACTATTGTTAACTATAGTTACCCTACTGCACTATCAAATGCTAGATCTTGTGCCTTCTACTTAACTATATTTCTGTATCTATTAACCAACCTTGAAAAAAGTCTTTATTTCATCTTCATTTTGAAAGAATTTTTTTTTTTTTTTTTTTTTTTTGCTGAGTTTAGAATTCTGGGTTGACAGTTGTTTTTTGCTTTTTGCTTTTGTTTTGGGGCTTTTTGTTTTTTCTTTCAAGATGTCACTACATTGCTTCTGACCTACATAGTCTGATGAGAAGTCTACTCTAAGTCTTACTTTAGTTCCTCTTTATGTAATGTATCTTTTTTTCCCTCTGGAAATTTTCCAATTTTTCTCTGTCTTTAGTTTTCAGCAGTTTGATGTGTCCAGGTGTGTATGCACGTGTGTTTGTGTGTGTGTGTGTGTGTGTGCGTGTTTTGAGATGGGGGTCTCAGTTTGTCACCTAGGCTGGAGTGTAGTAGTGCAATCATGGCCCACTGCAGCCTTGACCTCCTGGGCTCAGCCTCCTGATGTAGCTGGAACTACAGGCATTTGTAGTGCCCCCACCTCCCATCATTTTTAACAGCTGTATTGATATATAATTCATGTACCATAAAATTTACCCTTTTAAATTGTACAATTCGGTGATTTTTAGTATGAAATGCTACACTTAAGAAATACAAATACATTTTTAAAGTAATTTACCATTAATAGCCTAAAATCAAAGAACAAGTCATTTTGTAAGAAATGAATACTGTGAGTATATGTTAAGATGTTAAAAGAAGACATTTCATTAAAATTTTTCTTATCTTTGATATTTATATATATATTATGCTTTCCAAGAATAAAAAAAACTAAACTTCAGTTGGGGAACCACTGGAGTGGCAGTAGGGGTAAACTTTCAAATCTACTTTCAGCTGCAGTGTGTGTGTTGCCTTTGCTTCTTCCAGGATTCTTTGGTGTATTGCTGGCCACAAACATGTTAATTTTCCATCTTGGAGTTTCCTCAGTCATGCAGGTGGTATAAATTTATATCCTAAACCTGTATGAGATATAGACCCACAGCTACACATTCACATTTTCAGGGGACACTTTTTCCTAGCCAGATATGAGATGGGAATCAAAACATTTCCTTCTTATCTCTTTATGCATAGGCTTGAAATTTTTCTGTCAGTGACTTCATTAAGCCTTTTGTGAGTTTCAGCTTCATGCAAAGGTCTCAGTTCCAGCCTCCCCCAACATATGGACCTAGTGAGCCTCTAGGTTATCAGACTGATACTCTTCCCAAGTCCAGGTGTCAGTTTAGCTCACAAACTTACTGTTCTGGATTTTAGTTTTATCTGTTTGGGCACCTGTGTTTTTCTGTATCTATGTATTAGATATGTGTGGATGTATGTATGTGTCTTTTAAATGCAAGCCTCAATTAACCTGTGCATTTAAAATAATGTCATATTTTATCCATCAGTACTAGGAGGAAGAAGGATTTTTAGCCAGTCATGCTGTTGTGACCATAGTTTATAATTAATCATTGTGCTTGCTCTTTATAGTTTCTAACAGTTTGTCTGTTTATAATATTGTGCAATGGTTGAGAGCAGTTCAGACTCTGGAGTCAGGACATTTGGGTTCAAGCTTCCTCACTTTCTGTCTTGAGATTTTGGTAACGTATTTGACCTCTCAATGCCTTGGTTTCCCCATCTGTAAGTGAAAATAACTCCTACTTCATAGAAATGTTGTGAGAAAGCACTTAGCACATAAGTGCTCAAGAAATGTTAGTTTTTTATAATTATCTTTGAATATCTCATTTTAGTCTATATCTTAAGCTCTGATTTTGCTATGTTTCAACCATGATGAAAACACTTACTATGTCTCCTAGGTGGAGGTAGGAGACAAACAAATAAAATGCAAAATAGTCTGTTCCTTTTTTAGTGTTTATACATTGCTTTGGCTACTTAACAGCAAAGCTTATTTTCCTCCAAATTACCACCTCTGTCAGAAACATAGATGGATAATGCTGCTTTCTTCAGACTGCTCAAAGATCTCAAATGTAGCCTAGTATTATTTTCATACCTAGAGTAAGGTATACTTAGAATGCAAATACCATGGCCTGGCCTTATTTCTATGATGGACACAACAATCCAATTTTCCAGTATTCACATAAGGTTATATTAAATAGAAGTCAGATTTCTTTCAGAGTAGACAAGAATCTCTAATTATTGGATAACCAAGAACATTTATTTAGGCATTACCAAGGACATTTATTAACATTAGAATGTTAATTTATAGATGTTACATTTTGTGAGAGAATGAACACTTACTGTATTTTTCCAATAATAAAGACATGAAAGGAAGAAAATAATATCTCTTTAAACAGGGGCTTGAAAGGTACTAAAAGCATTTACTAGTCTAACTACTAGGTAACTTCTATGAAAAAATAACTTTATTGTTTGCTTTCTTGCTGTGGTAGGAAAAGTAGATTTTAAGTACCGTCTGGACCTTTTTGTACTTTAGGTGGGATTTCAGCACAATTAGAGCCAAGAAAGAAAACATCTAGTCAGCTAGTTTTGTCTTTGGGGAAAGAAAGAAACTAAAAGAACACAGTTATTTGAGAATAAATTAAAGAGCTTATTCATAGGGAAAGGGGATTTTAGCCCTAGCCCTAGAAGCTGTTGGAATAGAAAGAGAATGGGAAAGCTGAAGTGACATGGGACAAAAACTCCCTTTTCTGTTATTTATATATATTTATTTATTTATTTATTTAAATATTTATAAATATTAAATATATATAATTTATAATATATAATTAAAATTCTATATTATATGTAAAAATTATATATATAATTAAATACAGTTTTATATATATATATATATATATTTTTTTTTTAATGGAGTTTCAATCTTTGTTGCCCAGGCTGGAGTGCAGTGGCGCAATCTTAGCTCACTGCAATCTCTACCTCCCGGGTTTAAGCGATTCTCCTGCCTCAGCCTCCCCTGTAGCTGGGATTACAGGCACCCACCACTGCGCCCAGCTAATTTTTGTATTTATTTACTTTTTTTTTAGTAGAGACGGGCTTTCACCATGTTGGCCAGGCTGGTCTTGAACTCCTGACATCGGGTGATCTGCCCGTCTTGGCCTCCCAAAGCGCTGGCATTATAGGCCTGAGCCACCGTGCCCGGCATCTGTGCTATATTTTTAAAAGAAAATTTAATGTACTGTACTGAATACAAGAGAAACCTAGGACAGTCAGCATCATCCATGAGGAAGAGAAAAGCACATCATATATTACACATCTGAACCATGAATCATATGTTCTTGAACACAGTCTTTACTAACTCAGAAGAAACTCCTAAATAGATCTCAGATATATACCACCCTAAACTTGGACACAGTTTGTAATTCTACTCATAATCTGAGGAAATCCCTTTTATGCTAGTGGATCTCTTGTTTTAAATGTTTATCAAATATTTTATAGTATTATTTTCATATTATGTTAACAGATGTCGTGTATTAAAGTTACCATGAAGACAGCATATTATATTGGGAAGAGCAGAGCTCGTAGATTCACAAGGTCCTACTACTTCTAACACTGAACTAGTTTTGGAACCTTGGGACCTTGGGCAGAGTACTTCCTGAGACTGAATTTCTTCATTTGAAAAATAAATAAGAAAGAAAAAAAAAAACTCCTTTTCATTTTTTTCTCATAGGACTTTTGTGAAGAGTAATGCTGATAATGTATGTGAAATACTTTGTACAGATTGATGGTGATGTTTATTATTTATATAATTTTAAAGAAATCTCAACGTCTATGTCTTCCTCTCAGAATTTTTCTTATTATATTCTAGGCCTTTAATGATTGACCCCCAGGGTCAAGCCAATAAGTGGATCAAAAACTCTGAAAAAGAAAATCAGCTTAGTGTTATTAAGCTATCAGATTCAGACTATATGAGAACATTGGAAAACTGTATTCAGTTTGGAACTCCACTTCTATTAGAAAATGTTGGTGAAGAACTGGATCCATCTTTGGAGCCTTTACTACTCAGACAAACTTTTAAACAAGGTATAAAGCAATTACTATTAATCTGTAGAACTGAAAGATGATTGAATTATCTTGGAGGCATGAAAGAAGCCTACTACATACATTTAATAATAATGTTAATAATGCAGAACTTCTGGCTCATTGTTATGAGTGAAAGGAAATTTGGAACAAGCTATCAGGAATGAACCTTAGCCAGGTATTCTAAGATAAATACCTTGCCCTCTCTTCATTGCCTTAACCACTGTTATCTAGACTGTCAGAGAACATAAAGAAGTTGAAGCCAGCTTGAAATTGCTTTATCCTGTGACCCTTGACCACCAAAAGTCTGTTGTTATGAATAGTGATGGTGTCAAACTCCTGGCCTCAAGTGATCCTCCTCCCTCAGCCTCCCAAAGTGCTGGGATTACAGGAATTAGCCACCATGAATAGTGATGGTGAATGTGGGCCTGAGTTGAGTTTAGGTAAACATTGTCCAGCTAATATCTTTCTGTTTATAAAAATTTGTCTCTGCCAAGTGCTATTACCTTTAAGAGCTTTAGTCATTTACATATATTTTAGAATCATGATTGAAAATTGATGGAGGAAGAAAGCTCAAAATAAATCTTGATTTACAAAGCTCTATGACAACCAGAGAAAATGTCCTATATTAACCCAGAAAGAGTCCTGCTGTATAATTGCTTACTTGCTGCTGTGTCTGTGACTTTTGCCACTCCTGTTTTCTGTATGTTATTATTATCATTTTGAGACAGAGTCTTGCTCTGATGCTCAGGCTGGAGTGTAGTGGTGCAGTCTCAGCTCACTGCTTCCTGGGTTCAAGCGATTCTTGTTCCTTAGCCTCCAAAGTAGCTGGGATTACAGGTGTGTTCCACCATGACACCCAGCTAATTTTTTTAGTATTTTTAGTAGAGATGGGGTTTCACCATGTTGGCCAGGCTGGTGTTGAACTCCTTACCTCCAGTGATCCACTTGCCTTGGCCTCCCAAAGTGTTGGTATTATAGGTGTGAGCCACTGAGCCTGGCCCTGTTTTCTATTTTAAATTACTTTAGGACCGTTTATTTGTAACCTAGGCAAGGCCATAGAAGTACATAGCATGAGGGGCTATGTAACTAGCTCACTTGTTATGCATTTGTTTTCTGAAATATAGGTGGCATTGATTGCATCAGACTTGGTGAGGTCATTATTGAGTATTCCTTTGATTTCAAATTTTATATCACCACAAAACTGAGAAACCCGCACTATATGCCAGAACTGGCTACAAAAGTGTCTTTGCTCAATTTCATGATAACTCCAGAAGGACTTGAAGATCAATTACTAGGTATTGTTGTTGCAAAGGAGAGGTATGTATTTTCTTAGATGCTTCTAGATGGTTTAAAAAGGAATATTTGTAGGTCATTAATATTTATGTTTTGTGAATATTTTAAAACTTTGTCAAATTTTATACTTTGTTACTATAAATAATCACATAATCTCTAAAATAGCCATCTGTAACAAGTAAGTTATAAGCCAACCGTGTTATATTGGGCTTTTAGTATGGGCAGTTGGGTTCAGGTTACCTGCCATTGTTACAGGAAAGGGATCCCGATCCAGACTCCACGAAAGGGTTGCTGGATCTCATGCAAGAAAGAATTCAGGGCGAGTCCACAGAGTATAATGAAAGCAAGTTTATTAAGAAAGTAAAGGAATAAAAGAATGGCTGCTCCATAGAGCAGCCCCAAGGGCTGCTAGTCGTCCATTTTTATGGTTATTTCTTGATTATATGCCAAACAAGGGATTATTTATGCTTCCCTTTTTTAGACCATAGAGGGTAACTTTTTGACATTGTCATAGCATTTGTAAACTGTTAGGGCACTGGTGGGGTGTAGCAGTGAGGAGGACCAGAGGTCACTTTTGTGGCCATCTTGGTATTGGTGGGATTTAGCCAGCTTCTTTACTGTAATCTGTTTTATCAGCAAGGTCTTTATGATCTGTTTCTTGTGTTGACATCCTATCTCATCCTGTGACTTAGAATGCCCAACCGTTTGGGAATGCAATCCAGTAGGTTTTAATCACATTTTACCCACCCCCTGCTCAAGATGGAGTTGCTCTGGTTCAAATTCCTCTGACACCATGACTTCTGACTTGTACCTGAATGAGACAGAAATTTCACCCCTAGGAATCTATGCTATGACCGTAAATAGAAATACATTTATATATATATATATATGTGTACACACACACAAGATATTAATAAGAAAATGCTTAGCAAAAGAAGGAAAAAGCAGCATATAAAACTATATCCAGAATAGGTGATATTTTGTTTAAAAAAAGATTGATATTTATCTACATATATAAAAAGAATAAAAAAAGATTGGAAAGGAATACACTTCAATGTTAAAGTAATTATCTCTGTGGTGGTAAGATTATGGGTAAGTTTTATTGTTTTCTTTATACTTTATATATGTACTATTTTTATTTTAAGTTCCAGGATACATGTGCATGATGTGCAGGTTTGTTACATAGGTAAACGTGTGCCATGGTGATTTGCTGCGCTTATCAACCCATCACCTAGGTATTAAGCCCAGCATGCATTAGCTATTTTTCCTGATGCTCTCCCTCCTCCTACCCACCCTGACAGGCCCCAGTGTGTGTTGTTCCCTACCCTGTGTCTACGTGTTCATATTTTTCAGCTCCCACTTATAAGTGAGAACATGTGGTGTTTGGTTTTCTGTTTTTGTGTTAGTTTGCTGATGATAATGGCTTCCAGCTCCATCCATGTCTCTGCAAAGGACATTATCTTGTTCCTTTTTATGGCTGCATAGTATTCCATGGTGTATATGTACCACATTTTCTTTATCCAGTCTATAGTTGATGGACACTTAGGTTGATTCCATGTCTTTGCTATTGTGAATAGTGCTGCAGTGAACATACACGTGCATGTACCTTTATAATAGAATGATTTCTATTCCTTTGGTATATACCCAGTAATGGGATTGCTGTGTCAAATGGTATATCTGGTTCTAGGTCTTTGAGGAATCACCAGACTGTCTTCAATGGTTAAACTAATTTACATTCCCACCAACAGTGTAAAAGCGTTTCTATTTCTCTGCAGCCTCACCAGCATCTGTTTCTTGACTTTTTAATAATCGTCATTCTGACTGGCATAAGATGGTATCTCATTGTGGTTTTGATTTACATTTCTGTAATGATCAGTGATGTTGAGCTTGTTTTCATATGTTTGTTGGCCACATAAATATCTTCTTTTGAGAAGTGTCCTTATGTCCTTTGCCCATTTTTTAATGGGGTTGTTTGTCTTTTCTTGTAAATTTGTTTAAGTTCTTTGTAGATTCTGGATATTAGACCTTTGTCAGGTGGATTGATTGCAAAAATTTTCTCCCATTCTGTAGGTTGTCTGTACATTCTGATAGTTTATTTTGCTGTGCAGAAGCTCCTTAGTTTAATTAGATCCCATTTTTCAATTTGTGTTTTTGTTGCAGTTGCTTTTGATGTTTTTGTCGTGAAATCTTTGCCTGTGCCTATAATAAGGATTAAAGACTTAAATGTAAAACCCCAAATATGTATTTTTTTTAAAATGAGGAAAAACACTATGGTACCTGGGAGGGCTACTAGTAAAGAATTGCTTCTGGAAGGAAATCTGATTTCACTTGAATCTAAATGTAGCATTATCAAGTGGTCTAATAAATGAAATCGAATTAAAAGTGAAAATATGTAACCATGAAGTGTTTCTTCCAATATTTAAATCCCACTTGTAGAGTGTCCAATATGGAACCATGTCATAACTTATTCTATTCCATGGTAGACTGTGTTATTTTGAAGTTTCATCCCATTTTTGTTTGATATAAATGTTTTGACACAAGTGCCAATTTTGCCTTTCACTTAAAGAACCAGCTTTATCACCAGTCATCCTTTCAATGTGTGCTACTATAGAAAATATGATGAAAATGAGACTTAGTGATGACAAAATCAAGAAATAGATAAGAAGTTCATACTTTGAGTTTCTTCTCCAGTTCTTACTCTTGCATACCAGCTATGCCATATGGATAAGTCTAATGTGTTCTTAGACTTACTGTGGCACATGTTATTGCCACATTTTACGTGTATACAATTAATGCTTTTCTTGCTTGAACTTCTCAAATAGTTATATGTGTGAAAGTTTTCTTCCCTTAAAGCAATTAACCACCTTAGTTTGTGTTAGATGTCTACAAATTTGTGATATGTAACACTTAGATATAAATTTAGATAAAATACTACAAATTTGGACTAAATGTTTCTATCTTTTTAGACCAGAATTAGAAGAGGAACGAAATGCCCTGATTCTTCAGTCTGCAGCTAACAAGAAACAGCTGAAAGACATAGAGAAAAAAATTTTAGAAACATTATCATCATCAGAAGGAAACATTTTAGAAGATGAAAGTGCAATTAAAGTCTTAGACTCTGCCAAAATGATGTCCAATGAAATAACAAAGAAACAGCAGGTGAAAAAAGAATCCTAGAAGTCTTTTGATTTAAATCTTAAGATTATTAAGAAATCTTAAGATCCTGATTTGTTTCCAGTCCCCAAGGAAGGTGTTGGTGTAGCCTTGCTGGAAAGGAAAAAGAAAATGATAAAATACCAAAACATAAATTTAAACTCATAAGAGAATATCTTACTGTTAAATTATTTAAAACCTGGTCTGATCTATATGGTATCTATACACAGAAGAAATAAATTTAGAATGAACGTTTTAAAATATATTTATTATTATTGGATAGGTATTATTACAAGTATCAGATAGGTATTATTATTGGATAGGTAAGGTATTATTAGAAGTATTGGATAGGTATCCAGTTTCAGCTTTCTACATATGGCTAGCCAGTTTCCCCAGCACCATTTATTAAATAGGGAATCCTTTCCCCATTTCTTGTTTTTGTCAGGTTTGTCAAAGATCAGATGGTTATAGATGCATGGTGTTATTTCTGAGGGCTCCGTTCTGTTCCATTGGTCTATAACTCTGTTGAAACTGGATTCCTCCCTTATACCTTATACAAAAATTAATTCAAGATGGATTAAAGACTTAAATGTTAGACCTAAAACTGTAAAAACCCTAGAAGAAAACCTTGGCAATACCATTCAGGACATAGGCATGGGCAAGGACTTCATGACTAAAACACCAAAAGCAACGGCAACAAAAGCCAAAATAGACAAATGGGATCTAATTAAACTAAAGAGCTTCTGCACAGCAAAGGAAACTTCCCTCAGAGTGAACAGGCAACCTACAGAATGGGAGAAAATTTTTACAATCTACCCATCTGGCAAAGGGCTAATATCCAGAATCTACAAAGAACTTAAACAAATTTACAAGAAAAAAATGAAATAACCCCATCAAAAAGTGGGCAAAGGATATGAACAGACACTACTCAAAAGAAGACATTTATGCAGCCAACAGACACATGAAAAAATGCTCACCATCACTGGCCATCTGAGAAATGCAAATCAAAACCACAATGAGATACCATCTCACACCAGTTAGAATGGCGATCATTAAAAAGTCAGGAAACAACAGGTGCTGGAGAGGATGTGGAGAAATAGCAACACTTTTACACTGTTGGTGGAAGTATAAATTACTTCAACCATTGTGGAAGACAGTGTGGCACTTTGTCAAGGATCTAGAACTAGGAATACCATTTGACCCAGCCATCCCATTACTGGGTATATACCCAAAGGATTATAAATCACGCTACTATAAAGACACATGCACACGTATGTTTATTGTGGCACTACTCACAATAGCAAAGACTTGGAACCAACCCAAATGTCCATCAATGATAGACTGGATTAAGAAAATGTGGCACATATAGACCATGGAATACTATGCAGCCATAAAAAAGAATGAGTTCGTGTTCTTCGCAGGGACATGGATGAAGCTGGTGGAAACCATCATTCTGAGCAAACTATTGCAAGGACAGAAAACCAAACACTGCATGTTCTTACTCATAGGTGGGAATTGAACAATGAGAACACTTGGACACAGGGTGGGGAACATCATACACTGGGAGCTGTCATGGGGTGGGGGGAGTGGGGAGGGATAGCATTAGGAGGCATACCTAATGTAAATGACGAGTTAATGGGTGCAGCAAACCAACATGGTACTTGTATACATGTGTAACAAACCTGCACATTGTGCACATGTACCCTAGAACTTAAAGTATAATTTTAAAAAAATATTGGAAAGGTATTATTATTGAACAGGTAAGTTATTATTATTGGATTGGTAAGGTATTATTAGAAGTATCAGATAGGTATTATTATTGGATAGGTAAAGCAGGATACTTGGGTTCATTCAGGTTTTAATTGACTCTTCTCTGGAAAATTGAATTTGAGAGCTTGTCTTACCTCTGTTTCTGATTGGAGTTCTTGGTGGAGGTAGTTGCTAGTTGATTGAACAATTAGGGATTCTAGGAATAAATAGAGATTCTTAGACATTAATTCCGTCATTATCTTGTCATTCGTCGGGAAGACAGGTATAAGAGTTGAGGGTGGCAGGTAGAGGAAGAGAGGCAAAT
Organism: Homo sapiens; assembly: GCF_000001405.40. Taxonomy (NCBI): domain Eukaryota; kingdom Metazoa; phylum Chordata; class Mammalia; order Primates; family Hominidae; genus Homo; species Homo sapiens. Next base: position 57,361,525 of record NC_000003.12, on the reverse strand, counting down.
AGTTTACAGCCAATAATGGATTTATTGCAAATTCACCTAACAGAGCTGAATGAGATATATATATATATATATATATATATAGTGTGTGTGTGTATATATATATAGTGTGTGTGTATATATATATAGTGCGTATGTATATATATAAGTGTGTGTATATATACGTATATATATTTTTTGAGACAGAGTTTTACTCTTGTTGTCCAGGCTGGAGTGCAGTGGCGTGATCTCAGCACACTCCAACATCCACCTCCGGGTTCAAGGAATTCTCCTGCCTCAGGACTCCTGAGTAGCTGGGATTACAGGCGCCCACCATGCCAGGCCAATTTTTTTGTATTTTTAGTAGAGACAGGGTTTCATCATGTTGGCCAGGTTGGTCTTGAACTCCTGATCTCAGGTGATCTACCCGTCTCGGCCTCCCAAAGTGCAGGGATTACAGGCGTGAGTCACCGTGCCCGGCCCTGAATGATATTTTTATGTTACTTCTCTTTTTATAGAATAATACAATGTTATAAGCAGAAAAGGCGTTAGCAAGCAGTTATTTTTTGCACTTCATAGTTGAGGAAACTAGGGCCCAGAAAGGTTGGCTAAGGCCCAAGTTTACACAATTAAATGGTATTACAGAATGACTTCTGTAAGCTAACGTTATTGATCTTCAGGCCTTTTGGTTTTCCTTGACCCACCCAATGAATTATGTGCTCCTTCACTTTAGGGTAATTAAAAAATAAAAAGAAAGCTAAACAGAGATTGCACTAATTACTCATCATCTCTGCACTGCTCCCCACCCCACAATGCACCCTTGCTCTGGGACAGAGGACTTGTTGTTGTTGTTGTTGTTGTTGTTACAGAGTTTCGCTCTTGTTGCCCAGGCTATAGTACAATGGCACCATCTTGGCTCATTGCAACCTTCGCCTCCGAGTTCAAGCGATTCTTCTGCCTCAGCCTCCTGAGTAGCTGGGATTACAGGCATAAGCCACCACACCCGGCTAATTTTGTATTTTTAGTAGAGATGGGGTTTCTCCATGTTGGTCAGGCTGGTCTCGAACTCCCAACCTCAGGTGATCCGCCTGCCTTGGCCTCTCGAAGTGCTGGGATTACAGGCATGAGCCACTGTGCCTGGCTGGACAGAGGACTTTCTAAAGCTCTAGGCACCCTTCCCTTTTGGATAGATTTATTTTGCATGAATGTGATGGTAATCATGCTTTCTGGTCACTTGTACTATTTGGTGCTTTGTTTTGTTTTGGGTTTTTCATCTTGGGGGAGCCAAAGGAGTAGGGTCTTAGAGTAATATTCTGTGGCAGCCCCCAGTCTGGGACCATGGCTGAGATATTCTGTAGTGTCTCCTTTCCCAATACCCGTCCATCAGAGCAGAACAAGCTGCTACTTGTTCCCTCACCAAACTAGTTTTCAAAGGGGAGAGAAGATAGGGAGCATTTATTGGCTTATTTCCTATTAAGACTCGAAGAGAAAGGAAGATTTAATTATTTATTGGTTCAAGTGCTTTATCTTACAGTGAGAAAAATATAATAAATGATAGGACCTTTCTGACTGGATCCCACTGATCATTGCAAACATAGTTTTAAATTCATTATATGGTTTGAGCTAAAACATACTCTGTATCTGACCCTGACTTCTATTCTACCTTTCTCCACCTACCTAAGAAAAAACATCTTCAGGGAAGGCTCTCCAAAATAGTCAAAATCTGCTTTTCCCTTTTCCCTGAACCCACAAGATTAAACAAACAAACAAAACTTTACAAGTTTATTCTAGAGATTTCAAAATTTACCCCTACTGCTACTCCAGTGGTTTCCTGACTGAAGTTTAGTCTTTTTTATTTTTGGAAAGTATAATATATATAAATATCACAGACCAGAAAAAGTTTTACAAGTAATGAGTTGCCCTCTTTTAACATCTTAACATATACTCACAGTATTTCTTTCTTTCTTTCTTTTTTTTTTTTTTTTTTTTTGAGATGGAGTTTCGCTCTTGTTGCCCAGGCTGGAGTGCAATGGCGCAATCTCGGCTCACAGCAACCTCTGCCTCCCGGGTTCAAGCCATTCTCCTGCCTCAGCCTCTGGAGTAGCTGGGATTACAGGCATGCGCCACCACGTCCGGCTAATTTTGTATTTTTAGTAGAGATGGGGTTTCTCCATATTGGTCAGGCTGGTCTCGAACTCCGGACCTCAGATGATCCACCCGCCTCAGCCTCCCAAAGTGCTGGGATTACAGGCGTGAGCCACCGTGCCCAGCCCATAGTATTTATTTCTTAGAAAATATCTTGTTCTTTGATTTTAGAACACTAATGGTAAATGATTTTTAAAATGTATTTATATTTCTTAAGCCTAGCATTTCATGCTAAGGATTCAAGTTTAGCAAACACTGTAAGTATGCATAGATCAAGCCATGGAATACTAATTAAGTTATTATTTAATGTTTAAAAATTACGGCCGGGTGCAGTGGCTCATGCCTGTAATCCCAGCACTTTGGGAGGCCAAAGCAGGTGGATCACCTGAGGTCAAGCGTTCGAGACTAGCCTGACCAACATGGTGAAACCCCATCTCTACTAAAATACAAAAATTAGCCAGGTGTGGTGGTGGACGCCTGTAATCTCAGCTACTTGGGAGGCTGAGGCAGGAGAATCGCTTGAACCCAGGAGGTGGAGGTTGTAGTAAGCTGAGATCATGCCGCTGCACTCTAGCCTGGGTGACAGAGCAAGACTCCCTTTCAAAAAAATAAAAGTTATATTTCCTGTTTGTTTCTGCTTGCTATTGCTATTAATTGCAAAATGACATTTGAATTGAAAGTCAAAGTTTAAATAGCAAAAGGTTTAAGTGAGAATACAAAAATTATGCTTTCTTACATAAGATGTCATTAATTCCCATTGTCGATAACTTTGTTTTACTTATTTATAGTTAGGACTGAGATTCCAAACTTATTTTTAGTTCATTTGTGGTTATACAGTGTAATTTTGGGGAAAGTTTGTTTGCAAGGAACAGGAACCCACTTGAATTAGCTAAAATAAAAAAGATACAAGGGAATAATTTATTTTCTCAATTATAGGACATACATCCAGACCTCAAGGATGAACGGAAGGCCTTAAGTTTCTGTACTCTCTGTCTCTTCCTCTACCTCCGGGGCTGTGTGGTCATTCTGTGCTTCCCTCTACTCTATCTGAAGACCAGTTTCTTTTAAGACTTTTGTATCTCTTCCTTTATATACTCATCTAGCATGTAGAAACCAACATGTAGAAAAAGTCCCACTACCTTTTACTCCTAATGCCAATGCCACCTAACTTCAGTTTCCGAGGCTTTTAAAGTTTTAATTCTCCAGGGAAATTTTTGATTACCTTATCTTGGATCTGGTTCTAGCCCTGCCTCTTGATTAAATTAGCAACAAACAGGATTTGATATAAACATGACTACATAGGCATACCATTCATCAGAGTCTGTGGATAGCATTACCAAAGAAAGAAGAGTGAGTTGGAATAGTGCTCGAAACATTTTTTTCTATAGAATATCAACCTATCCGATTGAGTTGAAGAGCTATTATCTTGGAGAACATTTTTCTTTGGGGGTTGAATATCTACAGCCCTGTTAAGTTAGAAAATTAAACATATGAGAAGCTAGTTGAAAAAGCATTCTTGTATATAAAACCATCAATCAACAAATAGTTTTGAATACCTACTTTGCCAGACTGTGCTGGGTTCCAGTACACGAGTTAACACCTTAAATATACGCACATGTACACTTGCTCTCCATCCCTCTCTCCCTCTTTATCTCTGACCTGTTAAGATAAAAGAAGGTGAATGACTACAGTAGACACAGGTCAGTCAGTCAAAGAATAAGCAAAGCTTTCTTATTTGGTATGTCTCAAGAAAGAGATGGTTGGTAGCTGATCATACTGTTAATCTAAAGTTTAAACTTGTTTTTTCTTTTTTCCTCTCTTGTTCCTCCTTTCTCTCCTTCCCCTTTCCTCCATCCCTAGTTCTTTCCTTCATCCCCTTTTGTTTTCTTTATTTCTGGCTTTTAGTATGATAAAGCCCTCTCTTGTAAACCATACTTAAACTCATATACTGTTATTGCACTGAGATTTTTTTAAAATATATATACTTCATTATATGAAAAGTACATAACTAAAATACTCTTCCTATTTCTTAATCTCGCTTTTTCTGTTCTCCTAGATTGCAGAAAAAACAGAACTCAAAATAGCAGAGTCTCGAGAAGGCTATAGACCCATCGCCAAACACTCGTCAGTGTTATTCTTTAGCATTGCAGACCTGGCTAATATTGATCCCATGTATCAGTACTCTCTCACGTGGTTTGTGAACCTTTATATCAACTCTATTCATGACAGGTAAACATTCTCTCGCTTTATTCATCTTCCCGAGGTTGGATTTTCACAGCCCTTTCCATTTAAAAAAATGTAACTTTTTTTTAAAACTTATATAATGTATATCCATTACAGAACATTAAAAATGTGGAAAAATGGCCGGGTGCGGTGGCTCACACCTGTAATCTCAGCACTTTGGGAGGCTGAGGCAGGCAGATCACTTGAGGTCAGGAGTTCGAGACCAGCCTGGCCAACATGATGAAACCCCATATCTACTAAAAATACAAAAATTAGCCAGGCGTGGTGGCGGGCACCTGTAATCCCAGCTACTCAGGAGGCTGAGGCAGGAGGAGAATCGCTTGAACTCAGGAGGTGGATGTTGCAGTGAGTCGAGATGGCACCCCCGCACTCCAGCCTGCGCAACAGAGTGAGACTGTCTTAAAAAATAAAAATACAAAATAAAAAAGTGGAAAAGTGAAAGAAAAAAAGACATGAAAGATAATCAAAACCTCTTTTCTATTTTAAGTTGTTGTTTCACTCCTACTCAAGATTTAGGCATGGAAGGATTAACTTTAGTTTTTTTCTTCTCTCTCTTAAATATTTCAATGAGGCAGGCACATGATTTATTTTTCCTAGCAACTCTAGCGCATCTTTCTCCAAGACTGAGGTCTCTAAAAGGCTTCAGTCCCACATTTCTTTTTTCTTTATTTTATTTATTTATTTATTTATTTATTTATTTATTTATTTATTTATTTTTGAGACAAGGTCTCACTCTGTCACCCAGGCTAGAGTGCAGTGGCACAATCACAGCTCACTGCAGCCTCAACCTCCCAGGCTCAGGTGATCCACCCAGCTCAGCCTTCAGAGCAGCTGGGACTACAGGTGCACACCACTATGTCTGGCTAATTTTTGAATTTTTTTGTAGAGATGGGGTTTCACCATGTTGCCCAGGCTGGTCTCGAACTCCTGGACTCAAGAAATCTGCCCGACTCAGCATCCCTAAGTGCTGAGATTACAGGAGTGAGCCACTGCACCTGGCCCCACATTTCTAATAGTTTTCTAGATATTTGCACTTTAATCACTTAATGAATGTATGCAAATTTTGGAGTCAGACTGGAGTTGGGGATTACACCTCAGTTCTGCCACATACTAGCTGCATGCCTACAGGCAAATTCGTTAACGTGAGGTAATTGCCTCAATTTTTCTTATCTATAAAATTGGGATAATAATAATACCTACCTTTTGGGTTTTTATGAGAATTAAATGAGATAATTTTTGTAAAGTGTTTATAACAATGTCTGGTATTTACTAACTGCTGTACTTGTTAAGTAAAATAAAAATACGACTTGAGCCAATCATGTATGCTGTGAGAAGTTTCTACATTGGCTCTTGGTAGAATAACCTCTGCTGAGTGATTGAAATCCCTTCTCAGTTGGGATTTGGAATTTGAATTTATACAACCCATATGATGAAGGAAATTCAAGTTAAAGAATTGACATAAAAATGTCAATATCAAGTTTTGGTGAGGATGTGGAGTAATTGGAACCCTCTTACACTGCTGGTTGGATTTTAAAATAAGGTGGCCACTTTGTAAGTTCTTCAAAATATTAAACCTAGATTTGCCATATGACCCAGCAATTCCATTCCTGGGTATATACCCAAAAGAATTGATTGCATATGTTCACACAAAAACTTAAAGTTAAAAAAAAATTTAGGCATAAAATGCTATATTCAACTTACTTGGGTTAGTTTTCCCCCCTTCAACATGTGATGTTATTCATGTGAAATACAGTTAGGTTCATTTGTTTATTTTTATATTTCATTTTAGGGTTTTTCTTCATCTTTGTTGACTTTAATTTTATTATATGTTTGAGTACATGAACCATTAATGACTCCAAAATTCAATCCTGTACCAAAAGATTTACTCAGAGAAGTGTCAATACCACCATCCCTTCCATCCCATTCCCATGGTCCTATGTATTACTTTTTAAAAATCAAATTTTTAATTTTGAGTTAAGTGTAGATTCACATGCAATTATGAGAAATAATAAAGATCTCATGTACCTTTTACCCAGTTGCCCCAATGGTGACATTTTGAAAACCTGTAGAACAATATCACAACCATGATAATAACATTAATACAGTCAAGATACAGAATATTTCTACCACCACAAGGATCTCTGTGTTCCCCTTTTATAGCTATACCCACTTCCTTCCCATCCTTACCCCTTCCGTAACCCTTGGCAACCACTAACCTGTTCTCCATTTCTGTGCTTTTGTTACTTCAAAAATTTTATATAAATAGAATCATATGGCATGTAATGTTTTGAGATTGGCTTTTTTTACTCAGCATAATTCTCCAGGGATTTGTTCAAGTTGCTGTGTATATAAATATTTGGCTCTTTTTGATGGCTGAGAAATAATTCATAGCATGAATTTACCACAGATTAAAATCTGTTTAATCATCTACCTGTTGAAGGACTTCTGAATTACTTCCAGTTTGGGGTTACTATGAATAAAACTGCTATAAACATTCATGTACGTGTATTTGTGAATAGAAATTTTTATTTCTCTGAGATAAATACCCAAGAGTGCAATTGCTGGGTTATGTAGCAGCTGTTTGTTTAGATTTTTTTTCTTTTTTTTTTTCTTTTTTTTTTTAGCAAACAAGACATAGGGTTTATTGAGGACTCTTTTTTTAAACTTTTACATTCAGGGGTACATGTGCAGGTTTGTTATACAGGTAAACTACATGTCACAGGGGGTTAGTATACAGATTATTTCATCACCCAGGTAATAAGCATGGTACCCAATAGGTAGTTTTTTGAACCTCACCGTCCTCCTACTCTCCACCTTTGAGTAGGCCTCAGTGTCTATTGTTCCCTTCCTTGTGTCCATGTGTACTCAGTGTTGTAAGTGAGAACATGTGGTATTTGGTTTTCTGTTCCTGCATTAGTTTGCTTAGGATAATGGTCTCCAGCTCCAAAGGACATGAGTTCATTCCTTTTGGTGGCTGTGTTGTATTCCATGGTGTATCTGTACCACATTAGTTTTATCTAGTCTACGATTGACAGGCATCTAGGTTGATTCCATGTCTTTGCTATTGTGAATAGTACTGTGATGAACATACGCATACGTGTCTTTATGGTAGAACAATTTATATTCCTTTGGGTATGTACCCAATAATGGACTGCTGGGTCAAATGGTAGTTCTGTTTTAAGTTCTTTGAGAAATCTCCAAACTGCTTTCCACGGTGAACTAATTTACATTCCCACCAGCAGTGTATAAGTGTTCCCTTTGCTCCACAACTTCACCAGCTTCTGTTATTTTTTTGACTTTTTAATTATAGCCATTCTGACTGGTGTGAGATGGTATCCCATTGTGGTTTTGATTTGCATTTCTCTAATGCTTAATGATTTTAAGCATTTTTTCATATGCTTTTTGGCCATGTGTATGTCTTCTTTTGAAAAGTGTCTATGTCCTTTGCCTACTTTTTAATGGGGTTGTTAGTTTTATGCTTGTTAATTAATTTAAATTCCTTACAGATTTTGGATATTAGATCTTTGTCAGATGTACAGTTTGAAAATATTTTCTCCCATTGTGTAGGCTGTCTGTTTACTCTGTTGATAGTTTCTTTTGCTGTGCAGAAGCTTTTTAGTTTAGTTTTTAAAAATTTTTTAAAGAAAGTGACAGCCTGGGCAACATAGTGAAACCCCATCTCTACAAAAAATACAAAAAAACTAGCTGGGCATGGTGCCATGCACCTGTAGTCCCAGCTACTTAGGAGGCTGAGATGGGAAGATTACTTGAGCCCAGGAGGTAGAGGTTGTAATGAGCTGTGATCATGCCACTGCACTCCAGCCTGGGTGACAGGGTGAGACCCTGTCTCCAAAAAAAAAAAATAAAGTGCCAAACTATTTTTAGAATGGCTACATCATTTTATATTCCCATAAGTATTACATTTAAAAATTAAACTGAAAAAAATTGAAAGCCATATATGCTTATTGTAAACATTTTTTGGAATATGAGAGTATAAAGAGTATCAGTCAACTCCACCCAGTAACTATATTTATCCATATGTTTTCTGACTTTTTATGCATTTTATTTTCTTTTTGAGACGGAGTCTCATTCCATTACCCAGGCTCGAGTGCAGTGACGTGATCTCACACTGCAACCTCCACCTCCCGGGTTCAAGCAATTCTCCTGCCTCAGCCTCCCTCGTAGCTGGGATTACAGGCGTGTACCACCACCCCTGGCTAATTTTTGTATTTTTAGTAGAGATGAGGTTTCACCATGTTGACCAGGCTGGTCTCAAACTTCTGACCTCAAATGATCCACCCACCTCGGCCTCCTAAAGTGCTGGGATTACAAGCAGGAGACACTGCGCCTGACCTTTTCATGCATTTTTAAATTATGTAGATTTTTATCTAGACTTTATGCTTCTTTGGGGCGGGCAAATGTTTCATAATGCTTTGTCTGTTACATTTCCCTCCCTACCATAGAGCCTTACACTAATAGAGATTTAATAGGCATTTTTTTTTTTAATTAACTGATTGTCTTCAGTCACTTTGGGGCAGAATAAGATATTTAGGATTTGGAAAATAGAGAGATGGTGTAAACCATATTTCACTTTCTCAGAGAATTATACCCTACATTTTAAAACTTTTTATTTTAAAATACTTACAGACTCACAAGAAGTTGCACACAGAAAAATACGTGCAGAGAGGTTTCACGTACCCTTCATCTTGTTTCTCCAGTGCTAGCATCTTGCCTATAGTACAACCGAGAAACTGACATTGCTACAACCCATAGAGCTTATTCAGATTTCACCAGTTTTACATGCCCTCGTGTGTGTATCTTTATACGTTTTTAATAGTGATACTTTCATAAAATAAAAAGTGTATATGTTAATTCACATTGCTTATATTTTCTTAGTTTTGTTTGACAATACGTTTTCCTTCTTTTTAACTTTAGTAACAAATCCAAGATTTTGGAAAAGCGCCTACGATATTTAAATGACCACTTCACATACAACTTATATTGTAATATATGCCGATCACTATTTGAGAAGGACAAGCTGTTATTTTCCTTTTTATTATGTGCCAATCTTCTTCTGTAAGTTACTTGCTTTTACCATAATTTATTTATTTTTAAAACCTCCCTGGAAAATCAAATCTGTGAATATGTCTTCTCACAGAAGTCTATATTTTTCTTCGCTTAAGTCATGATTTTACTTGTGCATTTCACTGATAACAATGGCTTCTACGATAGTATCGGTGTTTATTTAATTTTTAAAATTTATGTAACAGAAAAGTTCACAGAGTATTAATGTACAGTTCAACAAATTCTTACAAAGGGAGGATCTGGTGACGAAATAGAACATTTCCCCACCATCCTTGAAGCACTTGTACTCCTTTCAGTTACCACCTCCTTACTACCCCAAAAAGGTAACTACCATAGACTCATTTATAACACTGCAGATTAGCTTGACATATATATATATTACATATATGAATGAAAGCAAGTAATATGTATTCTTTATTCTTTTATCTGGCTTCTTTTCCTCAACATTACTTTTGAGATTCATCCATGTGGTAGCATGAGGCTAGTTCATTTGTTTTGACTGCTTTACAGTATTCCATTATAAGAATACATTGACGTTACCTGTTCTACTCAATGAACAGATGGGTTGTTTCCAGTTTGGCACTATTATAAGTAATGGTGCTATGAACACTCTTGTGTATAAATGTAGAGGGCACATGTGCACACGTTTCTGTTGGGAAGATGTCCAGAAAGAAAATTACAAATTGTTTTCCAGAATGATTGTACCAGTTTATATCCCATTAACAGAATTTGAGCATTCCATTGCACCAGATCCCCACCAACGTTTTATTTTTGTTGGTTTTTTGTTTGTTTGTTTGTTTGTTTGTTTTGAGACAGTCTCACTCTGTTGCCCAGGCTGGAATGCGGTTGTGGGATCTTGGCTCACCACAACCTCCGCCTCCCGGGTTCAAGCGATTCTCCTGCCTCAGCCTCCCGAGTAGCTGGGACTACAGGCGTGCACCACCATGCCCAGCTAATTTTTGTATTTTTAGTAGAGACAGGGTTTCACTATGTTGGCCAGGCTGGTCTCAAACTCCTGACCTCGTGATCTGCCTGCCTCGACCTCCCAAAGTGCTGGTATTACAGGTGTGAGCCACTGCACCCGGCCCCCACCAACGTTTTATATTGTTGTTAAAAAAATCTGTTTTGGTATGTGATACATATTATTGCATCATGGTTTGAATTTATATTTCTCTGATGACTAATGAAGTTGAACACTTGTTCATGTTTATAGGCCACTTGGAAATCTTCTAGTGTACTTGTTCACATCACTTGTCCATTTCTCTATTGGGTTTTTCTTAGTGATTTGTGTGAGTTCTTTATATATTCTAGACACAAATCCCTTGACAATTGTATGTGACAAATTGGCACTCACTCTCTAGTTTGCTTTTTCTTTCTCTTAATGCTGCCTTTTGCTGAGCACAAGTTCTTAATTTTAATATAATCTGATTTATGGTTCTTGCTTTGTGAAAACTCTTTTCACAGCCCAATATTATGAAGGTATTCTCCTATATAACCATCTGGAAGCTTTATTATGCGTTTCACATTTAGATGTACAAGCCACATGCAACTGATGTGTGTGTGTGGTCTAAGGAAATGTCAAATTTTACATTTTTACCATGCAGCTCTCCACTTGTTGAAAAGACTTGGCCTTTTCCCTACTGCTCTGTAGTGCCTTCCTTGCCATAAATAATACATTCATATATCTAGATCTGTTTCTGGACTGTCTATTCAGTTCCATTAATGTGTATGTGTGTAATTAATCTTGATTTCTGATAGTGTTTCATCTTGTTCTTTAATTTTTTATTTATCTCAACTGGTTTTTGGGGGAACTGGTGGTGTTTGGTTACATGAATAAGTTCTTTAGTGGTGATTTCTGAGATTTTGGTGCACCCATCACCAGAGCAGTGTACACTGTACCTAATGTGTAGTCTCTTATCCCTCTCCACCCCCCACACTTTCTCCCAAGTCCCCAAAGTCCAACGTACCATTCTTATGCCTTTATGACCTCATAGCATAGCTCCCATATATGAGTGAGAACATACGAAGTTTGCTTTTACATTACAGTAAGTGAAGCGAGTTACTTCACTTAGAATAATAGTCTCCAGTCCGGGTGTGGTGGCCCACGCCTGTAATCCCAGCACTTTGGGAGGCCGAGGCAAGTGGATCGCCTGAGTTCAGGTGCTCAAGACCACCCAGGGCAACATGGTGAAACCCTGTCTCTACTAAAAATACAAAAAAATTAGCCAGGCATGGTGGCGCATGCCTGTAGTCCCAGCTACTCAAGAGGCTGAGGCAAGAATCAGTTGAGCCCTGGAGGCAAAGGTTGCAGTGAGCCAAGATAGCGCCACTGCATTCCAGCTTGAGCTACAGAGTGGGACTCCGTCTCAAAATAAATAAATAAAGTAGTAGTCTCCAATTCCATCCAGGTTGCTGCGAATGCCATTATTTTGTTCCTTTTTATGGCTGAGTAGTATTTTGTGGTATATATATGTCACATTTTCTTTATCCACTTGTTGATTGATGGGCATTTGGGCTGGTTTCATATTTTTGCAATTGCAAATTGTGCTGCTATAAACGTGTGTACAGGTGTCTTTTTCATATACTGACTTCTTTTCCTCTGGGATACCGAGTAGGGGGATTGCTGGATCAAACAGTAGATCTACTTTTAGCTCTTTAAGGAATCTCCACACTGTTTTCTGTAGTGGTTGTACTAGTTTACATTCCCACCAACAGTGTAAAAGTGTACCCTTTTCACCGCATCCACGCCAACATCCATTTTTTTTGTGTGTGGCCATTCCTGCGGGAGTGAGGTGGTATCATGTTGTGGTTTTGATTTGCGATTCCCTGATAATTAGTGATGTTGAGCATTTTTCCATATGCTTGTTGGCCATTTGTATATCTTCTTTTGAGAATTGTGTATTCATGTCCTTAGCTCACTTTTTTATGAGATTGTTTGGCTTTTTTTCTTGCTAATTTGAGTTCCTTGTAGATTCTGGATATTAATCCTTTGCCAGATATATAGATTGTGATGATTTTCTCCCACTCTGTGGATTGTCTGTTAACTCTGCTGATTATTTCTTTTGCTGTGCAGGAGGTTTTTAGTTTAATTAAGTCCCATCTATTTATCTTTGTTTTTGTTGCATTTGTTTGTTGTTCTTTTACACAAGAGTGTCTTTCTTATTCTTGGATCTTTGCATTTCCATATAAATATTAGCATCATCTGGTCAAGTCCAAAGTGGAAAGATACCCAGTAATGCACTGAAGTTTTGATGAGGAGTGCATTGGAACTGTAAATCAGTTTGTGGAAAATTAACAATTTCACAATACTGAGTGTTTCAATCTAAGAACATAGTATGTCACTCGATTTTCCTTAGTTCTTTTTCATTTCACTCTATAATGTTTCATAGTTTTCTATATCTTGCCCATCCTTTTTTTGAAAAGGCTTTATTTTGTAGAGCAATTTCAGATTCGCAGCAAAACTGAGCAGAAGATAGAGATTTCTTATGTACAACCTCCTGCACTAACAAAACCCCTTACCAGAGTGATATATTTGTTAGCATCTATGAGCTTGCATTGACATATCATTATCACTCCTAAGTAAGTTCATAGGTAACATCAGGCTTCACTCTGGGTATTATACACCTATCAATTTTGGCAAGTGTGTAATGTCATATATCTATCATTGTAGTTTCACTGCTCTAAAAATCCTCTGTGTTCTATTTATTCAGCCCTCCCTCCCCTCAACCCTGCCAATCACTGATTCTTTTGTTATCTCCATGGTTTAGTTTTGTCATTTCCAGAGGGTTATATAGTTGGAATTATGCGCTATGTATGCCTTTTCAGATGGGATTTTTTCTCTTAGTAGTAAGGTTCCTCTTTGTCTTTTCATGGCTTGCTAGCTTATTTCTTTTTAGTGCTGAATTATATTCCATTGTTTGGATGTACCACAGTTTATTCATTAACCTACTGATGGACATCTTAGTTGCTTCTAAGTTTTGGCAATTATGAATAATATGCTACAAACATTCATGTGTAAGTTTTTGTGAGAACATAAGTTTTCAACTCCTTTGGGTAAGTACCAGGAGTGCAACAGCTGGATTGTATGGTAAGAGTATGTTTAGTTTTGTAAAGAACTGCCAAACTGTCTTCCTGAGTGGCCGTACCATTTAGCGTCTCCACCAGCAATGAATAAGAGTTCATGTTACCTATTTTGGAAAGTGGCCATTTTAATAGTGTTTAGTGGTATTTCATTTTAATTTGGAATTTCCTAATGAAATGTGATGTTGAGCATCTTTTCCTATTCTTATTTGCCAACTATATATCTTCTTTGGTGAAATGTCTGTTCAGGTCTTTTGCTTTTTTTTTTTTTTTTAAGACAGATTCTTGATCTGTCACCCAGGCTGGAGTGGCAGTGGCTCTATCTCGTCTTGGCTCACTGCAACCTCCGCCTCCTGGGTTCAATCGATTCTCCTGCCTCAGCCTCCCCAGTAGCTGGAATTACAGGCACCTGCCACCAAGCCCGGCTAATTTTTGTATTTTTCATTGAGACAGGGTTTTACCATGTTGGCCAGGCTGGTCACAAACTCCTGACCTCAAGTTATCTGCCTGCCTTGGCCTCACAAAATGCTGGGATTGCAGGTGTGAGCTCCTGTGCCCAGCTGTCAAATGTTTTTTCTACATCTTTTGATAGGATCATATGGTTTTACTTCTTTACTCTCTTGCTATGATGAATTACATTAATTGATTTTCAAATGTTGAATCAGCCTTTCATACCTATAATAAATCCCACTTAGTCGTGGTGTATAATTCTTTCTATACATAATTGGATTTGATTTGCTGTATTTTGTTGCTAATATTTGCTAACATTTTGTTCCTTTTGTTGAGGATTTTTGCATCTATTTTTATGAGAGATTTTGGATTGTAGTTTTCCTTTCTTATAATGTCTTGCTTGGCTCTGGCATTAGGTAATACTGGCTTCATAGAACCAGTTTCCACTATGTCCTGGAAGACATGGTGGAATTGGTTTAATTTCTTCCTATATGTTTAGTTATGTTTAATTATATGTTTAGAATTATTCAGTGAACCCATCTGGGCTTGGTGCTTTCTGTTTTAGAAGGTTATTAATTATTGATTCAATTTCATTAATAGATACAGGTCTATTCATATTATCTGTTTTCCCTTGTGAGAGTTTTGGGAGATTCTGACTTCTTTATCTTTACGTAATGCTCCTCTTAATTCCCAATAATTTTCCTTGCTCTGAAGTCTTCTTAGTCTGAAATTAATATAGCTACCCTACTTCCCCTTCATTAGTGTTAGCATGGTATATCTTTCTCTATCTCTTTACTTTTAATGTATCTGTGTCTTTCTATGTTTAAAGTGGGTTTCCTGTAGACAGCATATAGTTGGGTCTTGCTTTTGGATCCACTCTGACAACCTGTCTTTTAATTGATGTATTTAGACCATTGACATTTAAACTGATTACTGATACAGTTGGATTAATATCTACCATATATGTTACTGTTTCCTATTCATTGCCCTTGTTCTGTTGTTGTTGTTACTGTTTTCCTCTTCTATTTTTCTGTCTTCTCTGGTTTTAACTATTTTGTATGATTCCATTTTTTCTCTTCTCTTAGCAGATCAATTATACTTACTTTTTTAAAAAACTTTTTTTTGTTATTGCCCTTGAGTTTGCAATGTACATTTACAACTAATCTATCTAAGTCCTCATTCAAATAACACTATACCACTTCCTGCAAGTACTTTGTAACAGACTCTTTACAGTTTCCCCTCCCCCGTGCCTTATAACACTGTGGTCATTCATTTCACTTATCCATAGCTATAGTCACCAAATACATTGTTGCTATTATTATTTTGAACAAGCCATTATTTTCATTTTTGTATCTTTTAATTAACATATAATAATTGTATGTATTTTTTGGTTCCACAGTAATATTTCAGAACATACAGGTTATAGTGATCAGATCAGGGTAATGAGCATATCCATCATCTCAAACATTTATCATTTCTTTGTGCTAGGAACATTCAGTATTCTCTCTTCTAGCTATTTGAAAATATATACAATTGACCCTTGAACAACATGGGTTTCAACTGCAGCAGTCCACTTATACACAGATTTTTAAAAAATAAATATACTGGAAAAATTTCTGAAGATTTGTGACACTTTGAAAAGACAGATGAACTGCCTAGCCAGAAATATTCAAAAAATTAAGAAAAGGTTAGGTATGTCATAAATACATAAAATATATGTAGATACTAGTCTATTTTTATCATTTACTACCATAAAATATGTACAAATCTGTTACAAAAAGTTGAAATTTATCAAAGCTCACACACAGTTCATACATGGCATCATTTGCAGTCAAGAAATATAAACAAATATAAAGATGCAGCATCAAATCATAACTGCATAAAATTAACTGTGGCACACACTGTACTACTGTAATAATTTTGTAGCCACCTCCTGTTGCTGTTGACATGAGCTTAAGTGTTACAATTATCCACTTAAAATGTCAGGTGATGCTCATCATCTCAAGAGCAGTTCATCTCTTCAGTACATTGGGTATGGCAGTAAAAAGTGATCTCTTCATGGTTCTCGTGTATTTTTCGTTGTGTTTAGTAAAATATCACAAACTTGGAATAACATAAGACCCATACAAAGTGCCACTAGTGTATAATTCTTTGTATACATTATGGGATTTGATCTGCTAATATTTTGTCGAGAATTTTTGTGTCTATTTTCATGAGAGATTTTGGTTTGTAGTTTTCCTGGAAGTTCTCCCAAGAGACAGAGAAGAGTCATTACTTTACAAGAAAAAATGGAATTGTTTGATATTTACCATAAATTGAGGTCTGCAGCATGGTTACCCACCATTTCAGACAGACATTTCATCTTGTAAACAGATTATGTAAATTTACAGTATTGGTAAATACAGTATATACCGTAAATGCATTTTTCTTATTATTTCCTTGATAACATTTTTCTGGTATACTTTATTGTAAGAATATAGTATATAATGCATATGACATATATGTACAATTAACTGTTTATCAGTAAGATTTTCAGTCAACAATAGACTACTAGTAGTTAAGTTTTGGGGGAGTCAAAAATTATACATGAATTTTGACCACATGGGGGGTCAGCACCTTAACTCCTGTGTTGGTTGTTCAAGAGTCAACAATAATATATTATTGTTAACTACACTCATCCTACAGTGCTATTGAATACTAGAACTTCTTTTGTATCCTTTAACAAATTTCTCCCTAATCCCTGCTTTTCCCTGTTTCCCAGCCTCTAGTATACTCTGTTCTACTTTTTACTTCTATGAAATCAACTTCATTTTAGCGTCTGCATATAAGTGAGAACATGTGGTGTTTAACTTTGTGTTCCTGGCGTATTTCACTGAACATAATGTCATTCAGTTTCATTCCCGTTGCCACAAATGAGAAGTTTTCATTCTTTTTATGGCTGAATGGTATTCCATTGTGTATGTATACCACATTGTCTTTATCCCTTCATCTGTTGTTGAACACTTAGGTTGATTCCATACCTTGGTTATTGTGAATAGTGCTACCAAAAAAAATCAGGGTGCAGACATCTCTTCAATATAATGATTTCCTTCCCTTTAGATAAAGGCCTGGTTGTGGGATCACTGGATCATACAGTAGGTTGATTTGTAGTTTTTGAGGAACCTCCATACTGTTCTCCGTAATGGTTGTACTAGTTTACAATCCTACCAACAGTGCATAAGAGTTCCCTTTTCTCTGCATCCTCACCAGCATTTGTATTTTTTGGCTTTTTGATGATAGCCATTCTAACTGGGGTGAGATGATATCTCACTGTGGTTTTGATTTGCATTTCCTGAAGGGGTGGCCTGCCCCTCCACACCTGTGGGTATTTCTAGTTGGGTGGGACGAGAGACTGAGAAAAGAAATAAGACACAGAGACAAAGTATAGAGAAACAACAGTGGGTCCAGGGGACCGGTACTCAGCACACCAAGGACCTGCACCGGCATCGACCTCTGAGTTCCCTCAGTTTTTATTGATTATTACTTTCATTATTTTAGCAAAAAGGAGTGTAGAAGGAGAACAGGGTGATAATAAGGAGAAGATCAGCAAAAAACATGTGAGCAAAAGAATCTATGTTATAATTAAGGTCAAGGGAAGATACTATGCCTAGACGTGTATGTGGGCCAGATTTATGTTTTTCTCCACCCAAACGTCTCAGCAGAGTAAAGAATAACAAGGTAGCATTGCTGCAAACATGTCTCGCCTCCCACCATAGGGCGGTTTTTCTCCTATCTTAGAACTGAACAAATGTACAATCGGGTTTTATACCGAGACATTCAGTTCCCAGGGGCAGGCAGGAGACAGTGGCCTTCCTCTATCTCAACTGCAAGAGGCTTTCCCCTTTTACTAATCCACCTCAGCACAGACCCTTTACAGGTGTCGGGCTGGGGGACGGTCAGGTCTTTCTCATCCCACAAGGCCATATTTCAGACTATCACATGGGGAGAAACCTTGGACAATACCCAGCTTTCAAGGGCAGAGGCCCCTGCGGCTTTCCGCAGTGCATTGTGCCCCTGGTTTGCTGAGACTAGAGAATGCCGATGACTTTTACCAAGTATACTGCTTGTAAACATTTTGTTAACAAGGCAAGTCCTGCACAGCCTTGGATCCCTTAAACCTTGATTTTATACAACACATGTTTTTGTGAGCTCCAGGTTGGGTCAAAGTAGTTGGGTCAAAGTGGCTGGGGCAAAGCTACAAATTAACAACATCTCAGCAAAGCAATTGTTTAAAGTACAGGTCTTTTTCAAAATGGAGTCTCTTATGTCTTCCCTTTCTATCTAGACACAGTAACAGTCTGATCTCTCTTTCTTTTCCCCACAATTTCCCTAATTATTAGTGATATCAAACATTTTTTCATGTGTTTTTGGCCATTTGTGTGTTGTCCTTTTAGAACTGTCTGTTCAGATCATTTGCCTATTTTTTTTTTCTTTTGAGACAGAGTCTCACTCTGTCACCCAGGCTAGAGTGCAGTGGCACTTTCTTGGCTCACTGCAACCTCCACCTGCCCGGCTCAGGTGATCCTTCCACCCCAGCTTCCCAAGTAGCTGGGACACAGGCACAAGCCACCATGCTTGGCTAATTTTTGTATTTTTCTTTTTGTAGAGACAGGGTTTTGCTGTGTTGCCCAGTCACGCACTCCTGGGCTAAAGTGATCCACCTGCCTTGGCCTCCCAAAGTGCTGAGATTACATGCATGAACCATCATGCTAGCCTCATTTGCCCATTTAAAAATTAGATTTTTTTGTTCTGTTGACATGTCTGAGTTCCTTGTATATTCTGGATATTAATTCTTTGGTGGATGAATAGTTTACAAATATTTTCTTTTCTTTCCTTTTTTTTTTTTTTTTTTTTTGAGTCTCAGTCTGTCGCCCAGGCTGGAGTGCAGTGGTGCGATCTTGACTCACTGCAACCCCTGCCTCCTGTGTTCAAGTGATTCTCCTGCCTCAGCCTCCTCAGTAGCTGGGTTTACAGGTGCCCACCACCATGCCCGGCTAATTTTTTTTTTTTTTTTTTTTTTTTGTATTTTTAGTAGAGATAGGGTTTCACCATGTTGGCCAGGCTGGTCTCGAACTCCTGACCTCATGATCCACCTGCCTCAGCCTCCCAAAGTGCTGGGATTACAGGCATAAGCCACCACGTCTGGCCAGTTTGCAAATACTTTCTCCCATTCTGTAGGTTGTCTTTTCATTGTGTTGTGTCTTTTGGTGTGCAGAAGCTTTTTTAGTTTGATATAATCCCACTTATTTATATTTTGCTTTTGTTGCCTGTACTTTTGAGTTCTTATTCATAAAATCTTTTCCAGGACCAATGTCCTGAAGCATTTCCCCAGGTTTTCTTCTAGTAGTTTTATAGCTTCAGGTTTTACATTTAGGTCTTGAAGAGATTTTGAGTTGATTTTTGTGTAGAATAAGAGGAGAGAGTCTAGTTTTGCTCTTCTGCATATGGATATCCAATTTTCCCCAGAACCATTTACTGAAGAGACTGTCCTTCCCCAATCAATGTTCTTGGCATCTTTGTCAAAAGTCAGTTGGCTGTAGATACATGGATTAATTTATGGGTTCTCTATTCTGTTCCACTGGTCTGTGTGTCTGGTTGTATGCCAGTACCATGCTGTTTTCGTTAATAGAGCTTTGGTAGTATATTTCGAAGCCTGGTACTGTGATGCATCTAGATTTGTTCTTTTTGCTTAGTATTGTTTTGGCTATTTGCGGTCTTTCGTGGTTCCATGCAAATTTTAGGATTTTTTTTTTTCTATTTCTGTGAAGAACATCATTGGTATATTGATAGAGAGTGCATTGAATCTTTTGATCACCTTGGGTAGTAGAGTCATTTTAACAATATTAATTTTTCTAATCCATAAAGATGGGATGTCATTCTATTTTTTGATGTCTTCTTCAATTTCTTTCAAAAAATCATTGTTTTTTGGTGTTTTTTAAGTTTTCCTTGTAGAGAGCCTTCACCTCCTTGGTTAAATTTATTCCTAGGTATTTTATTTTTTGTAATTTTTGCAGATGGAATTACTTTCTTGATTTCTTTTCCAGCTAGTTCATTGTTCTTATATAAAAACACCACCAATTTTTGTATGTTGATATCTATATCCTGCAACTTTACTGAATTTATTAGTTTTAAGAGTTTTTTGGGTAGAGTCTAAGTTTTTCTATATATAAAATCATGTCATCCACAAACAGGGACAATTTGACTTCCTTCTTTCTAATTTGAATGCCCTTCATTTTTTTCCCCTTGCCTAATTGCTCTGGCTAAGACTTTCAGTACTATTAATATGTTGAATAAGAGTGATGAGAGTGGGTATCCTTGTCTTGTTCCAGTTCAGTATATGGTAGCTGTGGGTTTGTCTTATATAGCCTTTATTGTGTTGAGGTACTTCCTTCTATGCCTAATTTATTGAGAGTTTTATGAGGGATATTGAATTTTATCAAACGCTTTTTCTGGATCTATTGAGATGATCGTGTTGTTTTTGTCCTTCATTCTGTTGTGATGTCTCACATTATTTGTGTAGGTTGAATAATCCTTGCATCCCTAGGATAAATCCACTTGATAATAGTGTATGATATTTTTGATGTGCTGTTGAATTCAGATTTTGTTGAAGATTTTTGCATTTATGTTCATCAGAGACATTGGTCTAGTTTTTTTATGTTGTGTTTTTATCTGGTTTTGGCGTCAGGGTTATGCTGGCCTTGTAAAATGGGTTTGGAAGAATTCCCTCCCCTTCAATTTTTGGGAATAGTTTGAGAAGAATTTTTAAAAATATTAGTTCTTTAAAAGTTTGGTAGAATTCAGCAGTGAAGACATCTGGTCCTGGACTTTTCTTTCTTGATTTCCTTTTCATTACTGTGATTCAATCTCATTACTCATTATTGATCTGTTCAGGTTTTCTATTTCTCCTTGGTTCAATCTTGATAGGTCGTATGTGTCAACAAATTTACCCATCTTCTCTAGGTTCTCAAATTGATTAGTTTATAATTGTTTATAATAGTCTCTGATGATCTTTTGTATTTCCACAGTATCAACTGTAATGTCTCCTTTTGTTTGTGATTTTATTTGGGTCTTCTCTTTTTTTCTTAGTCTAGTTAATGCTCTGTCAATTTTGTTGATCTTTTTGAAAAACCAACTTTTTGTTTCATTGATCTTTTCTATTTTTTTAGTCTCAATGTCATTTATTTCTGCTTTTTATTTTTTTTTCCTTTTTCTAATTTTGAGTTTGGTTTGTTCTTGCTTTTCTAGTTTCTTGAGGTGCATCATTAGCTTATTTATTTGAAATCTTTCTGTTTTTAATGTAGGCATTTATTGCTATAAACTTGCCTCTTGCTATACTTGCTGTAAACTTGCTATAAACATGGCTTTTGTTGTGTCCCATACATTTTGGTATGCTGTGTTTCTATTTTCATTTGCTTCAAGGAATTTTTTTTTTTTTTGAAACAGGGTGTCACTTTGTCCCCCATGCTGGAGTGCAGTGGTATGATCACAGCTCACTGTGGTTTCAACCTCCTGGGCTCAAGCAATCCTCCCATATCAGCCTCCCAAGTAGTTGGGACTGCAGGCATATGCCACCACACTTGGCTAATTTTTTCTGTTTTTGGTAGAAACAAGGTTTTGCCATGTTGCCCAGGTTGGTCTTGAATCCCTGGACTCAAGCAATCTGCCTGCCTTAGCCTCCCAAAGTGCTAGGATTACAGGGGTGAGGTATTTTTTACTTTCTCTCTTAACTTCTTTTTTTAATCAATTGGTCACTCAGGAGCATGTTGTTTAGTTTTCACGTATTTGTATAGTTCTGAGTGTTCCTCTTGTTATTGGTTTATACTTTTATTCCATTGTGGTCAGATAAGATACTTAATATTAGTTCAATTGAAACAATTTTTTTTCAAAGTTTTATGATTTGTGTTGGGAACATTCAAAATCCTCTTTTCTAGCTATTTGAAAGTATATAATAAATTATTATTAACTATAGTCATCTTACAGTGCTACAGAACAGTAGAACTTATTCCTCCTATCTAGCTTTAATTTTTGTATCCTTTAACAAGTTTATCCTTATCCTGCCAACCCCTCCCAGCCTCTGTTCTACTCTTTCTCATGAGATCAACTTTCTTTCTTTTTTTTTTTTTTTTAGTATTTATTGATCATTCTTGGGTGTTTCTCGGAGAGGGGGATGTGGCAGGGTCATAGGATAATAGTGGAGAGAAGGTCAGCAGATAAACACGTGAACAAAGGTCTCTGGTTTTCCTAGGCAGAGGACCCTGCGGCCTTCCGCAGTGTTTGTGTCCCTGGGTACTTGAGATAAGGGAGTGGTGATGACTCTTAACGAGCATGCTGCCTTCAAGCATCTGTTTAACAAAGCACATCTTGCACCGCCCTTAATCCATTTAACCCTGAGTTGACACAGCACATGTTTCAGAGAGCACGGGGTTGGGGGTAAGGTTATAGATTAACAGCAGCCCAAGGCAGAAGAATTTTTCTTAGTACAGAACAAAATGGAGTCTCCTATGTCTACTTCTTTCTA
Organism: Homo sapiens; assembly: GCF_000001405.40. Taxonomy (NCBI): domain Eukaryota; kingdom Metazoa; phylum Chordata; class Mammalia; order Primates; family Hominidae; genus Homo; species Homo sapiens. The sequence continues at coordinate 57,338,988 of NC_000003.12, read as the reverse complement.
CACAGACACAGTAACAATCTGATCTCTCTTTCTTTTCCCTACATTTCCCCCTTTTCTTTTCGACAAAACCGCCATCGTCACCATGGCCCATTCTCAATGGTCGTTGTCTCTTCGGAGCTGTTGGGTACACCTGCAGAAAGGCTGTCACTTCACACTTGGAAGATTGCACAGCGGCCAGGCAGAGGTGCTCCTCACTTCCCAGACGGGGTGGCTGGGCAGAGGCGCTCCTCACATCCCAGACAATGGGTGGCCGGGCAGAGGCGCTCCTCACCCCCAAGATGGGGCGGCCGGGCAGAGGCGCTCCTCACTTCCCAGACGGGGTGGCCGGGCAGAGGCGCTCCTCACTTTCTAGACGGGGCGGCCAGGCAGAGATGCTCTTCACATCCCAGACGGGGTGGTGGCCGGGCAGAGGCGCTCCTCACTTCCTAGATGAGGTGGCGGCCGGGCAGAGACGCTCCTCACCTCCCAGACAGGGCGGCCGGGCAGAGGCACTCCTCACCTCCCAGACGGGGCGGCCGGGCAAAGGCGCTCCCCACATCCCAGATGATGGGCGGCCAGGCAGAGATGCTCCTCACTTCCTAGACAGTGTGGCGGCCGGGCAGAGGCGCTCCTCACATCCCAGACGGGGCAGCCGGGCGGAGATCACGCCACTGCACTCCAGCCTGGGCAACATTGAGCACTAAGTGACCGAGACTCCGTCTGCAATCCCAGCACCTCGGGAGGCCGAGGCGGGCAGATCACTCGAGGTCAGGAGCTGGAGACCAGCCCGGCCAACACAGCAAAACCCGTCTCCACCAAAAATACAAAAACCAGTCAGGCATGGCGTCGCGTGCCTGCAATCCCAGGCACTCGGCAGGCCGAGGCAGGAGAATCACGGGAGCCCGAGGCAGGGAGGTTGCAGCGAGCCAAGATCACGGCAGTACAGTCCAGCCTCAGCAACAGAGGGAGACCGTGGAAAGAGAGAGAAGAGAGAGAGAGGGAGAGCGAAACAATTTTTTAAGGTTTCTTTTTTGTGTCCTAACATATGGCCAATCCGGGAGAATGTTTTATGTGCTGATGAAGAGAATGTGTATTCTGCAAGTACTATGAAATGTTCTGTAAATGTCTTCTAGGTCTTTTTGGTCTATGGTACAGTTTAAATTTGCAGTTTCTTTGTTGACTTTCTGTCTAGATGATCTGTCCAATGCTAAGAGTAGGGTGTTGAAGTCTCCAACTGTTGTTGTATTGGGGTGTACCTCTGCCTTTAGATCTAATAATAATTGCTTTATATATCTGGGTGCTCTGGTGTTGGATGCATATATATATATACACACATATATATATTTTTTTGAGATGGAGTTTCACTCTTCTTGCCCAGGCTGGAGTGCAATGGCACAATCTTGGTTCACCACAACCTCCACCTCCCAGGTTCAAGTGATTCTCCTGCCTCAGCCTCCCAAGTAGCTGGGATTACAGGCATACGTCACCATGCCTGGCTAATTTTCTATTTTTATTAGAAACAGGGTTTCTCCATGTTGGTCAGGCTGGTCCTGAACTCCCGACCTCAGGTGATCTGCCCTCCTTGGCCTCCCAAAGTGCTGGGATTACAGGCGTGAGCCACCGTGCCCAGCTGAAAAGTTCTCTCTTTTACAAAAATTTTATTATTAAAATAGAGGGTCTCCCTATGTGACCCAGGCCGGTCTGGAGCTCCTGGGCTCAAGCAGTCCTCCTGCCTATGGCCTCCTAAAGTGCTGGGATTACAGGCGTGAGCCACCGTGCCTGGCCAGGTGCATGTATTTTTATAATTGTTATATTCTCTTGCTGAATTGATTCCCTTATTATTATATAATGTTATTATTTGTCTCTTGGTACTTTTTAACTTAAAGTCTGTTTTTTTCTGATGTAAATATAGCTACTCCTACTTCCTTTTAGTTTTCATTGGTGTGGAATATCTCTTTTCATCCTGTTACTGTCAGTCTCTGTCTTTTCAGGTGAGGTGAGTTTCATGTAGGCAGCATATAGTTGGGTGTTTTTTATTCATTTAGCCAGTTTATATATTTTAATTGGGGGATTTAATTTGTTTACATGCAAGGTTATTATTGATAATAACCTGAGCTTCTGCTCAAGTAATTTAGGATTCTCTGTATTTATCTGTCTCTTACCAGTTGGGAGGTAGTGAGTTAGCCATATGACCTCAGTCCTCTGATGCATCTAAGAAAAGTTGCTGATTTTCAGTTTGTTCAGCTTTTTTCTTATTGTGAGGATGTGAGTGATGACTTCCAAATTCCTGACATTATCTTTTACAGACACTTAAATATTAATGATTTTTTAAAAAAATCTTTTATGTTTACCTACAAAGTTACCATTTCTATTGTTCTTTATTCTTTGGTGTAGATCCAGAGTTCCAATTATCTGAAACTTCCCCTAAGATATCTTGTAGTGTAGGTCTACTTGTAATGAATCTTTTCAATATCTATACATCTGGAAAAGAAATAAGTAAATATCTCAATTTTTATATTTTTATCTTTAGGTTTTTTTCTATTCCTATAACAGATTATGTATTTTTATTTTTAGGAGTTGTGTTTGGTCTATTTAATATTGCCTATTTCTTCTATTATGTTCATACTTTGCTTTAACTCCTTCAGCATGTTTATGATAACTACTTTAACATTCTTACTGGCTAGTTAAATTATCTCTTTCACATCTACATCTACATCTAAGACCAATTTTTTTCCTGGTTATGGATGCTGTGAATTTTATATTGGTAAATGCTGGACATTTTGTATTCCTTTAAAGAGCTTTAGACTTCACTCTTTTAGGTAGTTAAATTGCTACTGGATTAGTTTGATCTTTTCAAGACTTATTCTAGGTGCAGTGGCCCACACCTCTAATCTCAGCTACTCAGAAGGCTAAGTCAGGAGGATTACTTAAGCTCAGAAGTTTGAGGCTGCAGTGAACTATGATTGTGCCACTGCACTTCCAGGCTAGATGACAGAGCAGTTCGCCATCTCTTAAAAAAAAGAAGACGACTTGTGTTTAAGCTTTCTTACAGTAGTTTTAGAGTAACCTTTACTCTAAGGCTATGTTAGCTTCACCACTAAGGAGACCTGAATTCCTCTGGTGCTGAACAAAGACTCAACTCTGGTTGGCAATAACTTATATTTCTTAGTCTTGTGTGATCTCTGGGAGCTTTCAGTTTACAGCCCCTTAGATGTTCTTTTGCTGGCTTCCTGGAATTTTACCTTACTGATGCATCTCTTAGTACAGTCATGTGCCACATAACAATGTTTCAGTCAGCAACAAACTGCATATGCAACAGCGGTGCCATAAGATTATAATACCATATTTTTACTGTTCTTTTCTACGTTTAGATACACAAATACATGCCATTATGTTACAGCTGCTTACTGTATTCAGTACAGTAATATGCTGTACAGATTTATAGCCTAGGAGCAACAGGCTATACCATATACACCATCTAGATTTGTGTAAGTACACGTTATGATGTTCACACAATGATGAAATCGCCTAACAACACACTTCTTAGAATGCGTGACTAAGAATTCTATGAGCAATGCCTGGCTGTATTTATCAGTAGAACCAAGAGAGCACCTCTGTAGATTTTTAAGACATTCATTCACCTTTTCCATTCATCTTCCTCCTCTGCTCACAAACTCCAGTCACCTAAGCTTTCCCTAATGCTGATGTCCTCAACTCAGCAATACTGTTGAGGAGAACTTAATGCCGGTTTCCTCAATTCAGCAATACTGCAGAGCTCTGATTCTGATCACACCTCCCTGCTCTGTAGTCTAGAAAGTGCCAGGCAGCCTGCTGAGGAACGGGGATCACCTTATTCACCTCTCTTCTCTCAGAGGCCACAGTCCTGCACTGGCTATTGAACAATTTCAAAAAAACAGTTGTTTCATTAATTTTGTCCAGTTTTCTAGTTGTTTACAGCAGGTGGGTAAGTACAGTCTAAGTTGTTCTATCCAGGTTACAAAAGCGGAAGTTGACATCATTCAATTTTAAAATCAACAATTATATAACAGTCCTTATTTTGGGAATACAGGGCAAGGAAAGAGATTGAATACCAGGAACTGATGTTTCTTTTAACTGGAGGAGTAAGTCTTAAAAGTGCTGAGAAAAATCCTGATCCAACTTGGCTACAGGACAAAAGCTGGGAGGAAATCTGTCGGGCAAGTGAATTTCCTGCCTTCAGAGGACTCAGGTGATTGTTTAAATTCGATGATTTATCATTGAATGGCAATATGTAAACTTGTTCTTCAATTTAGTGATTTTTAAATGGTTTTAAATAGCTGTCTGGTTTCTACTCCTTGTTCAACAATCTCTTTTAAGTTTTTCCCAATAAAAAGAATAATTCTTAAGCTTTTTTCTATTAGGCAACATTTTTGTGAACATATATATGAATGGCGAGAAATCTATGACAGTAAAGAGCCACATAATGCTAAATTTCCAGCACCAATGGATAAGAACCTAAATGAACTACAGAAAATAATAATTCTTCGGTGTTTAAGACCTGATAAGGTAAAAGACCAATGTGTTCTATTTGGAACCCAGATAATTTGCCATTTATGAAGTGCTAGGCTTAAAGTTCTTGTTATTTGATTCTTTAACTCTCAGATTGATTATCCAGCTTACAGTTCATTGAGCTCTTTGGATTTAGATCTGTGGGTTTACTGTTTTCCTCAATTTAGGAATATTTTTGGTTATTATTTCTTCAAATATTATTTCACCCCACCCAGGATTTCAGTTGCACATATATTAGATTGCCTAATGTGATGCTAATGTAATATAATGTAATTGATACTTTGTTAATTATTTTTTAAGCCGTGGTATCTCCTTGCATCAGTTTGGGTAGTTTCTGTTGCTATCTTTACATTTGTTGATTTCTTCTTTTGTATTGTCTAATCTGCTACAAATCCCTTTCCCATTTTAATTTTAGTAATTGTGTATTTCATCTCTAAAAAATTTGTTTGGTTCTTTTTGTGTATCCTATTTCTCTTTTTAATCTGCTAATATTTTCTTTTAAATAGTTGAACACAGTTATAATAACTGTTTTAAAATTAGTGACTACTAATTCCATCATTTCTGGATCTGTTTCTATTGACTGATTTTACTTTTAGTTATACATGATAATTTCCTGCTTTTTGGCATGTCTAATAATGTCTGATTGGATACTGGACATTGTGAATATCACATTGTTGATGAGTTAGATTTCATTTTCCTATAAAGATTGTTGAGTTCTGTCCTGCTAGTTCAGGGGTCAACAAACACCTGTGGGCCAAATCCAGCCCCACGATGTCTTTGGTCCATCCCATGAACTAAGAATGTTTTTTATATTTTTAAAAAGAGTAGTTTTGACTGGGCACAGTAGCTCATGCCTGTAATCCTGGCCTTTGGGAGGCCGAGGAGGACAGATCACTTGAGGTCAGGAGTTCAAGACCAGCCTGGCCAAGATGGTGAAACCCTGTCACTACTAAAAATACAAAAATTAGCCAGGCATGGTGGTGCATGCCTGTAGTCCCAGCTATTCAGGAGGTTGAGGAAGGAGAATTGTTTGAACTGGAGAGGCGGAGGTTGCAATGAGCAGAGATCGCACCACTGCGCTACAGCCTGGGTGACAGAGCGAGACTCCATCTAAAAAAAAAAAAAAAAAAAAGTTGCCTTAAAAAGAACATGTATCCGGGCACGGTGGCTCATGCCTATAATCCCAGTACTTTGGGAGGCTGAGGTGGGTGGATCGCTAGGTCAGGAGTTCGAGCTCGGGAAGCTGAGGCAAGAGAATCACTTCAACCTGGGAGGCAGAGGTTGCAGTGAGCCAAGATCGAACCACTGCACTCCAGCCTGGGTGGCAGAGTGAGACTCTGTCTCATAAAAAATAATAATAAAATAAAAAAGAACATGCAACAGAAACTGTATATGTCCCACAAAGCCTAAAATATTTCTTATCTGGCCCTCTACAGAACGTTTATCAACTTCTGTGGTTATGTAGTTAAATTACTGAAGTTTGAATTGTTCCTTTCAAATATTGTTTAAGATTTGTTAGGATGGTCTAGAATAGCCTTTATTCAATGCATTATTTAGCTCTACCAAAGTGCCACCCGTCTGGGGCCTTTACTGAATGCTCCAAGCGATCACTAAGGACTCTCTATGGCTTTTGGGAACCTGAATGAGTCCCAGCCTTCATGAACAGTGGTAGCTCCCCAGATCTCCTGGTTACAGCACCTCAGATGCTCTTTTCTTGGTCTCATGCATACACACCATAGTGTTCAGCAAGGATTCAGAGGTACTGTGAGCAGATTTCTGAACTCTGCCTGGACAGTTCTATCCTAATTAGAACTCTGCAACTTCCAGCAGCCTTGGCCCCTTTGTAGTCTTTTTCTTGTTTTTGCAACTCAGTGACACTGCATTGCTCTGCCTTAATCACTCTCGCTGTTCCACAGTCTAGCATACCTCCAAGAAGAAAGCTGAGAGAATAGCGTTCAGTTTGTTTTCTTTTTCTCAGTGATCACAGTCCTATACCACCTATTGCCCCCTGTGCAAAAATGGTGGTTTCATTAATTGTGCCTGTTTTTTAAATTGTTTGTGGTAGTAGGGTAAATCCAATCCCTATAACCACATCATAGCTAAAAGTAGAAGATGGCAGAAAATTTTGTACATGTCACAATTTTATTAGTTCAAACATGCACAGAAATCTTTCTAAAGGTAAGATAAGTAGGCTGACACCAATTTTCACAAATTTAAGAAAGGTGATCATAGTATTACAAAGGGATAATTTTGTAATAGAAAGAAAACAAGAAACCATGTTCATACATCTAGTTTAAACTTTGAGTAATGTTAAAAAATTATTCATGACAAATGTTAAAGCAGTAAGGAAGACTTTGTTCAAGACTATCACAGTAGGAAAGAGAGCTCAGGCTTAGTTCGAAATACAGCAGAGACAGTTGGGGATTTATAGTCAAGGAGCAGGGTGGGGGGAAATTACTAAGAAGAGACACCAAGGGTAGGGGGAATTCTTGCTACCCTGACCTAACAAAATTCTTGCTGAAAGCAGGCCAGGGTGATGAGATACCACCTGGGAGATGGCAGGGTATGAGGAATTTGATCAGATATGGAGGGCGATCAGATGTAGAGGGTAGGGGACTCTCACTAAACTGGCTAGCAGGGTTCTTGCTACAACTGGGCTCTTGAAGACAAGGCCTCATAGAAAAAGGGGTTCAGAGGAGCCTGTCTAACTAAGGTTTGTTTGAGGAAAGAATCTTTACCAGTAAGTCACTTCACCTACACCATGAAAAATATGAAGGTTTTGAAAGTGATTGCAATAGTCCCTTCGTTTCTTCCTTCTTTTTTTAAAAGAAAAAAATTTTACCGTTTTAGTAAAGTCTCACAAGGAACATTATCTAATGCTCTGTCTCTGGGTAGATTTAAACAGAGGCCTACATAAATGTTTTACTCCTTACCCTGATTCCCAAAGACCTTTGTACTTGGTTAATATTCATCTCATTCTTGCCTGATAGTTGTGTGTGCATATGTGTCTGTGTATAGACATACACAGTGACTCTAACTAGAGAGTCACTTTAAGTCCCTGGAACCCCTAAATAATGGTTTATTCATTATTTTATCACCAGTAGCCTCCCTTGTTCATGACGAAGACTTAATAGCTATGTATCTGGGAACACCTGCCTATTTGCACTTTACAGAATGGCTCCCCTGATGGGCAGTAGAGATATTGTTTCAATACCACATGTAGGGTTTTTGCTTTGTCTGCCGTGTTTGGAAGCCTGTGCTTATATACCATAGCCCTTACCCCATTAGAATGTACAATAATTGTCTGCTTACTTTTTAGGGTCTCCCACTAGACTGTGAGCTTCTTGAGGTCAAGATTCATGTGTTATTTTCCTCTGTATCGCCAGGATTTAGAGCAATGTCTGACAGATGGTAGAAGCTCAACAAATGTCTATGAATTAAGTTGAATTGAATTGAGTTAAACTAAATGGAATTAAAGCCTATATTATTCAGGCCTTCTACTTGTTTCCCTCTGTTCTCCAGAGAAATAAAACAACAGGGGAGGGGAATTGATTGATTGATTGATTGATTTTCTGAAAGGAATTGGCTGGTGTGATTGTGGAAGCTGGTGAATCTGCATGGTAAGCTGGCAGGCTGGAAACTCAAGGAGGAGTTGATGTTGCAGCTCAAGTCCAAAGGCAGTTTGCTGGCAAAAGGTCCTCTTCCTCAGGGGAAATCAGGCATTTTTCTTTTTTTTTTTTTTTTAATTATTATACTTTAAGTTTTAGGGTACATGTGCACAATGTGCAGGTTAGTTACATATGTATACATGTGACATGCTGGTGCACTGCACCCACTAACTCATCATCTGGCATTAGGTATATCTCCCAATGCTATCCTTCCCCCCTCCCCCCACCCCACAACAGTCCCCAGAGTGTGATGTTCCCCCTCCTGTGTCCATGTGTTCTCACTGTTCGATTCCCACCTATGAGTGAGAATATGCAGTGTTTGGTTTTTTGTCCTTGCAATTGTTTGCTGAGAATGATGGTTTCCAGCTTCATCCATGTCCCTACAAAGGACATGAACTCATCCTTTTTTATGGCTGCATAGTATTCTATGGTGTATATGTGCCACATTTTCTTAATCCAGTCTATCATTGTTGGACATTTGGGTTGGTTCCAAGTCTTTGCTATTGTGAATAGTGCCGCAATAAACATACGTGTGCATGTGTCTTTATAGCAGCATGATTTATAGTCCTTTGGGTATATACCCAGTAATGGGATGGCTGGGTCAAATGGTATTTCTAGTTCTAGATCCCTGAGGAATCACCATACTGACTTCCACAATGGTTGAACTAGTTTACAGTCCCACCAACAGTGTAAAAGTGTTCCTATTTCTCCACATCCTCTCCAGCACCTGTTGTTTCCTGACTTTTTAATGATTGCCATTCTAACTGGTATGAGATGATATCTCATTGTGGTTTTGATTTGCATTTCTCTGATGGCCAGTGATGGTGAGCATTTTTTCATGTGTTTTTTGGCTGCATAAATGTCTTCTTTTGAGAAGTGTCTGTTCATGTCCTTTGCCCACTTTTGGATGGGGTTGTTTGTTTTCTTCTTGTAAATTTGTTTGAGTTCATTGTAGATTCTGGATATTAGCCTTTTGTCAGATAAGTAGGTTGCGAAAATTTTCTCCCATTTTGTGGGTTGCCTGTTCACTCTGATGGTAGTTTCTTTTGCTGTGCAGAAGCTCTTTAGTTTAATTAGATCCCATTTGTCAATTTTGGCTTTTGTTGCCATTGTTTTTGGTGTTTTAGACATGAAGTCCTTGACCATGCCTATGTCCTGAATGGTAATGCCTAGGTTTTCTTCTAGGGTTTTTATGGTTTTAGGTCTAACGTTTAAGTCTTTAATCCATCTTGAATTGATTTTTGTATAAGGTGTAAGGAAGGGATCCAGTTTCAGCTTTCTACATATGGCTAGCCAGTTTTCCCAGCACCATTTATTAAATAGGGAATCCTTTCCCCATTGCTTGTTTTTCTCAGGTTTGTCAAAGATCAGATAGTTGTAGATATGTGGCGTTATTTCTGAGGGCTCTGTTCTGTTCCATTGATCTATATCTCTGTTTTGGTACCAGTACCATGCTGTTTTTGTTACTGTAGCCTTGTAGTATAGTTTGAAGTCAGGTAGTGTGATGCCTCCAGCTTTGTTCTTTTGGCTTAGGATTGACTTGGCAATGCAGGCTCTTTTTTGGTTCCATATGAACTTTAAAGTAGTTTTTCCCAATTCTGTGAAGAAAGGCATTGGTAGCTTGATGGGGATGGCATTGAATCTATAAATTACCTTGGGCAGTATGGCCATTTTCACAATATTGATTCTTCCTACCCATGAGCATGGAATGTTCCTCCATTTGTTTGTATCCTCTTTAATTTCATTGAGCAGTGGTTTGTAGTTCTCCTTGAAGAGGTCCTTCACGTCCCTTGTAAGGTGGATTCCTAGGTATTTTATTCCCTTTGAAGCAATTGTGAATGGGAGTTCACTCATGATTTGGCTCTCTGTTTGTCTGTTATTGGTGTATAAGAATGCTTGTGATTTTTGTACATTGATTTTGTATCCTGAGACTTTGCTGAATTTGCTTATCAGCTTAAGGAGATTTTGGGCTGAGACAATGGGGTTTTCTAGATATATAATCATGTCATCTGCAAACAGGGACAATTTGACTTCCTCTTTTCCTAATTGAATACCCTTTATTTCCTTCTCCTGCCTAATTGCCCTGGCCAGAACTTCCAACACTATGTTGAATAGGAGTGGTGAGAGAGGGCATCCCTGTCTTGTGCCAGTTTTCAAAGGGAATGCTTCCAGTTTTTGCCCATTCAGTATGATATTGGCTGTGGGTTTGTCATGGATAGCTGTTATTATTTTCAGATACATCCCATCAATACCTAATTTATTGAGAGTTTTTAGCATGAAGGGTTGTTGAATTTTGTCAAAGGCCTTTTCTGCATCTATTGAGATAATCATGTGGTTTTTGTCTTTGGTTCTGTTTATATGCTGGATTACATTTATTGATTTGAGTATATTGAACCAGCCTTGCATCCCAGGGATGAAGCCCACTTGATCATGGTGGATAAGCTTTTTGATGTGCTGCTGGATTCAGTTTGCCAGTATTTTATTGAGGATTTTTGCATCAATGTTCATCAAGGATATTGGTCTAAATTCTCTTTTTTGGTTGTGTCTCTGCCAGGCTTTGGTATCAGGATGATGCTGGCCTCATAAAATGAGTTAGGGAGGATTCCCTCTTTTTCTATTGATTGGAATAGTTTCAGAAGGAATGGTACCAGTTCCTCCTTGTACCTCTGGTAGAATTCGGCTGTGAATCCATCTGGTCCTGGACTCTTTTTGGTTGGTAAGCTATTGATTATTGCCACAATTTCAGATCCTGTTGTTGGTCTATTCAGAGATTCAACTTCTTCCTGGTTTAGTCTTGGGAGAGTGTATGTGTCGAGGAATTTATCCATTTCTTCTAGATTTTCTAGTTTATTTGTGTAGAGGTGTTTGTAGTATTCTCTGATGGTAGTTTGTATTTCTGTTGGATCAGTGGTGATATCCCCTTTATCATTTTTTATTGCATCTATTTGATTCTTCTCTCTTTTTTTTCTTTATTAGTCTTGCTAGCGGTCTATCAATTTTGTTGATCCTTTCAAAAAACCAGCTCCTGGATTCATTAATTTTTTGAAGGGTTTTTTGTGTCTCTATTTCCTTCAGTTCTGCTCTGGTTTTAGTTATTTCTTGCCTTCTGCTAGCTTTTGAATGTGTTTGCTCTTGCTTTTCTAGTTCTTTTAATTGTGATGTTAGGGTGTCAATTTTAGATCTTTCCTGCTTTCTCTTGTGGGCATTTAGTGCTATAAATTTCCCTTTACACACTGCTTTGAATGTGTCCCAGAGATTCTGGTATATTGTGTCTTTGTTCTCGTTGGTTTCAAAGAACATCTTTATTTCTGCCTTCATTTCGCTATGTACCCAGTAGTCATTCAGGAGCAGGTTGTTCAGTTTCCATGTAGTTGAGCGGTTTTGAGTGAGTTTCTGAATCCTGAGTTCTAGTTTGATTGCACTGTGGTCTGAGAGATAGTTTGTTATAATTTCTGTTCTTTTACATTTGCTGAGGAGAGCTTTACTTCCAACTATGTGGTCAATTTTGGAATAGGTGTAGTGTGGTGCTGAAAAAAATGTATATTCTGTTGATTTGGGGTGGCGAGTTCTGTAGATGTCTATTAGGTCCATTGGTGCAGAGCTGAGTTCAACTCCTGGGTATCCTTGTTGACTTTCTGTCTCGTTGATCTGTCTAATGTTGACAGTGGGGTGTTAAAGTCTCCCATTATTATTGTGTGGGAGTCTAAGTCTCTTTGTAGGTCACTCAGGACTTGCTTTATGAATCTGGGTGCTCCTGTATTGGGTGCATATATATTTAGGATAGTTAGCTCTTCTTGTTGAATTGATCCCTTTACCATTATGTAATAGCCTTCTTTGTCTCTTTTGATCTTTGTTGGTTTAAAGTCTGTTTTATCAGAGACCAGGATTGGAACCCCTGCCTTTTTTTGTTTTCCATTTGCTTGGCAGATCTTCCTCCATCCTTTTATTTTGAGCCTATGTGTGTCTCTGCACATGAGATGGGTTTCCTGAATACAACACACTGATGGGTCTTGACTCTTTATCCAATTTGCCAGTCTGTGTCTTTTAATTGGAGCATTTAGTCCATTTACATTTAAAGTTAATATTGTTATGTGTGAATATGAACCTGTCATTATGATGTTAGCTGGTTATTTTGCTCATTACTTGATGCAGTTTCTTCCTAGTCTCCATGGTCTTTACATTTTGGCATGATTTTGCAGCGGCTGGTACTGGTTGTTCCTTTCCATGTTTAGTGCTTCCTTCAGGAGCTCTTTTAGGGCAGGCCTGGTGGTGACAAAATTGCTCAGCATTTGTTTGTCTGTAAAGTGTTTTATTTCTCCTTCACTTCTGAAGCTTAGTTTGGCTGGATATGAAATTCTGGGTTGAAAATTCTTTTCTTTAAGAATGTTGAATATTGGCCCCCACTCTCTTCTGGCTTGTAGAGTTTCTGCCGAGAGCTCAGCTGTTAGTCTGATGGGCTTCCCTTTGTGGGTAACCCGACCTTTCTCTCTGGCTGCCCTTAACATTTTTTCCTTCATTTCAACTTTGGTGAATCTGACAATTATGTGTCTTGGAGTTGCTCTTCTCGAGGAGTATCTTTGTGGCATTCTCTGTATTTCCTGAATCTGAATGTTGGCCTGCCTTGCTAGATTGGGGAAGTTCTCCTGGATAATATCCTGCAGAGTGTTTTCCAACTTGGTTCCATTCTCCCCGTCACTTTCAAGTACACCAATCAGACGTAGATTTGGTCTTTTCCCATAGTCCCATATTTCTTGGAGGCTTTGTTCGTTTCTTTTTATTCTTTTTTCTCTAAACTTCCCTTCTCGCTTCATTTCATCTTCCATCACTGATACCCTTTCTTCCAGCTGATCGCATCGGCTCCTGAGGCTTCTGCATTCTACACATAGTTCTCGTGCCTTGGCTTTCAGCTCCATCAGCTCCTTTAAGCACTTCTCTGTATTGGTTGTTCTAATTATACATTTGTCTAAATTTTTTTCAAAGTTTTTAACTTCTTTGCCTTTGGTTTGAATTTCCTCCTGTAGCTCGTAGTTTGATTGTCTGAAGCCTTCTTCTCTCAACTCGTCAAAGTCACTCTCCGTCCAGCTTTGTTCCATTGCTGGTGAGGAACTGTGATCCTTTGGAGGAGGAGAGGTGCTCTGCTTTTTAGAGTTTCCAGTTTTTCTGCTCTGTTTTTTCCCCATCTTTGTGGTTGTATCTACTTTTGGTCTTTGATGATGGTGATGTACAGATGGGTTTTTGGTGTGGATGTCCTTTCTGTTTTAGTTTTCCTTCTGACAGACAGGACCCTCAGCTGCAGGTCTGTTGGAGTTTGCTAGAGGTCCACTCCAGACCCTGTTTGCCTGGGTATCAGCAGAGGTGTTTGCAGAACAGTGGTTTTTCGTGAACCACGAATGCTGCTATCTGATCGTTCCTCTGCAAGTTTTGTCTCAGAGGAGTACCCAGCCGTGTGAGGTGTCAGTTTGCCCCTACTTGGGGGTGCCTCCCAGTTAGGCTGCTCAGGGGTCAGAGGTCAGGGACCCACTTGAGGAGGCAGTCTGCCCGTTCTCAGATCTCCAGCTGCGTGCTGGGGGAACCACTGCTCTCTTCAAAGCTGTCAGACAGGGACATTTAAGTCTGCAGAGGTTACTGCTGTCTTTTTGTTTGTCTGTGCCCTGCCCCCAGAGGTGGAGCCTACAGAGGCAGGCAGGCCTCCTTGAGCTGTGGTGGGTTCCACCCAGTTGGAGCTTTCCAGCTGCTTTGTTTACCTAAGCAAGCCTGGGCAATGGCGGGCGCCCCTTCCCCAGCCTCGCTGCCGCCTTGCAGTTTGATCTCAGACTGCTGTGCTAGCAATCAGCGAGACTTCATGGGCGTAGGACCCTCTGAGCCATGTGGGGGATATAATCTCCTGGTGTGCCGTTTTTTAAGCCCATCGGAAAAGCGCAGTATTGGGTGGGAGTGACCCAATTTTCCAGGTGTCATCCGTCACCCCTTTCTTTGACTAGGAAAGGGAACTCCCTGACCCCTTGCGCTTCCCGAGTGAGGCAATGCCTCGCCCTGCTTCGGCTTGTGCATGGTGCGCTGCACCCACTGACCTGCGCCCACTGTCTGGCACTCCCTAGTGAGATGAACCAAGTACCTCAGATGGAAATGCAGAAATCACCCCTCTTCTGCGTGGCTCACGCTGGGAGCTGTAGACCGGAGCTGTTCCTATTCGGCCATCTTGGCTCCTCCCCCCAGGCTTTTTTCTTTCTTAAGGCTTTCAACTGATTGTATGAGGCCCACCACATTGTGGAGGGCAATCTGCCTTACTCCATATCTACTAATTTAAATATTAATCTCATCCAAAAATACCTTCACAGCAACATGTGTAGACTGCTATTTGACCAAATATCAAGATATCATGGCCTCCCAGGCCATCTTTGGCTGATTTATATAACAATTCAATAGGTTAAAAATGGTATCTAAGTATAGTTATAATTTGTATTTTTCTTATTATGAGTATTAGCGTATAAATGAAGCTGCTGTAACAAAGGGACCTAAAGTACAGTGGCTTAAATCAAATAGAAGTTAATTTCTCTCTCTCCTAACAGCTCAGAGGCAAATGATGAAGGGCTGACAGGGAAGCTCTTGCTCCTGAGATCACCCAGAAACTCAGGTTCTTTCATGCTTACAGTGTGGTCCTCATCAGCAAAATGGAAGCTGGCTTGTGAACGCTATGTTGAAAAGAGAAGAAATTGTTGAAGGCAAATAGCTTCCTTAAAATATTATCTGGAAGATCCATAAGTAATTTCTACTTGTATCTCTCTGGCCAAAACTTAGTCACATGGCCACATTACCTGCAAGAAATGCCAGGAAAACTTGGGGTTCTAATACCAAACAGAGACAAATAAGTGGGACAATATGCAATCTCTGCTATAATGAGTGACATTGAGCATCCCTCATATGTTTAGGATCAATTTGTACTTGATTTTCTCTAAGCAGTTTGTCTCCTTTGCCCATTTATCTTTTGGATAGTCTTCTCCTATAAATGTATATAGTTTTTATTTTTTAGAGAAATTAGTGCTTTGTCTATGATGCTATATGCTTTTTTTGACCATTAGGCTCAAATTGTATTCTTTGTTGTTTTTCAATAATATTCATATCCATTATGTGAAATAAAAGTTGCTCTAAAGATCATATCTTTTCTCTTCAACAGATAACCCCAGCTATAACAAACTATGTAACTGACAAACTAGGGAAAAAGTTTGTAGAGCCTCCACCATTTGATTTGACAAAGAGTTACTTGGATTCAAATTGCACCATTCCCTTAATTTTTGTTCTATCTCCAGGAGCAGATCCTATGGCCAGTAAGTGCATATACTGTAAACTTTTAAGAAATCATAAATAAAACATCTTGCTCAATACTGATTCCTTATATGATTATAAATCAGTTAGTAAATCTGATATTTACAGAGAAACGTAACTAGAATTTTTCATGATAAAACACCTATACATAAGGCACTTTTTTATAATTTTAGAGTAAGTAGTGTGACCATTTTTTTGTGCCTCTTATAGGCCTGCTGAAATTTGCAAATGATAAATCTATGTCTGGAAATAAGTTTCAAGCTATTTCACTGGGACAGGGACAAGGACCGATTGCAGCAAAAATGATTAAAGCAGCAATTGAAGAAGGAACTTGGGTGTGCCTACAGAATTGCCATCTTGCAGTGTCCTGGATGCCCATGTTGGAAAAAATATGTGAAGATTTTACCTCTGAAACCTGTAACTCATCCTTTAGGCTTTGGCTGACAAGCTATCCATCTTCAAAAGTATGTTTATTTCCTTATAGAGTTAAGTACATTTACTTAGCTATCTGTATATCTTATTTGTTTTGTTTGTTTGTTTTGAGACGGAGTCTTACTCTGTCTCCCAGGCTGGAGTGCAGTGGCGCAATTTCGGCTCACCGCAAACTTCGCCTCCCGGGTTCAAGCGATTCTCCTGCCTCAGCCTCCCCAGTAGCTGGGATTACAGGCGCATACCACCATGCTCGGCTAATTTTTGTATTTTTAGTAGAAATGGGGTTTCACCATGTCAGCCAGCCTGGTCTCGAACTCCTGACCTCAGGTGATCCACCCGCCTCAGCCTCCCAAAGTGCTGGGATTTCAGGCATGCACCACCACGCCTGGCCAGCTGTCTGCATATCTTAATCAAGCCTCAGATGCTTAACCTTAAGAGGTTTTTTGAATATTTCTGGAGTTCTCCATTATGCCTGTTTTTTAATCCACGTGTATATGCACTTTTAGAGCCTCCACTTGCTATCTTGTATAATGCTCTCCATTTATTTTGTCTTAGTTCCCAGTAACAATTCTACAGAATGGAGTAAAAATGACTAATGAACCTCCCACGGGTCTTCGGCTGAATCTCCTTCAATCATATCTCACTGATCCAGTTTCTGATCCTGAGTTTTTCAAGGGATGCCGTGGAAAGGAACTGGTAATATTCATCTTTTGGAACTTTTAAAATGTGTTTTATAGTGATCAAATATGGAAGTGTAAAATTTTGTTTAATAATGCTTTTGTAACATTTTTATTTAATGTTTTTAAAACTTTACGCATTTCCTAACAAGACAAAAATTGTACTTATCTTGTTCACCATTTTATTCAATATAGTTTGTGTTCCACTTCCCACACAGTAGACATCGAAATAAATATTTGTTGAATGAATGAATCTTAGTTTGTAAGCCAAAGCCCAGTAATGTTTTTGATTAGGACCCGAGAGTAGAAATCTATTTTCCCATTGTTGATTCTTTTTCAACAAGTATGTGTGCCAGGCCCTCTCCTAGGTAGTGTAGATATAAAGCAATGAGAACAAAATAGACAGACAAAGAAATCTGCCTTTATGAAACTTAGATTCTAGTAATAATGTTAAGCATATTAATAGTGCTTTTTCGTATATCCACCTTAAACAGTTTTGTTTACAGTACTGGAGACTTTAAGGGTCCCAGTAGAGAGTACTCATTTCCCTGCCTGAATTCTTACCAATTGAGAAACAGGGAAAAGTATAAATGTATGGTAACCAAATTATAGGCTTAATTATTGATATAGGCTAGATTGGAAGATATAGCTTATATCTGTGAACAAATGGGTTTCATATTACTGAGCCCTAAAATTAAGCAAATTTATCCACCCAGAAGAGTAAAGGAAAACCCAGGTCCCTGTAAGAAGCTCACTTCTAAGAAAGAAAAGGGAGAAGCTGGGCTGAGCATATCTGGTTAATTTTCCCCAAGTTTACCAGTCCGGTAGGTCACTCCTCTCTCCTGCAGCAAGTGAGTACAAGAATGGAGAAAAGTCCAGCGTGTTACATTATTAATTGGGCACATGAAACATTACTGTGAGAAAATCATCCCCTGCCCTCACCCCAACATGTACTATTTATCATATTTTCATGTTTGAGCTAGAAAAAATGATATTGAAGGTAAAATTAACTAAATTCTTTGAAAGTCAGGTATTTTCCCTCTGCTTAATGACACTTTCTGTGTACCCTAGTTCTGCGCCATAATTTTGTTTGCAAATCTTAGAACAAGAGAGGATATTTTGTGGTTTTATTTAGAAAGAGAGCTTAGTAGAATGGAGAAGATAGTATGGTGTCTAATCCTCATCCAGAGTTTGAGCTCCTGCAATTAGAAGAGCGAGGGCAAGAAAGAGAAGGGAAATTTTGAAAGATTCTAAGCTCAAGCAGAGCTAATTTGGGACTCAGATTATTCAAATAAAAATGGTGCTGAGTTAGAGAAGAAGCATTCTCACTCCTTGGGTATTACAACATTGAGCAAGCTACGCTGGCACCGTAAGTATTGGGATTTGTTGGGATATCTGAAGTTAGTATCCTTGCCATGTATCATCATTTTTGTGATGAACAGTGGTAATAGGTAAGGCTTCACCAAGCAACTTCTCTGGTAGTACAAACAAATGAAAGCTGGGGTAAGAGAAGTAAAAGAATGTAAATGCCCTGTGACATGGGTTCTCAGTATGCATCCGATTCCCCTAGAGGGCTTGTTCAAACACATCTTGCTGGGTCCCATCCCCAGAGTCTCTAATTCAGTGGGTCTGGGGTGAGGCTTAAGAATTTATAGTTCTAACAAATTCCCTGGTGATGTTGATGTGGCTGGTTCTGGAATCACACTTTGAAAACCATTGCCTTCCAGTTTCTGCAGGTGTGACTGGTTTGTAGACATATTGAAATTCCACTGAGGCTTCCAGAAATAGCTGGAATGCCTTTCGATAAGGCTAATTTCTGACAATTAGGCCAGCAATAATTTGAACTATCATCATTTGGCCATTAAAAGTAAATAAGATCTTTTTAGTCACAGGTTGTTGATATCTTGGGCGTTTGAATTACCTAGCAATGATAAGACATTCGTTATGAGTCTATAGATCTGCCTGCTGTACTCACTTTATTCTCCTTAAGGGCAGGGATACATTTCTGTATCTTCACTTATTTATTTAGTAAATATTTATTGAGTACCTACTAGGTGCAAGACATTCTTATAGGAACTGGTAATATGGCAATGAACATATATAAAAACATGTAAAAATTTCCTGTCTTTATGGAGCTGACATTTTAGTCAAAGGAAACCTGTGGAAAGCAAGCTCAACCATAATCCCCACAAACCTGGGGGACTTGTTAAAGCTACAGATGTCAGTGCCCTACTTCTGGAATTCTGATTCACTAAATTTGAAGTAAGGCTCAAGAACAAGCATAAATATAGCATATCATATATATACACCATGGCCAAGTGGGATTTATCCCCTGGGATGCTAAAATGATTCAACTTATAAAAATCAATTAATGTAATACACATTAACAGAAGAAAGATAAAAATCACATGATCATCTCACTAGATGCAGAAAAAGCATCCAACAAAATTCAACACTTTTTTATAATATAAACTCTCAGCTGGGCATGGTGGCTCATGCCTGTAATCCTGTCACTTTGGGAGACTGAGGTAGGAGGATCACTTGAGGTCAGGAGTTCAAGACCAGCCTAGCCAACATGGTGAAACCTGTCTCTACTAAAAATACAAAAAAAAAAAAAATTAGCAAGGTGTGGTGGCATGTGGCTATAATCCCAGTTACTCAGGAAGAGGCAGGAGAATTGCTTGAGCCTGTGAGGTGGAGGGTGCAGTGAGCTGAGATCGTGCCACTGCACTCCAGCCTGGGCAACAGAGCAAGACTCCATCTCAGGAAGAAACAAAACAAAACCAAAAAACAACTCTTAACAAACGAGGAATAGAAGAAAATTACCTCAACATAATAAAAGCCAATATGAAAATACCACAACTTATATTATACTCAACCATGGAAAAACTGAAAATTTTTCCTGTAAGATCAGAAAGAAGGCATGGAAGCCCACTCCTTCTACTTCTGTTCAACATAGACTGGAAGTCCTAGACTGAACAATTAGGCAAGAAAAAGAAACAGGAGGCATCCAAATCAAACCAGAAGAAGTAAAATTGTCCTTGTTTGCAGATGATGTGATCTTATGTATATAGAAAACCACAAAACTCCACACAAGAAAAACCTGTCAGAGCTAATCAATGAATTCAGTAAAGTTTAGGGTACAAAATCAACATATAAAAATTAGTTGCATTTCTGTACACCAACAACAAACTATCTGAAATGGAAATTAGGAAAACAATCCCATTTATAATAGTACCAAAAACAATAAAATACTTAGGAATAAATTCAACTGAGGAGGTGAAAGATATATACACTGAAAACTACAAAACATTGATGCAATAAGTTAAAGAAGACATGAACATGGAAAAATATCCCATGTTCATGGATTGGAAGACTTAAATTATTAAAATGTGCAAACTAACCAAAGTGATCTACAGATTTAATTTAGCAATCCCTATCAAAATCCCAATCTTAAAAACTCTAAAATTCATATAGAACCACAAAAGATCTTAAATGGCCAAACCAATGTTGAGAAAAAACAAAGCTAGAGGCTTTGTTCTCTGAAATCAGGCTACTTCCTGATTTCAAAATATAATACAAAGCTACAGTGATTAAAACAATATGGTACAGGTTAAGTATTCCTTATCTGGAATGCTTGGGATTTTTTTTTTTAATTTTGGAATATTTGCATTATACTTACCAGTTAACATTCCAAATACAAAAATACAAAACCTGAAATGCTCTAATGAGCATTTCCTTTGAGCATCATGTTGGTACTCAAAAAGTTTTGGATTTTGGAGCATTTTGGATTTTGGGTTTTGGGGTTTAGGATGCTCAACCTGTACTAGTATAAAGTCAGACATACAGACCAGAGGAAAAGAATAGAGAGCTCAGAAATCAATCTACACATATAAGGTCAACTGATCTTTGACAAAGGTGCCAAGAATATACAATGGGAGAAGTATAGTCTCTTCAACAACTGGTATTGAGAAAACTGCATATCCACATGCAAAAGAATGAAATTTAACTCCTATCTTACACTATACATAAAAATCAACTCAAAATGGATTAAAGACTTACATGTAAGATTTGAAACTGTAAAACTTACGGAAGAACACTTAGAAGGAAAGCTTCACGACATTGATCTTAGCAATAATTTCATAGATATGACACCAAAACACAGGCAACAAAAAGAAAGTGGGATCAAACCAAACTAAAAAGCTTCTGCACAGCAAAGGAAATGATCAACAAAGTGAAAAGCCAACCTAAGGAATGGGAGAAATTATTTGCAAACCATATATTAGATAAGGAGTTAATTTCCAAAATATATATGGAACACCTCAATAACAACAACAGAAAACAAAGAATAACCAGATTAAAAATGGGCTAAAGGTTTGAATAGACATTTCTCCAAAGAAGACATACAAATGGCCAACAGATATATGAAAAAATGCTCAATGTCAGTAGTCAGCAGGGAAATGCAAATCAAAACCACAATGAGATATCATCTCATACCTTCTGGGATGGCTATTTTCAAAAAAACAAAAACCAGCATGTATTAGCAAGGACAAAATTGGAGCCCTCATACACTGTTGGTGGTAATGCAAAGTGGTGCAGCCATTAAGGAAAACAGTATGGAGACTCTCAAAAAATTAAAAACAGAACATATGATCCAGCAGTCTCACTTCTGAGTATCCAAAAAAATTGAAATCAGGATCTCTAAGAGATATTAGCAGGCCAGTGTTCATTGCAGCACCATTCACAATAGCCAGTATGTGGAAACATCCTAAATGCCCATTCGTAGAATATTATTCAGCCTTAAAAAGAAGAAAATACTGCCATATATGACAACATGGATAAAACTTGAAGACATTATCCTAAGTGAACTAAGCCAGTCACAGAAAGAGAAATGCTGTATGATTCCACTTATATAGGGTATCAAAAATAGTCAAACTCATAGAATCAGAAGGTGGTTACCTGGGGCTGTGGGAGGGGGAAATAGGGAGTTGCTTATTAATGGGAATAGTGTCTCAATTATGCAAGGTGAATAAATTCTGGAGATTAGCTGTACAACATTGTCCTTATAGTTAACAATACTGTATTGTACATTTAAAAATTTAAGATGGTAGATTTCATGTTAAATGTTTTACCACAATAAAATGAAAATTATTAAAACATGTATGATGTAAACAAACAAATTTGCATGTTCAACTGCACGCAACAGCCATGATAGTGTTATGAACTAAGGGAGGACAAAGAAAGGAAGGGAGGAAAGGGGCAAACATTTATTGACCACCAGCAGATTTCAGTTAGTTTAAATATATAAGCCTTGCAACAGTCCTCTAATATAGGTATCATTTGCACACATCTATTTGTTAAATAAGGAAACTGAGGCTCAAATGAATTAAATAAATTATTGAGGTCATTGAATTAGTCCGTTCTTACACTGCTATAAAGAAATATCTGAGACTGGGTAATTTATAAAGGAAAGAGGTTTAATTGACTTACAATTCCACATGGCTGGGGAAGCCTCGGGAAACTTACAATCATGGTGGAAGGTGAGGGGGAAGCAAGCACCTTCTTCACAAGGCAGCAGGAGAGAGAACAGCAAAGGAAGAACTTCCAAACACTTATAAAACCATCGGATCTCGTGAGAACTCACTATCACAAGAACAGTATGGGGGAAACTGCCCCCATGATTGAGTCACCTCCCTCCCTCAACACGCAGGGATTATAGGTCCCTCCCTTGAAAAGCGGGGATTACAAATTGAGCTGAGATTTAGGTGGGGACACAGAGCCAAACGATATCAGTCGTACAGCTCAGCCCAGTGTTGGAGGTGGGATTTGGCACCCAGGACATCTGACTCTTTCCATTTGTGTGTGATTAACTCTGCTTGGCTGAGTTGAAAAAAAGCTTCATGGAAGAAATGATATTTGAAGTAGGCACAAGAAGTATGTTTAATATGCACAACTATTATGACAAGGTTGTTGAAAGAGCAATAAGGACCTCATTTTGGCTAAACTGGTAGGAAATAAGAATGGGAAGGAATATTGGGTCAAGACTGGAAGTCTTTACATGCCTTGCTAAGGAGTTTGAATGAGTCAACACAAAACAGCATCATGTCATAGAAAACAAACTAAAATGCATACCCTCACTGATGGCAGGTCAGTGGTATCATCTTTAGGCAGAGAAGACAGCATCCTACTGCCCCCTTGGCTTAGTCAAAAACAAGCAAAAAAAAAAAAGGGGAAGGGGTTATTTTTTAAGAAAGTATGTTTTAATGTTTAAAAGTTTTTTAAAGAATATCTAGTTTTTAGAATATCTAGATAACAGGACTGTGGCAAACTACTCTGACGTCCTTTGTCACAGCTCTTCGGTCCATATCTAATTTCAGCCACAATTGTAGAAGATAGTTCTTTGTGAGTTCAGACTCTTCATAGGCTACAGCACCTTATCTCAAGTATGCATCTTTCTGTTTTCTTTCCTCGAGATTTCTCTGATGCAACAGGAGCCTTCTTCGCCTGTAGACACACAAGCATAGACCAAAAATGTGGAGAAATTATCAACCCCAGGGGCAACCTTCAACTATTCAGAGACCACTTGTCCCAGCAGAACTGAGTCCTCATCACAGCAACAACTTCCATAATTCTTCCTGATACTTTTCCTCTTTCTCTGCCTCCCTTTCCCTACTCCTTTCCTGCTTCCTGGGATCACTTCTCCCATACACCCACCTTCACCCGCATCTTTCTCTCAAGGTCTACTTTTGGAGGAACCCAGTCTAGATAGAGTCCAAAGACAGAAACAAATGTGATCATTCAGTTTTCCAGAATTTTAAGGATGGTTCCTGCCTTAAGAAAACCCACTATTTAAAAATATGTAGAAAATACATGTAAATTAGATCATTGCTCTTATTGCTAAAGGTTCTTCCCCTATGAAATGTTTCACCACAGCATTCATCTAGTATGTTTAAAATATGCTTTGATGTACTTAGAACATTTCAAAAACGTATCTACTCAGTAAAGCATAGTGTACTTGCATTTTAATATTGAAGAATAATGTCTACTACTGCATTATATGAAAATAGCTGGATGGATTTTCACTGGATTTGGAGCTATGTTTGAAATATTCTAAATTAAAATACATGCTGTGTATCATACTTGAAATTTACTTGGGGGGGACCTTAAAGACTTGGGCGACCATCCTCTGGAACACTGACACAGATTTCTTGAGAAGCCCATGTGACATGCATATCACAGACACGGGGATGCCACAAAGCAGATCAAATAAACAATGGTTTCAAAAATGATTTTCAAATGGAAAGTCACAAAGTCATGAATGACATATTGGGATTTATTCATATCATAATGGTTAATCATTCCCCTGCACTTACAGTCTCAAGCATATGCCAGCAAGTTTACAGAATAACATTTAAGTATTGAAGTTGTAAATCTCTGCGAGTAATACCAAAGTATTATTAGTCAATACTTTGGTAAAATGATAACGTTTTTGCATTTTAACAAGGCTTAATATTACTATGGTTTGTCCAGATTTGGAGATTTGAATTAAATCATAAGATGAATACTATTTATAGTAAGTATTATTTTAGATAGGATTTTTTTAAAATAGAAGTTTGTAGAGATACGTGATCACAGAATCTTGTGAGAAAGATCATTTATCTATTCCTCTCATTTTACTGATGGAATCTGACCGGAATTTTTTTTCTTGTTATGTACTTTTTATATTAAAGGCCTGGGAGAAGTTACTGTTTGGAGTTTGTTTTTTTCATGCCCTTGTGCAAGAGAGAAAGAAATTTGGTCCTCTTGGTTGGAATATTCCATATGGATTTAATGAATCTGACTTGCGCATCAGTATCCGACAACTGCAGGTAAAATTAACAAGAAATTAACATTCATGAAGGATCACTATTTATCAGGCCCTAGGCAAGTCTTTTGCTTGGAATAGCTGATTCACTTCTCCCAACACTAACAGGTGGGTAGATGGTAATAACTATGGCTTATGAAGCACTATCTCCATCTGGATTCTTTGTGCTGCAAGTAATGGGAAATCTGATTCAAACTGGCTTAAACCACAATGAAACTCATTACTCACATAATAAAGAGGTGCAGAAGGACACACTCTGGGTTTGGTTGATTCGGCAACATCACAGTGTTGTCATCGAGGACCCTGGTTCTTTGTCTTTGTGCAGTGCCATTGTCAGTGTTGGCTTAACATATGTCCCCACTATCCTCTACTTTCCTCCACTTGGTCAAGTCTACAGCTTAGCTCTATCAATCAACAGAAACAGCTTGTCTACTTTCAGCAGAAAAATAATTTATTGAAAGGATATTGGGTAGCTCAAAGTATCACCAAGACAGCTGGAGAGTCAAGCTCAGAGAAGAGGCATCCAGAGTCAAATCCAAAATCACTCTGTGTCTGATAAGGCAGCATCTCTACCCTTGTTGAATATTAGACCCCAGAGCTTGTATGGCTGCCACATAGACTCTAGTCTATTGCAGGCCTCTGCTGTCGTGACCACATTCAAAGAGATTCTTTGCTGTTACTAATTTTTTTTGAGATGGGGTCTCGCTGTGTTGCCCAGGCTACAGTGCAGTGATGCAATCATAGCTCACTACAGCCTTGAACTCCTGAGTTCAAGCAATCCTCCTGCCTCAGCCTCTGGAGTAACTGGGACTACAGGCACATGCCACCATGCCCAGATAAGTTTGGAAACAGAGTTTCACTCTGTCACCCAGGCTGGAGTGCAGTGGCATGATCTCTGCTTACTGCAAGCTGTGCCTCCCAGTTCAAGCTATTCTTATGCCTCAGCCTCCCAAGTAGCTTGGACTACAGTTGTGTGCCACTGTGCTTGGCTAACTTTTTGTATTTTTTAGTAGAAATGGGGTTTTACCTTGTTGTTCAGGCTTGTCTCAAACTCCTGAGCTCAGGCAATCCACCTGCCTCACCTCCCAAAATGCTGAGATTACAGGTGTGAGCCACTATGCCCGGCCCCTTGTAAGTTTGTTGTTGTTTTTTTTAAACGTATTTTGTAGAGACAGGGTCTTGCTACGTTGTCCAGGCTGGTGTCAAACTCCTGGTCTCAAGCTGGGTTACAGGCATGAGCCACCATAGGTGGTCTGTTCTTGCTTCTCTGTACATTAATCCCCTACTTAGTTTAAGGTGGACGCATCTGAGTAGCCAAGCCCAGGTCACAGGCGTAGGCTTTAGCTGTAAGGGAGCTTGGGAAAGTGAGTAGCTGGCCTTTCACACAAACACAGAATATTAATATTTTTCTGCTCTTTTGCTGTTCTGAGGGGCCTTTTTGAAATAGGACCTAATGAAGTGAAAAGAGAAGCATTGATAAAGTCTAATTAATTGGTGCTATTAGATTTCAGTCAGGTAGGTTTTTGTAAGGCTATAAGCATTTAATCATATTTACACCAACCTTTAAAATAAAAATTGTTAACACATAATTTGTATAGAAATAGTTGATATTTTATCGAGTCTTTAAAAAATATCAGGGCAGAAACCTTAACTGGAATAAATATGTCCATTTGAAAATCCTTGTAACAGTTGTTGAGATTGGTGCCTATGGAATTGTAACTGCATGATGAAATGACGTTGATTTTAAACATTGGTTTTCGAGACCAATTTAGTTGGTACAGCCTAAGCTTGGAGAACATTTTGCCAAAACCATCATACTGCATATAATCAATCATCTTCTGGCCAAGCCCCAGCCTACAGCTTCTGATGTCATCAACCTTTCTAGCCCCAACATTGGAAACTGCCAGCATTGGCTGGATCCGTGTTTCATTTCTTCAGAAACTGGAAAGATGATTGAGGATTAATCCTTAAGCCATCTTCACCTGGTATGAGCAGGCTGCCTCTCTCCAAAAGGCAAATCAGAAAACTGATGGGGCTAAGTGGAAAGACAGCCAGAGAATGAGCTGTTGGTCTCCACTTCTTGCATATGCCACAAATTTAACATTACATTCTCGTGAAGTCTCTTCCTTCAGCTTTGGGAGGGGAAGGAACCCAGTTGAACACACCCTTCCCCTCCCCCAAAGAAGAGACATGGAAAAACTTTACTCTTTTTGCAAATAATTCATTTCCCAAAACGACGACCTTCCCTCTTTCTCAGTCCCCTTTCATATCTCTTGACGCCTCTCTTCCTCTTCAAAACGTGGGAGTCTTAAAGGATTAAGCCTTCTTTCAACTTGGTTCTAGAGAATTTAGAATTATTTTTTTCTCAACTGTGCATAATTAAGTAAACTTCAGGGGCAGGAAAAGCTCTCAACCCACAACTTATACCATCCCAATACACATACTATCAAAAATTCCTGTATATTAGAACAAGTATGGGATCTGGAACTGGAAGAAATAAATTCAGGCCTTCATATTACTTCACATTTACTAGACTGTTTCCTACTCTGCAGAGTTATTGAGAGGCGAATAAGACAATATAAAAACTATGCAAATGATAGTTTTTATTACTATTATTACAACAATAATAAGGAAACTAGAAATGATATGTATTGCCAGTGGAACTGTGTCATAGTGTGTGATTTATGCTGTTGCACTAAAGTTTGAAATTGCTTTGTTTTTAATCACATTGTGAAAAGTCTCCTAAACCAGGCACCTGGTTCTCAGCCTTAGCATGATTGGCATTTTGGGCCAGATAGTTCTTTGCTGTGGGCAGCTCTCCTGTGTATTGTCTAGCAGCAGCCCAGGCTTCTACCCAATAGATGCCAGTAACACCCCAGCCCCCACCACAGTTGTGACCATCTAAGTTATCTCCAGACATTGCCAAATGTAACCTGGGGGACAAAACCCCAGTTGATAGCTAGTGCCATAAAACAAGGTTTATCCACATTCATATGAAAAATACTTGGTAATTTCCATGTCGTCTTTTTTTATTAAATGTTTTTCTCATTACAGAAGCAATATGTCTTTATTTCAGAAAAAATTAGAGACACAGACAAGCAATTTAAGATAAAATACTATCAGCCAGCTGCAGTGGCTCACGCCTGTAATCCCAGCACTTTGGGAGGCTGAGTTGGGTGGATCACCTGAGGTCAGGAGTTCAAGACCAGTCTGGCCAACATGGTGAAACCCTGTCTCTACTAAAAATACAAAAAATTAGCTGGGCGTGGTGGCACACTCCTGTAATCCCAGCTACCTGGGAGGCTGAGGCAGGAGAATCGCTTGAACCTGGGAGGCGGAGGTTGCAGTGAGCTGAAATCATGCCTCTGCACTCCAGCCTGGGCGACAGAGCGAGACTGTCCAAAAAAAAACTAACAATCTCAGCTACCGAAAGACAACTCATGATAATTCTTTCAACCCCCTTTCTAGATAGATAGATACATACTTAAAATGGAAATGAAGTGAAATACTTTAAGGTTTTTCTTGTTTCATTTTTCCTTTGCTTCAGTTATTTATCAATGAATATGATACAATTCCATTTGAAGCTATATCTTACCTGACTGGGGAGTGTAATTATGGAGGAAGAGTGACAGACGATTGGGACAGACGTCTTCTATTAACCATGCTGGCTGACTTTTATAATCTGTACATAGTTGAAAACCCTCATTATAAGTTTTCTCCCAGTGGAAACTATTTTGCACCTCCTAAAGGCACTTATGAGGACTACATTGAATTCATTAAGGTAATGATGTCACCAAAAATAAGGTTAGATTAATGTGTGATTTTTCTAACAGCAAATGGTGAAATGTTCTTCTCTAATGTATAGGTTTAGACAAATATTATGGTTTTAATCAACTTTTAATAATCTTTTTCTAGTAATTACTGAAAATTAGAAAAGTTTGAGTATTCCATTATTTGATGTTGATTTTTAACCCTTTTTTGGTCTGCACATGTCTGCCTTATGAATTCATGTATTGTAGGAAAGGAAAAACTTTACCCTCTTAGGCTCAGTGCCAGGGGCCTGCCAATCAAACTGACAAAAAACAAATTAGCAGGAGAAGAGGCAGTATAGTTTGTATGGATATTAACATTTTTCTGTGCACATGAGCTTTGCAGAAAAGGAGTGAAAACCAAACGATGCAGTTGTACTTGGGCATATTTACCATTTTAACAGAGGGTGATAAATTGTAGAGACATGACTAGATAAAGGAAAGGGGGTTTAGAGTTCTAGGGGCAATACATTGTGGGAAAGTGATTAGGAAACATATGGGGGAAACTAGTGGAAGATAAGGATTATTTTGACTGAGGTCTGTTTATACAGACTCATCTCAGTGCCAGTTCTGTCTCCAGTGAGAAGGGTCATTCTCTTCATCCTGGTACAAGAAAGAGGAAATGTATGCTACAAGTCAAAAATGGAAATTGATGCCCTACTTTTAGACAGATAAGGGGAGGGCAGAGACCTCTTTCTGTATCTGTTAATTATTAATTGGCTTCAACTCACATAACCCCTATGCCAAAGTAGCATATTTTGGAGTAGCGTATCCTGATCATCCCTTTCAGTATCCAGGGAAAATATGATGCATGCTTAATTTGTTTTCTGGTAGAAACTTCCATTTACTCAACACCCTGAGATATTTGGATTACATGAAAACGTTGACATCTCCAAGGATCTTCAACAAACAAAAACCCTCTTTGAGTCCTTGCTCCTCACCCAGGGAGGCTCCAAACAGACAGGAGCCTCAGGAAGTACTGATCAGATTCTGTTAGAAATTACCAAAGATATCCTCAACAAGGTAATGTTCAGCTTAAAATATGTTACTTATAATATAAATAAAAATGATACTGAAATGACAATCTGAAAACTCCATGTACTAGCATTATGATCTTGAGCAAGAACTTTGCCTCTCTAAGCATTAGCCTCCAAATCCGTTAAATGGTGATAATACTACCAATTTTTTTAAGTTTTTTGAGAACATTAAAGACATCATGAATTTAAAGTGGCTTATAAAATGCCTGGCATATAGTAAGTTCTTAGTAACTGTGGTTGTGGATGAGCTAAGGTACATAGGACTTATATACATTACTGTACGTTATGAGCTAATGTACATATACACCCTAGTATTAGCTATTATTATATAATGGCTGAATTAAGCTAATTATCCATTCTGAGAATAATTTGTGATCTTCAAAATCTATTCTTTTAGCTCCCTAGTGATTTCGACATTGAAATGGCACTACGGAAGTATCCTGTGAGATATGAAGAAAGCATGAATACTGTGTTAGTACAAGAAATGGAAAGATTTAACAAGTAAGGATCTATATCCCCAGTGATTCAGAAGGCAACTGTCTTCTTATATTAATAAGAAAAATAAAATAGTGTTGAAGTGTTGGGGCGGCGAAAATTTTGAGGGTGGTATGAAGAGAGAATGGGCGATGTTTCTCAGGGCTGCTTCAAGCGGGATTAGGGGCGGTGTGGGAACCTAGAGTGGGAGAGATTAAGCTGAAGGCAGATTTTGTGGTAAGGGGTGATATTGTAGGGTTGTTAGAAGAAACATTTGTCTTACAGAATTATTGGTGATGGCCTGGATACGGTTTTGTATGAATTAAAAAATTAAATGGAATAAGAGAAGAAGAAAAACAGGTATTAAAGGACTAAGAATTGGGAGGACCTAGGACATCTAATTAGAGAGTGCCTGAGGAGGTTCAGCGTAGCCTTGCCAGCAAAGATTATTTATTTACTTTAAGAGTTAAGAGTGGCGGTTTGGGGATAGCACCAGGAGATATCAGCTGTGATGGCTTGGAAAACAGTGTAAACCGGCAGTGTAAACAAGAGCAGGGCATTTATGAGTAGTTGAGAATGGTGAATAGGAGTATGACTAGACAAGATAGCAGGGATGACAAGTTTTTTGGGGCACAGTCCAAGTTGATCTGGTGTCTGGAATGAGACTGGGGCCTAATAAAAAGGAGTGTCTATACAGGAGCTTAAATGGGCTGTACCTTGTAGCATTCTGAGGACAGGCCTGAATTCTGAGAAGGGCAAGTGGTAAAAGTATTGTCCAGTCATTTTTAAGTTGGTGGCTGAGCTTGGCGAGGTGTGTTTTTAAAAGACCATTAGTTCACTGAATACTAAGAGCCTGAGGAACTGCTTGGGTGATTTGACTAATAAAGTCCGGTCCATTATAGGACTGTATAGAGGTGGGAAGGCCAGAGAGAGGAATTATGTCTGACAGAAGGGAAGAAGTGACCATGGTGGCCTTCTTAGACCCTGTGGGAAAGGCCTCTACCTATCCAGTGAAAGTGTCTACCCAGACCAAGAGGTATTTTAGTTTCCTGACTCAGGGCATGTCAAGTAAAGCCAATTTGCCAGTCCTGGGCGGGGGCAAATCCCTGAGCTTGATGTGTAGGGAAGGGAGGGGGCCTGAATAATCCCTGAAGAGTAGTAGAATAGCAGATGGAACACTGAGAAGTTATTTCCTTGAGGATAGAGTTCCACGATGGAAAGGAAATGAGAGGTTCTAAGAGGCAGGTTAGTGGCTTGTACTATAGCATAGCCTGCCTTTGCTGGTGTGTGGCAATTAGGCCTGGTGGAACTGCCATCAGTAAACCAAGTGTGATCAGGGTGAGGAACAGGAAAGAAGGAAATATGGGAAAATGGGGTGAATGTCAGGTGGATCAGAGAGATACAGTTATGGGGGTCAGGTGTGGTATCAGGAATAATGTGGGAGGCCAGATTGTAGTCCCTGCCAGGAACAATGGTAATTGTGGGAGACTCAACAAAGAGTGAGTACAGCTGAAGGAGCCAGGGAGCAGAAAGTGTATGTGTCAGGTGTGAGGAAGAAAATAGATTTTGGAAATTATGAGAACTATAGAGAGTGAGTTGAGCATAGTTTGTGATTTTAAGGGCCTCTAAAAGTATTAGGGTGGTGGCGGCCACTGCACGCAGACTTGAGGGCTAGGCAAAACAGTAAGGTCAAGTTGTTTGGATAAAAAGGCTACAGGGCGCAGTCGCAGTTCTTGTGTAAGAATTCTGACTGCACAGCCCCGTATTTGGGCTGTGGGTAATGAAAAGGGTTGGGATGAGTCAGGGAGAGCTAGGGTGGGGGCAGTCTCTAAAGCTGTCTTCAAGGAATGGAAAGAGGAGTGGGGAAAGGATTTAGGATCTATGGGGTCAGCTAGGTTTCCTTTTGTGAGTTTATATAATGTTTTTTGGCAAAACCAGGTATCTAAAGTCGTATCTAACCATGCCTAGGAAGGAAAGGAGTTGTTGTTTTGTAGGTGCTGGGGTTTGAGAGATCAGTCGGACACGATCGGCAGGGAGAGCACATGTGTTTTTATGAGAATTATGCCGAGATAGGTAACAGATGAGGAAGAAATTTGGGCGTGACTGAAGAAATGGGGGCTGTCTGAAGCCTTGTGGCAGTACAGCCCAGGTAGTTTGCTGAGCCTGATGGGTGTCAGGGTCAGTCCAAGTGAAAGCGAAGAGAGGCTGGGATGAAGGGTGCAAAGAATAGTAAAGAAAGCATGTTTAAGATCCAGAACAGAATAATGGGTTGTGTAGGGAGGTATTGAGGATAGGAGAGTATATGGGTTTGGCACCACGGGGTGGATAGGCAAAACAATTTGGTTGATAAGGCACAGATCCTGAACTAACCTGTAAGCCTTGTCTGGTTTTAGGACAGGTAAAATGGGGGAATTGTAAGGGGAGTTTATAGGCTTTAAAAGGCCATGCTGTGGCAGGCGAGTGATAACAGACTTTAATCCTCTTAAAGTGTGCTGTGGGATGGGATATTGGCATTATGCGGGGTAAGGGTGATTAGGTTTTAATGGGATGGTAAGGGGTGCATGATCGGTCGCTAAGGAGGGAGTAGCAGTGTCCTATACTTGTGGGTTAAGGTGGGGAGATACAAGGGGAGGATGTGAAGCAGGCTTTGAACTGGGGGAAAAGGCGGCAATGAGGTGTGGCTGTAGCCCAGGAATAGTCAGGGAAGCAGATAATTTAGTTAAAGTGTCTCAGCCTAATAAGGGAACTGGGCAGGTGGGGATAACTAAAAAGGAGTGCTTAAAAGAGTATTGTCTAAGTTGGCACCAGAGTTGGGGAGTTTTAAGAGGTTTAGAAGCCTGGCCGTCAATACCCACAACAGTTATGGCGGCAAGGGAAACAGACCCTTGAAAAGAAGGTAATGTGAAGTGGGTAGCCTCTGTATTGATTAAGAAGGGGACGGACTTACCTTCCACTGTGAGAGTTACCCGAAGCTTGGCATCCGTGATGGTTTAGGGGCTTCTGAGGCGATCGGGCAGTGTCAGTCTTCAGCCGCTAAGCGGAGAAGATCTGGGAAGGAGTCAGTCAGAGAGCCTTGGGCCAGAGTTCCAGGGGCTCTGGGAGTGGCTGCCAGGTGAGTTGAACGGTCCGATTTTCAGTGGGGTCCCGCACAGATGGGACGTGGCTTATGAGGAATCCCGGGCTGCGGGCATTTCTTGGCCCAGTGGCCAGATTTCTGGCACTTGTAGCAAGCTCCTGGGGGAGGAGGTTCTGGAGGAAAGCCTCGGTGCTGCGGTTCAGGCGTTTTGAAGTTCTTGTGTGCTGGAGACGTGGCTGGGGTTTGTCTCACAGTGGAGGCAAGGAATTGCAACTTTTTTCTATTATCATACACCTTGAAGGCAAGGTTAATTAAGTCCTGTTGTGGGGTTTGAGGGCCGGAATTTAATTTTTGGAGCTTTATTTAAAGTCAGAAGCGGATTGGGTAATAAAATGTATATTGAGAATAAGACGGCCTTTTGACCTTTTAGGGTCTAGGGCTGTAAAGCGTCTCAGGGTTGCCGCCAAATGAGTCATGAACTGGCTGGGTTTTTCATATTTGATGAAAAAGAGCCTAAACACTAACTGATTTGGGAGAAGTGGGATAAAGAAAAAGGAGCATTAACCTTGACTATGTCTTTAGCTCCAGCCACCTTTTTAAGAGTAAATTGCTGGGCAGGAGGGGGAGGGCTAGTCGCGGAATGAAACTGTAAGCTGGACCGGGTGTGAGGAGGGGAGGTGATAAAAAGATTATAGGGTGGAGGAGCGGAGGCTGAGGAAGAATTGGGACCTAGCTCGGCCTGGCGAGGAGCAGCCTGGGGAGGAGGGGAGAGGTCAGATGGGTCTGTAGAAAAGGAAGATTAGAAAGACTCAGCGACGCTTGGGGTTGGGATTGAGGGGAGAGGTGAGAGGGAAAGAAGGAGGGTTTGGGATGAGTCGCATCGGGAACAGAGACTAGGGAGGGAACAATGTGTAAAAGAATGCCTGGACGTCAGGCACCTCAGACTGTTTGCCTATTTTACAATAAGAATTATTTAGATCTTGTAGGATGGAAAAATCGAAAGTGCCGTTTTCTGGCTATTTGGAACCACTGTCGAGTTTGTATTGGGGTCAAGCGGCATTGCAGAAGAAAATGAGGCATTTAGGTTTAGGTCAGGTGTGAGTTGAAGAGGTTTTAAGTTCTTCAGAACACAGGCTAAGGGAGAAAAAGGAGGAATGGAGGGTGGAAGGCTGCCCATGGTGAAGGAGGCAAGCCCAGAGAAAAGAGAGTAGAGACACGAAGAGAAGGGGTGGGGGGTGCTTGCCCCCCAGGAAAGTGGAGAAGGGGTAGAGACATGGAGAGAAGGGGTCAGAGAGTTCTTGCCCTCCAGAAAAGCAGAAAAGGTGTAGAGACACGGAGAAAAGGGGTCGGGGGGTTCTGGCCCTCCAGAAAAGCGGTACTTGCTGCTAAGGGTGAAGGACCAAGGCAGGCATCCCTGTGTGGTCAGACACCTCTGAAACGTGGGTGAATAATCAGGCAGGTGTCCCCTGCGTGATTAAAAACCAAGGGAAGACTGTCTTCCCAAGTCCATGTTCAGCGCCGGAGTTTTGGGTTCACGGATAAAATGCATCTCCTTTGTCTCTACCAGAAAAGGAAAGGAACTGAAATTGAGAGAAGAGAGAGATTGAAGTTTGGCGCCAAGATTGAAAGGAGAAAGAGGTTGAGGGATAGTAAGAGAGGTTGGAGAAGAGAGTAAAAAAAAGGCTGCTTACCTGATTTAAAATTGGTGAGATATTCCTTGGGCTGGTCGGTCTGAGGACCCGAGGTCATAGGTGGATCTTTCTCACCGAGCAAAGAGCAGGAGGACAGGGGAGTGATCTCCCAAGGGAGGTCCCCCGATCCGAGTCATGGCACCAAATTTCACTCGCTTCCATGTGGAGAGACCACCAAACAGGCTTTCTGTGAGCAATAAAGCTTTTAATCACCTGGGTGCACGCAGGCTGAGTCCGAAAAGAGAGGTTTTGTCAGTGAAGGGAGATGGGGTGGGGCCGTTTTATAAGATTTGGGTAGGTAAAGGAAAATTACAGTCAAAGGGGGGTTGTTCTCTGGCGGGCAGGAGTGGGGGGTCACAAGGTGCTCAGTGGGGGAGATTTTTGAGCCAGGATGAGCCAGGAAAAGGAATTTCACAAGGTAATGTCATCAGTTAAGGCATGGACCAGCCATTTTCACTTCTTTTGGGGTGGAATGGCATCAGTTAAGGCAGGAACAGGCCATTTAAATTTCACTTCTTTTGTGATTCTTCAGTTACTTCAGGCCATCTGGATGTATACGTGCAGGTCACAGGGGATATGATGGCTTAGCTTGGGCTCAGAGTCCTGACAGCAACCATCCAAAGTCAATAAAAACACACAATGGTATTGAGCTGAAAAGACTATTAAATCCTGTCATTTCATTGGAATTTTCCCCTTTTAAAAAGTTCTGGCCAGGCTCAGTGACTCATACTATAACCCCAACACTTTATAAGGCCGAGGCAGGAGGATCGCTTGAGCCCTGAAATCCCAGCTTCGGAAACATGGCAAAACCCCGTCAACAAAAATTTAAAAATTATCCAGGCGTGGTAGCGGGCACCTGTAGTCTCAGCTACTTGGGAGGCCAAGGTGGGAGAATCGCTTGAGCCTGGGAGATGGAGGCTGCAGTGAACAGAGATCGTGGCACTGCACTCCAGCCTGTGTTACACAGTGAGACCTTGTCTCAAAAAAAAAAAAAAAGAAAAAGAAAAGAAAGAAAAAGTTCCATATCTTCTGTCTCAGAAGAGAGGGTATCTTTTTTTTTTTTTTTTTTTTGAGCTGGCGTCTTTGCTCTGTCGCCCAGGCTGGAGTGCAGTGGCAAGATCTGGGCTCACTGCAAGCTCTGCCTCCTGGGTTCACGCCATTCTCCTGACTCAGCCTCCTGAGTAGCTGGGACTACAGGCGCCCACCACCACGACTGGCTAATTTTTTGTATTTTTAGTAGAGATGGGGTTTCACCATGTTAGCCAGGATGGTCTCGATCTCCTGACCTCGTGATGCACCCGCGTCGGCCTCTCCAAGTGCTGGGATTACAGGCGTGAGCCACCACGCCCAGTTGAGTGGGTATTTTTTAAAATGTAAAAATGATGATGAAAAGAGATCTGTTATTACTGGTTAAAAATATTCATTAATCATAACTTCTCATCCATCTGTTAACTATTCTTCTTAGGAATTAGAGACAGAATAAACATTAGCTAGACCTATGTGTAGTCACATCTTTTGTCATTTTTCTGCTACCTGGCCAGGCGCAGTGGCTCACGCCTGTAATCCCAGCACTTTGGGAGGCCGAGGCAGGTGAATCACCTGAGGTCAGGAGTTCGAGACCAGCCTGGCCAACATGGTGAAACCCCTTCTCTACTAAAAATACAGAAATTAGCTGGGTGTGGTGGTGCATGCCTGCAATCTCAGTTACGCAGGAGGCTGAGGCAGGAGAATTGCTTGAACCTGGGAGGGGGAGGTTGCAGTGAGCCGAGATCATGCCGCTGCACTCCAGCCTGGGCAACAGAATGAAACTCTGTCTCAAAAAAAAAAAAAAAAAAAAAAAAAATACATATATATATATATATATATATATATATATATATACACCTGATGCCTTAGTTAATTCAGCATTTCTTATACAAAAGTTATATTTATGTATATATAATAACACAGTATCTCTCAGCTGCTCAGGCTTCTAGCCTAAAAACTCTCACTACAAGTATATTTATGGTATTCTTAACAAGTTGGGCCTAAGTGCAAGTAAAGTATTTGCAAGTGTATAAATGAATATACAATTTATGTTTTCATGCAGTGTTTGTTTCAGCCATTGCACGACATCATTACAGCTTTTTCATATTTGCCTGTCACCTGAAATATTACTTACCTAATATTTTTCCTTAAATCATTGTCTGCTTAAATTAGCCAGGTCCTAAGCAAAAATAGCCAGAAAGCAAAAATTTTGATATGCTAGTTGTATTACTTTCTATATTTTAAAATATGTATGTAATGATTAAAATGAAAAATGTTCATACATGTATCACTTAACATTAGCTCACGTACCACCACATGGGAGGTGACACATTTTGGGAAGCAATCCCATAAAGCTGGGAATGAAATTCCTGCTGTTCTTCTTCTGGAAAGACCGTATGTTGATATCATCATATATGTTGATGACATAATTTCTTTCATTGCAGTTTAATTATAACTATACGTAACACTCTACGGGACCTTGAAAAAGCTATTAAGGGTGTGGTTGTGATGGATTCTGCATTGGAGGCACTCTCCGGTAGCTTACTTGTTGGAAAGGTTCCAGAAATATGGGCCAAACGTTCATACCCAAGCCTTAAGCCCCTGGGAAGTTACATCACAGATTTCCTAGCCCGGTTGAACTTTTTACAGGTAAAATGTGTGTGTGTGTGTGTGTGTGTGTGTGTGTGTGTGTGTGTGTGTGTGTGTAAAATACATGTATAAATATGTAAAATATACAGACACATGTAAAATTTTATTTTTTGGGTTAACTGGGGAGATATTAGTTGTTGGCTGTGGTCACTTGAGTGTCTCTGAGTTGAATGAAATGTGATGAGTAGCTTTGTGATAGTCTGATGAAAATTTTAGAATATTGAAAAATATACACATTTCAAAGTACTGAGTGGAAAATTAAAATTATACTTCAGCCAAACCAATGTAATATGTGACATTTATATTTTTCAAAATTCGAAGTTTGTGGTTTTCTGAGACCAAGATTCTAAGTTTGTGGTCCTGTAAGACCACAGTTTAAAGTTGTCTTGTGATTTTAATACTGATGGTAAGTCAAAAATCCTGAGGCTTGGATTTTTTTTTTTTTTTTTTTTTTTTTTTTTTTTTTTTTGAGACAGGGTCTTGCTCTGTCATCCAGGCTGGAGTGCAGTGGTGTGATCTTAGCTCACTGTAATCTCAAAATCCTGGGATCCTCTTGAATAACTGGAACTACAGGCATGTGCCACCATACGTGGCTAATTTTACTTTTTGTAGAGATGGAGTCTCACCAAGTACCCCACGCTGGTGCCTCACTCCTGACCTCAAGCAATCCTCCCACCTTGGCCTCCCAAAGCACTGGGATTACAGGCCAGAGGCTTGGGTTTATCAATAATTGGCCATTGTCTTTAAATCAGTGCCTCTTATCTCAGAAAACCAGGGAAAAGATAAGTATTTTGAATGCCCCCTCTGCCCTCCCCCCAGCATAAACATCAGACAGAACACTGCTTTTCCTTCTCAACTCCACTGCCTGCCCCCATTCTATGGTTGATGTTTATGAAGGAGTATGGGGTGGGGAGAATCCCAAAACTATTTTTTTTTTGGAAATTCTCAAAGGTATATGATCTTTCAGTGTTCAGTTGCCTTTTTATTGCACAAAAGCTTTCTTTCACTGTATAAGCTAATCATAAAATAACCAGTGCTTGTAAGAATGTAGAGAGACAGACTTTCTCCTATATCGCTTTAAAATTTTTGCCAATCTGATAGGTCAACCATATCTTGCTGTTTCCATTCGACTTTCTTTAATGACTAGTGAGCCTATGCTTCTTTAGTATGTGTGATTTCCATTTGTGGTGTGTGTGGGTGTGTGTGTGTACTGTCAATTCATATCCTAGGCCCATTTTTCTTTTGTATTATTTATTAATTGATAGGAGCTTTTCATGTAGATTATATGTTTAACAAAAGGAATAATACAAAACAGAATATTGAAAGGGTTTCCTCCATTGTTCTCTTACCCTTATAGAAGCTATAGTTCTCTCATTATCTTTCTTTCTCTTGGACTCTTCTTTACCTCCTAATGGTTCTTAGAGTTAACAAGTTAAGCAAATGAGTCATCTGAATTTTCTATTATTTCTGTCTTGGGTGCAACTGACTGGGGCCAGCGTCATGGTCAGTAAAACAATTTACCAAGACAATCGTAGGTAAAGAAAGGCAGATTTATTAGAGAAAGTATGAAAATACATTGAAACAGTGCAGTGGGCAGCACAGCAGAGAAGAGGCTATCTGCAAAGAACCAGGGGCTGGAGGGAAGTTTTGTAGGGTGGTACTAGAGGGGCTATGCAGAACAAGGTGGTGCTGCTCGGGCTACAGGCACAGCAAGGTATTTGGAAACAAGATGTGCTAGTGGATTGTCTGTAATTAGACATTTTTCAGAACAATTGTTCTCCCCCACGTGGGGCCCTTTCCTCATTGTTACAGGACTCTACACTTTCCTCATTTCTCTCTCACTGTTCACCCTATCGATCTCCTTTTTAGTCAGTTCAGGCTGCTATAAAAAAGCAAAATAGACTAGATAACTTAAAGAACAGACATTTATTTCTCAAGCTCTGGAGGCTGGAAAGTCTGAGATCAAGATGCCATCATGGTCAGGTTACTGGTGACAGCTCTCCTGGTTCACGATGAGAGAAAAAGAGAAAAATGTCTCTTCTGTTTCTTCTTATAAGGGTGCTAATCCTATCATGAGGGCTCCACCCTTATGACCTAATTACCTCCCAAAGGCTCCATCTCCAAATACCATCACCTTGGAGATGAGGGTTTCAATCTATGAATTTTGGAGGAAAACAAACATTCAGTCCATAGCATCTTCACATTCTCTCCTTCCTGTGCCTTTTTTTTAAAAAAAAAACTTTTTGCACACTGCCTAAAATCCCAGCATAAATCCTGATCTAACACTTAACTATCTTTGTGACTTTTAGCAAGTTACTCATCTTTCTGTACCCCAGTTTCTTCATCTGTAAAATGACAGAAATAATATTCAACTCACTGTTATTTTATAGAGTAAATGAGGCAATGCATATGAAATGTTTAGCACAGTGCCTGGCATGTACTAAGCACTTAGTAAATGGTAGCTAATTCAGAGGTAGTACAAGTAGCTGACCACAGACACTAATGACACTCTGGGATAAAGGAAGCCACGGGCGAGTGGGTTTTCTAAATGTTTGCCTTGTGGGTCTTTACAGCTTTCTTGTGCTTGGTGCTCGCTCTCCCTGGTTTTACCCTTGTCAGACTTCATCTCTTTCTCTGCCTCTTCTTGACCTGACAGCTTGTACTGTTGCAGCATCTCCAGCAGCAGTTTGTTCTCTTCCTCCTATGGAGCAAAACTGGCTTCTTCCCAGAGTGTATTGCCTGCTCAGAGACAAAGTCCATTTCATTGATTCATCTGTTCATTCCATAAATATGAATTGAGACCTCATTTTATTCAAAGCACCTTGTGTGTCCTGTGATAAAAAGATAATCACAACAAAAGTCCTGCCCTGAAGCTGCCAAGAGCTTACAGGGGACAAGCCATGTATCTAAAGAAAATTAGTACACTATAGTAAGGGATGTTCCATAAGAGACCAACATGTAAAATGCTCTGGGATTTCAAAGAAGGGAGAGAGTTCTTATGGCACAAGAAAGCAGAGATTGTTTCATGGATGAGGTAGCATTTAAGTGGGATTTAAAGAATGAATGGTTTAGATACTGCAAAGAAAGGAAAAAGAGATCACTATGTAGCTTATGGGATAAAAAGCACTGTACCACTTTGGATTGATTCCATTATAAGTAACAAAAATTCTGACATAAGCAAAAATGAAGTTTGTTCCCTCATGTAACTGCAAACTCCAGGAGCTAAAGTGGCTTCAGGTAACATTTGACCAGGGTGCAAACATGGATATCTTGTCCTGGCTTCTTGCACTTCATCTGTTGTCTCCATTCCCTTTGGGTAAACTCCATTCTCAGGCTGTCATCTGATGGTAGCAAGATAGCAACAGCAACTCTGGCCTCACATCCACCCAACTTTGAGGAGTTGAGAGTGAGTCTTTTCTCCGAAAGTCCCAGCAAGAGTTTCTGCATCTCTGGCTTTGATTGGGTCACATGTCCATTTCTGAATCAGTCACTCAGGCTGGAAGTATGACTGGCCAGGTGTGAGTCACCAGCCTACCCTGCATGGCTAGGTGGAGTTCTACCACCAGAGGTGCCTGGACTGAGAAGCTTGGACTGAGAAGGATGGTATCACTTCAAGATAGGCAGGAAAACAACAAATGTCCACCCAGCACAAAGAGACCAGCAAATAGTCCAGTCCCTTTAGTCCAGTCCAGATTAGAATGCAGGATGCCTGAAAGGAAGTAAAAGAGATATAATAGAACTGAAAATACATTGGGGATGGATTGTGAAGTATCTATGTTTTTGGTTTGTTTGTTTGTGTGAAGTATCTTGAATAGGAGACCAAGAGGCTTAAGCTTTAATTTGGTGCATCACTGAACAATTTGGTAGGTCACTGATGCTACACTGATGCAAGATGCTACGTCTGATCCAAATTCTGCACGGTGAGTTATATTCTG
This sequence comes from Homo sapiens, assembly GCF_000001405.40. Lineage (NCBI taxonomy): Eukaryota > Metazoa > Chordata > Mammalia > Primates > Hominidae > Homo > Homo sapiens. The sequence goes on along the minus strand of NC_000003.12, from coordinate 57,297,799 downwards.
GCAATTCTTCTGGATAGATTGAGCAGAAAGGGAAGAAGCAAGAAGACAACATGCACTGGTACAGAAAGAAGACCATGAATAGCTGAACTGGAGTGAGGGCAGTGGACACAGAGACAAGGGGTTTAAGAGGGTTAAGGAACTGGGGGCCGGGCGCGGTGGCTCACACCTGTGATCCCAGGACTTTGGGAGGCCAAGGTAGGCAGATCACTTGAAGTCAGGAGTTCCAGACCAGCCTGGCCAACATGCTGAAACCCCATCTCTACTAGAAATACAAAAACTAGCCAGGCATGGTGGTGCACGCCTGTAATCCCAGCTACTCAGGAGGCTGAGACAGGAGAATCACTCGAACCCAGGAGGCAGAGGCTGCAGTGAGCTAAGATCATGCCACTGCACTCCAGCCTGGGTAATGGTGCGCGATTTCATCTCAAAAAAAAAAAAAATAGGGTTAAGGAACTGGAATCAACAAATGAGGTCTATAATTAGACAATGTGTAAGATGTCTAATGATGGTTGCTTTTGAGTGGGATGATATAATAAAGCATCAAATAATTTACATTTGGCTTTTGCAGAAGATTTGACTCTTCAAACTATGTTTCATTCACGTTAATGCTCAAATTGTTCTGAGTTTTCCAAGAAGAGTAGAAGGGGAAAGAGGTGAGAGGGCCAAGGTAGGCTGTGTGTTTGACGTCAGGGAAGAGGGCCTCGTGATGGAAAATGTGGGCAACATAAGCAAAAACCAGAATCAGGAATTGTACATCAGGTGGCACTTGTATAACTTTAAAAACTGACATAATGTGTTTTGTTTTCCCTTTGTAGGACTGGTATAATTCAGGAAAACCTTGTGTGTTTTGGCTGTCAGGTTTCTTTTTCACTCAGGCCTTTTTAACTGGAGCTATGCAGAATTATGCCAGAAAATATACCACCCCTATTGATTTGCTAGGATATGAATTTGAGGTATAGTAACTCCTTAAAGTCAACAGTATATCATTACATTAAGTCATGTATTTAAACCGAGTTTATGTATTGTAACCCATTGTAAGCAATTTTACTTCATTCTTTGTGTTGTAAGAATATTTGTCTTGCTATCCCTTAGAACTTTTATATATTGCAATATTTGATTTAAATAATCCAACGCTGTTCTTCTACTTTAGCAAAAATTATGAGGTACAGTACAATCTGATAAAATACTTCAAAAAGAAGTACTTTTATACTTTTTTACAAACTACGGCTGAAAAAATGTATAGTTTAACAAGCTATTATACAATAGAGTTTCCCTGAATGTGTTCTGAATATTTCGCTAATGTGTTCTTTATGAGATGAAGTTGTCTGGAGAGGATCACTGCTAGTGTGTGCCTATCCCTTCAGGTTATCCCATCTGATACATCTGACACATCACCAGAAGATGGTGTTTATATCCACGGACTGTATCTCGATGGCGCACGCTGGGACCGAGAAAGGTCAGTGGATTCAGCTGCCAGGACCTCTTCATTTGTAGCTGAATCATAGATAAGATAAGCAATCTGTTGCTTAAAAAAAAAGTCCTCTTTTAAGGCAAGTAATAATAACATCAGAACTCTCACATAAATTATTAGTCAAGCTGGGGCAACTGATGAGTTGTTATTTTTAGGTCTTGAATAATTTTTAGTCAATATTTCAGTAGTCTTATTAGTAGAAAAGTTAGCTGAAATTATTTTCCTGCCTATTCCATTTTATAACAGTTTCCTTCTATTTTGTAATGTGTAGGACCACCTCACTTTTAAATGGTTTACAGTTAGTTATAATGAAGTTCACCTTTCTGTTAGTGAATGGGAAACCTTTTCTTGCATTTTGATGAGATAATAAATAAATATTTACAATAAATACTGAATTTCCTGCTTCACTCAGGAAATTAAGCAATACTATTCCTGTTTAAAATATATGGGATAGAGAAAAGGAGACAAAGTTTCCCTTGGAGCCCTGGCCACATGGACAATCATTAAAAATTGGCAGACATTCATATGTGTCCACTGTTTACCCTTTGCCTTTCCATCATTGTCTTTTGTTTCTCTCAATTCTTCATTGCCATTTTCTCATTTTCTTTTTTTACATTTCTTTTTCTCTATGCCTCTAGTCCTTTCTTTTAGTAAAAGCCAATATCTAAGTAGCAATCTGTTCTCAGAAGTGAATTTCATGTTATTTCTAATAATTTCTGTCAATTTCTCGTTACAGTGGATTGCTTGCTGAACAATATCCCAAACTTCTGTTTGACCTGATGCCCATCATATGGATAAAACCAAGTAAATATTCTCTCAACAAAATTTATTTGAAGTTTAGGGAGAATAAGGATGGATATTATACACTGCTCCCCAAAATAAGTTTTTGCTCAAACCTTTTAGGATCTAGCTCAATTATAATAAACATTAATAGAACATTTACATTAGAAATTATTATTATCTCTTTGTGTGTATGGCATTTATATTATTTTGGGAATACCATGCTGCTTTTTTATCGTAGCCTATGGGATATGTCATTCTTTTCAGCCCCTCCCCCCACTTCTACAAGGGGGTTCACAGATTGAACAGCTGCCCATCCATATTTTGATTCTGAATTCCCTTTACACATTGCTCAGAGGCACAAATTAGCTTGACACAGTCTCCCGCTAGTGACTAGCATTTTCTGGCTATAAGAAACTGCTAGGCCTAGGAGCCAGCCAGGTCCCCCAAGGCATAGATGTTGCTAGCCACATGGGGTGGGGGCCAATTTTGCCCCATTTAGGAAACTGCTTGCTCCTCCCCTGCTTCTGCCATCATCATCTTTCTACAAGTCTGGAAAAAAAAGTCTCATTCTTTTGTTTTCTCTTCCCTAACTTTTTAATTCTTAAATAACAACAATTTCTTAAAATATTTACTGATCACCCAGAATCACCATCCAACCTATCAAATATTCTCATTACGAATGTGGTTCAGTTATAACTATGAGAAACGTGACCTTAGTTTGGAAAGACTCTTAATATCTTATATCTGGCTTTTTGGGGATTGTATATAGTTTCTTTTCATGAATTGGTAAGAGTTGACATGTTTTTCTTATTATTTACCTGCTAAAAACAAATAGAAACGTCAGCTTCTTCTAATGTGTGGGTTTCTTGGATTAGAGCTCTAAGCAGTTGTATTTCTTCTTTTGAGTCTCCCCCACTACCTATACTGTATTTTATTCCTTCTTCCCTCCCTTCTCATTCTCCCCTCCCAAATCCTCTTGAGTTTTCTCATGCCTGCTAAGCGGTCAGAACTTTAAAGTCTATTCCTGTCTTCCACACCTAGAATCATGCACCATACGAAATACTTGCCTTGGGCTGGGCGCAGTGGCTCACGCCTGTAATCCCAGCACTTTGGGAGGCTGAGGCGGGCAGATCACGAGGTCAGGGGTTCAAGACCAGCCTGGCCAACATAGTGAAACCCCGTCTCTACTAAAAATACAAAAATTAGCAAGGCATGGTGGCAGGCACCTGTAGTCCCACCTACTCAGGAGGCTGAGACAAGAGAATCGCTTGAACCTGGGAGGCAGAGGTTGCAGTGAGCCGAGATTGTGCCACTGTACTCCAGCCTAGGTGACAGAGTGAGACTCAGTCTCCAAAAAAAAAAAAAAAAAGAAAAGAAAAGAAATACTTGCCTTGTTTCACAACCGTAATACTATATGTACTGTAAAAAAATATATATGCTGTAAAACCTTCATATATCACAATTATGATCTTAGATTTAGTTCTGGCCATTTTATTACAAGATAAATAGTTCTTTTCGTACCAATGGCTGTTTTTCCCTTTATCAAGTGAATATATTTCTTTTTTTTTTTCAAGCTCAAAAATCTCGGATTATAAAGTCGGATGCCTATGTCTGTCCCCTCTACAAGACAAGTGAACGTAAAGGAACTCTTTCCACTACGGGACATTCTACTAACTTTGTCATTGCAATGTTGTTAAAAACAGACCAACCTACTCGGCACTGGATCAAGCGCGGGGTTGCTTTGCTTTGTCAGTTGGATGACTAAATTGGACAAATTTATAAAACATCCAAAAGTTTAAAAAAAAAAAAACCTGTCCTACTTAAAATATATACATTATAAAACCAAGTGTTTTGGTGTTATTCTTTTAAATGATCTTTGCAAACACTCATTGCATTGTTCTCCTTTCTGAGGAGAACTTTTTGAAGTTTGATTGTATGTGAAAAATAGATTTGGGGGTTAAACGGTAACATTTAACAAATATCAGGAATTATCTCCTTCACAAATGTTAAGTCATTCCTTCAGCTTCAGTATAGTTTACTTTCCACTCTCCTACCTAAAGTAATTATACATAAATATTTCAAATACATAAATTAAGAAATTATAAATATGGAAAATATTAAAAGTTACCCAACTATACCTCTTTATTTCTTACCTCTAAGACATCGGTTCCATTTCTCACTGCATCCTTGTGACTAGGAAAGGAAACTCAAAGCTGCGAAGTTGGCCTGCAAAGGCAGTAGGATGGCTTGAGGGCAGTCCGAACTTCTACACCTGCAGTGACAGTGTGCTTCTCGGCATTTGCTTCATATTTAATTTGAAATGTCAAGTGGTCCCTTTGCTTTTTTTAGTGTATATTAACAATTTAAAAATATTTCAACAAAACAGAATTTTGATCAAAATTTTATCTTGTGTAGAGTGAATTCTTCCCTTAGGATTCCAAGGACACTGAAGGCCACAGTTCTGTAACCCAAGGAAAATGTAGTCACAGCTACCTAGTGAATCTAGTACATTGGGACAGTCACTTTGGATAATTGGGTCAGAGCAAAATGTTTGGGTTCTCTTAAGTGAAAAATTGATTGTGGTTTGCAGTGGCTATGTGCATGAATTCTCTTTGCATGGCCAACCCCCTGCAAAAGCATTTTATTCCAGGAATAAAATATTTAATCCTTTAAATTTGATGAATGTAGCACTGAAGAAAAGAGATCATGTTTCCAAAAAGAGCTAAACCACATGTAAAAAACAAGGAGAATGTGCCAAACTGTCTTATGATGAAGTATTTATAGTAAAGCTATTAATGGAATGGTCACTACAGGGGAGAGGAGAGCCTAAATATAAATGAAAATTCTGAGGCTTACATGTGTTAGTCCTTAACAGTGAAAACTTCACTGCTGTCCTAGAGGATAAAACAAAAGGTAAAAAGTCTTTGAAATGTGACCAAATGTATTCTATGCTAAAACTGACATTTTTCTTTTAAAACCATTTAGATATTGCCTAGTAAGATACATTTGTTTTTACTACTGCTGTATCCATGTTGTAATTATGAGAATACATTTGTTCCTATAACATGTTTATTTTTAATGTATATTAAGTAAAATATTATTTTCAGCATCACACTGTGTGTAGGAAAGATATTATTTTGGATGAGTGCTACAATCACTGTGAAAGACTCACAGCCAAGTTGAACAGATCAGAGTGTTGTCAGTGTTAGAGTGGCACTAACCGAAGTCTTATTTGAAAGGTGGTTTTTCCTGAATAAGCTTTAAGTCAATGGCTACTCATGGAAACTTCTAATTTTTGTTGAATCTGTGGCAGTCCACAAAACTTTTTTAAGTTTATAGAAATTTTTTAGTGAATATTTTGTTTCCTAAATTTTGTATATTTTTCATTGTTAATCCTACCAATTTTCTAGATTTCTGAATTTCATTTGTAATTTTAAGCAGTTGATCTCTTCACAACTGGAAAAATACTTTTAATTCACTCTGACTTTAAAGTAAACCTGTCCACGTTTCACATGGATAATTACACCAGCGATGAAGACATAGATGAAGACTTTGACACCCAGCTCATCATTCAACAGAGTTTGCAGGATATTTATAAGCCAGGAACAGCACAACATGCACCTAAGGATGAGAGGTAATGGTTTTCTCATCGGCAATATAGTATTAAGTGTTGTATTCAACAGCTGACACTTGTCATTAGCTTAACTCTAGTGTTGTGACAAAAACAGGAGGGTCAGAATCCAAGGAGCTGTCAATTAAATATCTGTAAGATATTATGCCTAACTAGACAGGAATAATCTGGAAATAATTCAGAATTTAATTAGGCAATAAAAATATCTGAAGGAGGTTAGCAGCAAATCTGGGTGAGGTGATACAGACTGGAAATCAGAAGAAAGAAAGGAGGATATGAAGGGCTAGAGAAAAACTAATACATCTTGTCTTTGGGAATTGAAGAAATGCATAAATCCAACCGGGACACATAGAAAGTTAGTTATCTTCAACCTTAGTAGGGTAGGTGGGGATGGGGTCCAGTCTTTGATCTACTCAAATCAAAAGGAGGAATTACATAAACTTGAACAAGGCTTCTGAAAGTGTAGATTCAGAGTTTTGTTGGACAACACTGAAAAAGGACCAGTGGGACCCTGTGTGGGGTGTAAGAAGAATCGTCCTGGATATGGCACACCTGCTCACACGCTCGCTGGCCAATCAGCAACCTTGGTCTCCTGAGGCAGTAACCATCATTTTTTCAGGGGTGATAACCCAGTTTACTTGGGATGGTAATCTCTATTTGCCTGCTGGATGTAAAACTAGAAAAATGTCTTTTAACCCCAAGAGATTTCATAACTAAATAGAGACAATGAAGTACATCAAACCTATATAGTATTTTTAAAATGTAACAAACCATGGAGTGATCACTATGTGTCATGTTATTTTAAGCACTTCATAAATACTAACTTTTAAATTCTAATTCTCATTACCTCTCTATGAGGTAGGTCCTATTATTATCCCTACTTAGAGAGGAGGAAAGTGAGGCACAGAAAAGTTAAGTGGCTTACCCAAGGTCACAGAACTAGTAAGTGAAGAGCAAGGCAGTCTGATTCTAAAGTCTGTGCTCTTAGCCACACACTATTCCTATACTTTTGTGTTCAATTTAGGATTAGTTTTTAAAATAATCTTTAAATATTTAAAGTTTTGTAAAGAAATTAGCCTTATTAGATTATCTGTTATATTAACCTTATGATTAAAACCTTAAATTGCATAATTGAGTAACTGACTTTGAACTTACAATTTTAGGTTGAAAGGTATAAGAGAGTTGGGCTAAGGAGAGTATTGAAATGTTTCAGAGAAACTGAAATTGACTGTGGTTATGCATTTACTTGATTAGATTTGCAGGAAGTGTATGATACTTAGGCAGGCTTGCTGATTTAGTCAGGTACTTGAAGGAATTAGAAAACTAGAACATACTTGTGACATGTGGAGTAATGGTCCCATCCAAAGATGTCCTAATTTCTGGAACCTTACATGGCAAAGGAGAAGTAAGGCTACAGATGGAATTATGGCTGCTAATCAGCTGACTTTTAGATAGGGGGTGTACTCTGGATTACCCAGGTGGTCCCAGTGTAACACAGGATCTTTAAGTGTGAAAGAGGGGGAGCCAGGAGAGACAACTTGGGAGATGGCAGTGTTAAAAGGACTAAGCCCAACAATGCTGGCTTTGAAGATGGAGGCAGAGAGTCCACCAGCCAAGAAATGTGGGTGGCTTCTAGAAGCTAGAAAAGGCAGAGATAGAGTCTCCCCAAGAGCCTCCAGAAGGAACAGAGCCCTGCTGACATCTTGATTTCAGTCCGGTGAGGACTGTTTTGGATTTCTGAACTACTAAACTGTAAGATAATAAATTTGTTTTATTATTGTTGTTTTAAGCCACTAAGTGTGTGGTTACTTCTTACAGCAGCTATAGAAAACTAACACAATACTAAATCTATGAATGCAGGTTTAAATGTTTAAGATAATGTAATTGACCAAATTGTAAACAGGACAGAGTGTCCGAGGGAATTTATTCTCCTCAACCTGGGTTCGTTAAATAATTAGAGTGGAAGGTGGCCGGGTGTGGTGGCTCATGCCTGTAATCCCCGCACTTTGGGAGGCCGAGGCGAGCAGATCACGAGGTCAGGAGATCGAGATCATCCTGGCTAACACAGTAAAACCCCATCTCTACTAAAAATACAAAAAATTAGCCGGCCGTGATGGTGGGCACCTGTAGTCCCAGCTACTCTGCAGTGAGCTGAGATCGCACCACTGCACTCCAGTCTGGGCGACAGAGACAGACTCCATCTCAAAAAAAAAAAAAAAAAAAAAAAGAATGGAAGGTGACAATCCTTATTTGCTAGGTTTTAAAATAAGTTTCATAAATTGAGATTTAAAGCCTTAAATAATAAAAACATTACTTAACTGCTAATAGTATTTCTGAGCACACATTCTGACTGTGAATATTTTTTAATACTGACACCATTTTTATTTACTATTTTTTAAAATAGTTTCTGCTAGAATCGTTGACATTCTATAATGGCCATCAAATTTTACCATGAGATAGTGTGACATTTCAGTCATAGGCAGGCTTGATTCAGTTCAGCCAACGCTGATTAAGGGCCTACTGCAATCCAGGCTCACATAGTCCTTGCCCTAAAGAAGCTAACAGGCTAATGCGGAAGACAGATAGAGTTAGGGAGCTTCCCTAGAATTTTGTTAAGGGCCACATTACATTTTACAAATAGAAGTATTTCTATTATGCCTCAGTCATTGCCTCCTATGAAAGTTCATCCCGGATTAACTACTGCTACCATTACCCTTTCCTTTTGATTTATATCAGATAACAGTTTTTTCTCCTCAGTTTTGGAATTACATATGTATTTTTTTCTTTGCAGTTTGCATTCCTTTTTGAGCGCTGACTATAAGAAGATAGTTGAAACAATAGAGAAAGTTAAGTACTCCTATCCCCTTTAACTTGTGGTAAGATGTGACGGTGACATTGGCTGGATGCAGTGGCTCACGCCTGTAATCCCAGTACTTTGGGAGGCCAAGGTGGGTGGATCGCCTGAGGTCAGGAGTTCGAGACCAGCCTGGCCAACATGGTGAAACCCCCTGTCTCTACTAAAAATGCAAAAAATTAGCCGGGCATGGTGGCGGGCGCCTGTAATCCCAGCTACTCGGGAGGGTGGGGTAGGAGAATTGCTTGAACCCAGGAGATGGAGGATGCAGTAAACCGAGATTGCGCCACCACACTCCAGTCTGGGCAACAGAGCGAGACTCCGTCTCACAAAAAAAAAAAAAAAAAAAAAAGGAAAGATATGATGGTGATGGCTGGCAGCATTTCCCCTCGAAGCTCAGGAAGCCTAGAAGCAGGAGCTCTTTGCTTCATTGAGCTGAACACTACAGGGGTCCACAGCTGATTGTCAAGAGTCTGATGTAGGCTTTTCTGGGAGAAAATACTTCAGCTCAATGAAGCAAAGAGCTCCTGGGTTCCTTCCTAGACAGAGCTGTTTTTTGTAAATAACAAGACGCTGGGGGTGTTCACATGCCCAGGTGCGGAACGCTACATGACCGGCCTTACTGTCTGTCATATGCCATTTGTCTTTCATAAAAGGTGGTGCTAGAATTCTGTTGTCTTATGCATTAACTTTGGTGGTAGAATTCAGGAAGCAATATGGGCTTCCTTGTAAGTGTGCCAAATGTGAATCTGTTCTCATTTGACTCGTTAATAGGTAAGGAAGATGCATTGTCACACTTAACCAAGTACCATTCCGCATTTGGTGAAGCAGATGAGATAGGCTGGATTCCTCTGCATAAGGCTGCAGTGCAATTAAATAGGAAAATTTTGGAAATAACCCTAAGCGGTAAATTCCCTTTGATTCTTCTTGATGCTTCTGAGAGATAAATTTAACATTCATTTCTATATCTTAATTTGTGTGGTATGATGAATTTATTTCAGCTTCAGACCCCAGTCTGTGGGAGCAAACCACTCACAATGGTGAAACGCCACTTTTTTTGGCTGTCAGCAGTTGCCTCTTAGAAAATGCCACTTTTCTTCTTCTCAATGGCTGCAATCCAAATGCTAAGAATTTCGAAGGCAATTCTCCTCTTCTTGCAGGTAAATGAATACATTGTTTCTGAAAGAGTCTGTGGCACTGAGTCTCCTTCATGCCCCCAGGTTTCAAAGGCAGCTTTTTATGCATAGTTGCAGCACTGTCACTCTGTTCCCAACTGACCAGACATGGGTACCGACCCTCCAGAAGCTTTCCATAGGCTGGCCTGTGAGGTGGCCTGATGCAAAACCTCTGCCCAGTTAAGAGCAGCTCATTTCGCATGGTACCTTCATCAAGCCAGTTAATTCTGATACAAAAAATCAGAGGGGAGCAGAATTACCTCATGGAGCAGGGGTGAAGGGCAGGCAGCTGAAACAGAAGAGTTGGTTGAAAACTATTAAGAAGCAGATAGTCAGATCTCTAGATCATTCCTGCCCAACCCCAGCAGAATCCTGGAGGTTTATTCTCTGCCTAGCTTAAACAGAGAGTCTCTGGACCACGGAATTTTAGGTGAGGGTGGAGTACTAGATTGAAAACACTGGAGGAATTAAGCAAACATAATTGAGACTGCCCAGCCCTCCTCCTAGAAGGCTGGCAGCCAGGCCCTTACCCTCCAGGCTGCCGGGGGTTCTCTGGAGGAATCTGACCAGCCCAAGAAGAAAGAGCTAAAGATAGTGACACTGGGGCTTTCCCAATAAGTGGCCCAAACATATCAACCTGTTGTTAAACCTACAGTCCACAAGCCCCACTCTCTGCTTAAAATTTCCAACCAGCTTTTTAGTCTCCAATTTTTAATTATGAGCAAATAGCCAAAGGCTATCTGAGGAAAATCTTCAACAAATAGAGTTAAGCAACTTTAAGATTATTTAGGAAAACTAAAATTTAAAGGGAAATTGTCATTAACTTCCTCAGAGAAACCATTTTAATAAGAACAAGATGTTAGCAAAATTAGAAAACAAAATATTCTTGAAAATTAAAAATATGAGCAGATATTTTAAAAACCAAAACAATGCTGGAAGATGGAGTTCAGGAAAGCTTCCAGAAGAAGAAAATAAGAAATGGAAAATAGGAAAGAAGTGAAAATTAGTTGGATGATCCAAGAGTAGCAACATGTGAATAAGAGGAATGAGAGAACAGACAAGATGGAGGTGGTATATGGCCAATGCAATAAGTCAAGAAAATGATTTCCTAAAATGAAGGACAAGTGTTTCCAGAATAAAGGGCCACACTAAGTGCCAGCTCAATGAACCGTAAAAGACCCAATACCCTCGGCACTTTGTTTCTAGTCTTAGTCTTAGAGCAATGAGAGAACTTTCTGTGGCAAATTATAAATGGTTATTAGCAGAATTCATACTGATTCAGCACCTCAGCAGCTAGCAAGGCTCCTCGTACACATTTGATGCCAATAATTAGTGATTGAATAGCGAGATGGATAAAGTTAGATGTTTTAGGATCTTGGGGGTCTAAGTATTCTTCTCTAAATGTGAGTTCATACTATAAATGCAGAAAAGCCAATTATTAGAGAATTTTGTGTAACAAAAAGTTCTTTAAAATGTAACATGTAGAAATAAATAATTCAAGGATACATGTGAAAATGTTAAAGATCATCTCAGAGGTGGAATTAAACTTTTCTACTTACATAGCCTCTTTTAAATTATAATAAAAAATCATAAAAAGCTGAAAAAAAAAAAGACAAGTCACTAGGGAAGACTCACAAGTCACTGTGGAAAGAAGTTTCCACAGACTTCCTGAGAGAAAAAAAGGAATACATAATATACAAAAGATGAAAAATCAGAATGGTTTCAGACATCTCAATGGTAACTAGAAGCTTGAAGTAATTGGTGGTGAATAATAGTTTTACAGATTCTGAGGAAAAAATACTTCCAACTTAAAATTCTATATTTGCTCCAACTCTCAAATCTGACAGTAGATTAAAGACATAAAAGATATTTTCAGACATAGGAAATCTCAAAAACTTTCTTGTTCCCTACTGTTAGGAAGCTAACGGAGCAAATGTTCTACCAACATCGGAGTAAAGCAGAAAAACAAAAGTTTGGCATCCAGAAAACAGAAGATCCAAGCCAGGTGGGAGGCAAATGAGATCCCTAAGATGAGGGGAATAACGATCTTAGGATGACCAAACATGACCAGGCACTGAGGTCCAGATTGGAACAGGTCAGGAGGCCCCAGGTAGAGGCTTCTTCAAGACCATGGTGGGCTAGGAATGACATCTTGAAGGGAGATGTAGACAGTTTAGAGAGTTTGGGGTGGAATTAATGATAAATTGGAAACTAAGCAAATGAAACATAAGACAAGTATTAACTCCAGGGAAAACAAAAAGATGTGCATAAAAGGAAATGTAAATATGGCCTACCTTTGAATGACATACATGAAGGTAAATATTAAATATTTAACAAAAATTATGCTACAAAAATATTAGGATGGTGGGACGAGAAATGTGCACATGTGGTGGGGACAGGAGGAAAAAAAGTTAAATCCTCATTTTCTATGGTAAGAAGTCATTAAATTATACCAAAACCAAAAATCAACAAGTATCAATACAAGCAGGTTACTTAGAGACACGGGCATGAAGAGCAAAGAATCAGCTAAAGGATCCCTCTGGAGAAGGAAAAAGATTGTAGGGAAAGAGTGATGGACTTCACAGTAATTGGCTCTTTAAGTTCTGTACATGTATAACTTTTATCAAAATAAAAGCTGAAAATTAGGCTGTGCACGGTAGTTCACACCTGTAATCCCAGCACTTTGGGAGGCCGAGGCCGGCCGGTCACCTGAGATCAGGAGTTTGAGACCAGCCTGACCAACATGGTGAAACCCTGTCTCTACTAAAAATACAAAAATTAGCAGAGCTTGGTGGCAGGCACCTGTAATCCCAGCTACTAGGGAGGCTGAGGCAGGAGAATCGCTTGAACCAGGGAGAGACGAGGTTGCAGTGAGCCAAGATTGCGCCACTGCACTCCAGCCTGGGTGACAGAGCAATACTCTGTCTCAAAAAAAAAAAAAAAACAACACTGAAAATTAAAGAGAGACCAACAGAGTACTGCCAAAAATTAGGATTTGGGGTCCCTTCATGGTTTGTCCCAAGATGCTAACGCTTTGCATTTTATACAGAAAACACTGAGCAGAAAAGCCTTCTCTGAGAAAGCACGCATAAACCATAAAGCACCCTAGCACTGTATAGTGAAAAGAACTCTGGGTCAGATCTAACCTCTCTAAACCTGTTTCCTTGTCTATAAGATAGTACTTGTCTTGTGCGTAGAAAAATCACATATGTAAAAACCGTGAGGCTGTGAAGCCTGTTGTAACAACGGTAGAGCTAGTTTTCCTCTCTTCACTTCAGCCTATCTGGTAGGTCAAATGATTCCATTTCTGTGGCACCTAAACAGCATGTCCCTATTGATAGGTCATGGAAAATGCCGGGTTAAAAAGTTAAGCAAATGCATTGCAAGATTCCTCAGAGACTTCAATATACCAATGTACAAAGTGAATCTTGAAGAGGGTGATAGAATATATAGTGCTGGCTGAGATTAGTGGCTCACGCCAGTAATCCCAGCCTTTGGGAGGCTGAGGCAGGAAGATCACTTGAACCCAGGGGTTTAAGACCAGCCTGGGCAACATACCAAGACTGCATCTCTACAGAAATTTTTAAAGAAATTAGCCAGGCATGGTGGCATATGCCTGTAGACCCAGCTTCTTGGGAGGCTAAGGCAGGAGGATTGACTGAGCCCAGCAGTTCAAGGCTGCAGGGAGCTATGATCGTACCACTGCACTTCAGCCTGGATGACAGAATGAGAGCCTAAATATATATATATTTACATACATACACACACACACACACACACACACACACACATACACAGTGTTCCCAAGCCTTTTATTATTATTTTTTTAACTACAAAATCATTTTCTTTACATTTCCTTACAGAAACTTAAGGGGCTTTCTATACAACATACTTTGGTGTGTTGCCAAAGTGTGGTAATGCAGAAATGATAGGCCAAAACTATCATTTTCTATGGCCTCAACCACTCCCACCAGATATGCATATTTAAATTGTGTTTTAGTCATTCATTTTCTGGGGGTAGATTCTGTTTTTGTTTTTGTTTTTTTTTTAATTTTTGGCATGTTTCAGAGTCTGGGCTGTCTTTTGTTTGTTTTTTTTCTTATTTTAAAGCAGCTACAAACATTTCCAGGACTATACTGAATAATTAAGTTCCCATTTTCTTGAAGAATAAAGATAAGTGAAAAGTTTACATTTGTGTTTCAACCACATAAGCAATGAATAATTACTCATGGCTTACAGAAAAACATAGTCCATTGATGTAAAACATTCTCAGTAAGTATTATTTGACACATGCCTTACTTTACAATCTGTTTCCTAAACACAGAATGTTCGGGTCTGGGAGTGGGTGGGAAGAACTCCTTAAGAAAGCCTGAGGGATACTTGCAGATATGCTACTTTGGGCTTAACTTCCCGTTGAACATGCCCACCACACTTCTCATTTCCCAGCTGTGCTGCGTGACTGCTATGACATGGCTGCCTTGCTGATCAACTATGGAGCAGATGTCAATCTGCGTTGTGCCAACGAGAGGACAGCTCTCCACGAAGCAGCCAAACTGGGCAGAGAGGACATGGTGAAGCTTATGCTGGTTTCTGGGGCACACCCTGACCCACAGAGCACGTATGGATTCACTCCTCTTGCTCTTGCTGCCCAAAGTGGACACACTGAAATCATGGAAATGTTACTGCGGAAAGGCAAGATCTTCTGTTTGGTCAGCACACTAACAAAGGGTAACATGATCCAGGGGTTCTCCTCTTAATGGAGAGCTTCAAAATAATAAAAGTTAACATTTAAGCCTAATATAAATGTTTGATAAAAATTATGGGTTAATAGTGATTACTGAGAAGCCTAACATAAAGACTGAATTTTTTATTAGGTCTGACATAATTTCCCTAAAGTTACTAGGATGCAGGTTACGTTTACTTAACATTCCCTCACTGTGCTAAGATGATGATGGTTTTTTAACCTTTTTGTGGTGTTGTCCTTTTCTAGAATCATAAAATCAAACACCCTGCAACATACTCTGCACATTACCTCTGCCTAAGTCCAAATCATGAGGCAGTTTAATCTGTTACCAAATGGCTTTAGATGTTAGGAAATTATTCCTGATTTCTTCTCTTTGGGTCCCAGTTTTTCACTCTAGTAATAACCAAAACTCCA